>NC_000003.12:113099513-113402543 GCF_000001405.40 Homo sapiens | reverse complement strand
TCAGTTATTCAGTCTAGGATCACATGGCAGGGTATGTTGCCAGAACTGTCCAGAATGAGCTTTGGCCCCTCACAGGGGAGGTCCTGCTGAGCCTCCCTGCCACCGTGAGGTAAAACTGTGCTCCTTCACTCTTCCTATAGTATTCTAGACTCCTCTCCCAATGAACAACAATCTACACTTCACTGTCTCACTGTCAGATAGTAACATTTACTGTCTCACTTACTGAGACATGTTTGGTGGTATGCACTTGGGGAAATGCCAGATTTTCCCAATGAGATAGTAAAGTGTGAAATATTAATATTCAGGAAGAGAAACATTTTCTAATGGAGACTTTATCTACATCTATATTCTTTGCTTCTAATGAGATAGTGCTTGAGTCATTAAGCAAGAAGGTATATTTCCCCCTTCCAGGGGCCTGCTGGTATGTAGAAAACAGGGTTCATTATAATGTCTTGCTGAACAACTGAACCATATACTCCTATGGCCACTTTATGTAAAAAGAGACCTAATAGAAACCTTGAAATAAAATTTGTTTTGGATAAATTAGAATTCTTATGCAAGGCTGTACTTTCTCACTAATCTTTATAAATATAAAGGAAACTATAATAGCTTATCATACCTCAGTTCAGAGTAAAATTTCAGGGGTCAGGTTTTGGCTGGTGTTCTTATCACACTTGTTCATTGTTACTTTTCATGAAAGAAAAAGAAATGACTTTTGAAAAAAAAATCAGGGTTTTTCTGGCTTAGAAAATAAATGTTCAGAAACTACTGATCGATTAAAGTATTTTCTTTTCATTTTACAAGATATGGGATTTTGAGACAATAGACACTGCTGATGTAATAGATGAGACTGGATTGTTGGAGATTGAGCCTATTAATGAACTTCAAGTAGACAAGAATGTGAATCTCTTCTCTATGATAAAAATGAATGAAACTGGAAATAACTTTTGGTTGGCTCAGGTGTGTTGCATTCTTGTCTCTTGGCTCTTTAACATTACATGGACCAAAAATTAAAGTAGTAGTATGATTGATTTGGCTACAAGTCCATTTGACTGTAAGTGTTATGAGATTGCTTATTGTGTGGCTTTAGTCTAAAATATAGAAGTTGTTTTTATTAAATTTCAATTATACTTTAAAATATATGTGAGCTTTTGATATTATTGCTTGTCCTTACTTTAATAAAACATAGAAAGAACATTTAAAAAATCTGATGAAAGTTTAAAATGATAAAACAAAATACTATTTAATTTTTTTAGGATGCCAATGGAGCCATATGGAAGCTTGACCTTAGTTTTTCAAATATTGTAAGTTGCCTATTATTCTTATTTTCTCCTAACTTTCATAGTAAAAACTTTTGTTATTTGTCTTTAAAGTATTCTTTATCTTTCTCCATATTTCATCATGGTCCTCATAAAAAACTTGCCTAACATGTGCTACTCTTGAGAATTCTCTCTCTCGTTATGATTTTACATAAAAAAGAATCTATCTCATAACACAATTTACCAGAAAAGTGGCCGTGTCAATACCTAACATTATATAGTACTTTATAGTTTTTATAAATATATAGAATTTTCATGTATTTTATCTCATGTGATCCTCATCACTACCCTATTTAGTAGACAAGCAGCTGTTACCATCTCATTTTACAGATGAAGAAATGGAAACTGGCATTTGAGGTGACTTGCGCAAAATCACACAGCCATTAAGGACAAAGCCCAGGACTCTATCTGGTTCTCCTAATTCTGAACCAGTGTTCTTTCTAACTTTTTAGGCTTTTTCTTATTTCTATCCAAATAAAATCACATGTGTTATATTTTTATCTTTGCATTTTTTTAAACTTGATCTTAATTCTTTGTTACTCTGTCTTTGAGATCTAGTAAGCTGTCTATCTATTCTCAGACCCAGGACCCAGAATGCCTCTTCTCCTTCCATTCTGGAGCTATTGAAGCCGTGGCTGTTTCTCCTCTCACTTATCTCATGGCCACAACTGCCTTGGACTGTAAGTAGGAACTCTTAATAAAAATATGTCTGGCCTTGTTTTGTTTTATTTGCAATAAAATTTTTATATGTGTTTGACTTAAGAGCATTTGGGGATTTTCCCAAAAGGGGAGCCTCTTGAATGCAAGCGAGTTGAGCTGTGGAGAGGAGAGGCCACAAAACACAGCAGCCATGGTTATTGTGAGAGATTAAAAGAAGGACAAAATCTGTAAATTGCTCATGAAAATGCTGCTCGTTTTGATATTGTCCACATTTGTGTTTTTTCTATTCTTTCCGTCTCCTTTCTTCCTTCTTAACTTATGGCAAATCTATATGGACTATGCAAGGTGAAATTGACCCAGCAGTCAATCATCTGTTTTCTTCTTTATTATTCATGTTTATGAATTACCTGTTTGAGGTTGTACCTGAAATTTTTTACAAAAGAAAGTTATTGACTGATTTAGTTAAGAAATTTCTTGTTATAATATTCAACATGTAAAAAGTGAGCCAAGACTTAAAAAAATTATGTATATAATTTTTTTTCTTTTAAAACTGTCTTTCTATAGGCTCTGTTCGAATCTATGATTTTGCTAGCAAAACTCCTTTGGCCCAGATGAAATTCAAACAAGGAGGTACTGCCCTTGTTTGGGTACCCCGAATGGTAAGTTTGTTGTTATAATGAACTACCAGAATCTATTGGTAAATATGGTATATCAATGCTATTTTCTGGAAATATAGATATTTGCTGACTCAAAATTTTAAGGAATAATAAAAGTTTTAAGTTAGTTTATTTTAGTCAGAATGTAATAGAAATCTTTACCATGATTGTTGTTATGGGTTTGGTCTTGTTTTTAGTGAAATTTTTTGCCACCTGTAGATTTGTAACAGTTTCATGTTGCAAAGCAATTTCCCAACAGAACTTTGTGTATCTAGCCTCGATCCATCTGACTCTGATTTCATTCATTCTATTAATATTTACAGAGTGCCGACAATGTGCCAGGCCTTGTTTTAGATTCTGGGAATATAGCAGTGAATAAAAAGACAAAAAATACTTGCCCCTCATGGACCTTACGCTTTAGTGGGAGGGAGGCAGAGGCAGATAGTAGTCAAAATAAGTAAGTTAAGTACATGTTATGTTAGATAATTATAAGAACTATAGAAAAAAATTAGGCTGAGATAGGGAGTTGTTCCATTTATCAATTGCTGTGTAATAAACTATCTCAAAATGTAGTGGCATAAAATAATCATTTTATTTTGCTCATGTAGTCTTTGTGTTGGGATTCGGGTGACAGCAGAGATGGATTGTCTCTGCTTCAGAGTGTCTGGGAACTCAGCTGGGAAGACATGAATGGCTGGGCCTGGAATAATCCAAAGGCTTCTTGATCACAAGGCTGTCACCTGGGTTGGATGACTTGAAGGCTAGGCTAAGCTGGGACTGCCAACTGGAGTGTTTATACCTAACACCCTCTCCATGTGGCTTAGGTTTCATCAGAACATGGAAGCCTCAGGACAGTCACACACTTTTTACATGGTAGCTCAGGGCTCCAAGATCTAGTGTTCCAACTGTAAAGGCAGAAGCTGATGACCTTTTATGGCCCATTCCCCAGAAGTCAAAATATCACTTCTACCATACTTGATTGGGTGAAGCAGTCACACAGTCACAAGCCCCATACAGAATCAAGAGGAGGGAACTTAAACCCCATCTGTCCATGGGAGGCCCATCAAAGATTTGCAGCCATATTTTTAAAATGCCATGGAAGTATTTGGGGAAATATTTAATCTTTACTATTTTGGGTTGAAATTAAAGAGAAAATATTCCAGGCTAAAAGTAAATTTGGATATAATTGGAATTAGGGGGAATTTCATGATGGGATCAAGATCAGAAAGAGAACTTAGTCCAGGGAAGAGAGCCATCTTCATGATGAGGCTAGAGTAAGTAGAAATGACAGAGCATTTAGATTGGCAGACCTAGCTCACTCACTATCCTAATCTAGTTACACTCTTAACTGAAGTCTTAAAACTACAATCCAGGTAATTGAATTGTTTATTCAGATGATCGTGTAATGTTCACAGCATGTTTCCTTTTTTAGGCTTATATTCGAGTAATGATCATATGGATTTTAAGCTACAATTAAAATGTCCCTTCTCCATACCCCCTTGCCTTTCTGGAAGGCTACACATCAGTTTTTATGACTCAGCTCAGGTCAGACATCATCTCTGCATAGCCCTCCATGAATCTACCTTCAAGTAGAGTTAGGGCCTCCTTCCTCTGTGATTTTCTTCCCCTTAGTGCTTGTGTGTATATCTCTTACAGCATTTATCAGAGCATACTAAGATTATGTGCTTTATTGTCTTCCCACTAGACTGTTTTTCATGGTGACAACCATGCCTTATTCTTCTTTGCATCTCCAGTGCCTCTATAGTTACTGGTACATTTAGACACGTAGTAAATTTTTATTGGATAAACAACATTCAACTGAAGTTGAATGGTGTACAGCTTTTTTATTCCCTAAATTCTCATAACTGATGGTCACTGAGCTCTACAGGATGCCCAGGCTCTTCCAAGACAGTAGATTTGGTACATTCCAACATTGGTAGGTTTACATGTCTAGCTGAGACTTTTCCTCTAAGCTGCAGACTATGATATCTTTATTTTAAAATCTCAAGGGGACCTCGAACTCCGTGTTTCCAAAACTAAGTCCATGATCTTCTGCACATCCCCAATCATCCCTCTCTCTAAATCAACAATAGCAACTACAAACCACACACACACCTGGCTCCCTTCCAGTGTTTTCTGTCACAGTTAGTGCCATTATCAGTCATCCTTGACTCCTCCCTCTGCTTCATTCCCCATATCCAGTAATACCAAGTAGGGCCATTACACCTCTTCCTAAAATATGTTCATATCCCTCATCTTCACTACATTACCTCAGACCAATAGTTCCCCTGAAGTGTAGAAGCCATCTTAAAAGATCTTTCAAAAGTTCTCCCAGCATCCTATCCAAACCACCTCATATCTATTTTCCATACTGCAGCTAGGATGTCATTTTAAAATGAGCAAATCTGACCATGTCACTACCACTTCCCCCTGGAACCCAACTAAAAACACTTTGATGGCTTTCCACTGCTCTGGGATGAAGGCTTTTCTTATTGTGACATGGAAGCCATTTTATGATCTGCTGCCTGGCCTGCCTCTCTTCCTCTCCAGCCTCCTGGGGAAACATTGTTCTCTTACTCTAGTCAGACTATAACTTTTTCTTGAGTTCTGTTATTTCCTGCCACAGGACTTCTGCACAAGTTAAATTCTCTCTTAGGAGTGCTTGTGCCACCTTCCTGTACCTAGCTAATTCCTGAACATCCTTTTGTTATCAGCTCCACCATCTCTTTCTTAGGGAAGCCATAAGTCGAGGTCAGCCTTCTTTGTTATATGCTCTCAGAGAATACATTTCTTTCTTTTAGCACTTATTTCAGTTCACAATTTCACACTCATTTATGTGATTAATGTCTGCACCTTTCACTAGACCAAAACTCTGTGAAACCAAGCACTGAGTTGGTTTATATTCACCACTGAGTTGCTGATGATAGGTGCTTAGCATGTGGTAGGCAGACACTCTGCTGTTTGTTCATTCAGTGTTTGAATTAATGTTGTTTATCCTTCCTGTGGTCATTGGTTATAAGGAACTATGCTGGAATGGATAGAGGTTACCAGAAAGTGATATAAAGAATTGCCAATGGGCAGCCAATATTAAATTACCTGAGTCTAAATAAAATATCTGTTATATAGTACAACTTTCTCAATTTAACTAGTTTCAGGTCCCTTATCTTTAATTTTCTCCAAGGTAAACTTCACTGGAGCACAAATTATTGTAGGATTTGAAGATGGAGTTGTTCGAATTCTTGAACTTTATGATCCAAAAGGGCTCACGATTTTTGCGGGACGGAAGAAAATTTTGGATGCTGATATTCAGTTGAAACAGGTTTTCAAACCCCATACTGCTTGTGTCACTGCTTTAGCTTATGAACGTGATGGGGAAATTCTAGCCACAGGGGTAAGCAGTACATTTCCTTTCTTTTCTTGTTGAAATTTTATAGTTAAATTGCCTTATAAGTCCTCCTACTTCATCATGTCTTATTTACTGAAATTCATTTTCTATCAATATATTCACATTTTGCTTTCTTTGTAGTCATATTCTTTCAGCGTAGTCTGTGAATAACCCTCTTTTTAATCAGAAGAGAGCTGGAGCATGTGAATAACACTTAAAAATATTCTTACAAATTGAATTCTAATGCTTATTTTAGGTGAATTGAAAATTTCAACTGGGGACCATGCTAGTTGTATTATTTATAATCAGTATTTTATTCAGCATAGTTATGTTCTTATATAGAATTGCCATAAATGAAGAGAATAACTGTGTAAATTCTTTATGCACTAATAGGTGAGCATATGCATGGTATAATTTTTTTGTGTGAATTTCTGAAAGTATGGTGATCATATTTTCAGAACCACATACTGAAACACATGGTTTTCCAAATGCTCTAATGGGGAAAATTGAGCAAGTTTTAGAAATAAGAATTCTCCTAGAATAATCTGGGATATATGACCATTGTAGATAGAGATAGCGTTATGTTATTACATGCTTTTTTGTGATCTATAGGCTAGATTTCATAGTAATATATATTTCGTCGGTGTGTCTCTTTTTCCTTAGAGTAAAGATCAAACTGTTTTCTTCTTTGAAGTGGAAAGGGATTATAAGCCGATTGGTTATATTAATACTCCTGGACCTGTGTGTCAGTTAATGTGGTCTCCCATGTCTCATGTAAGTCATTATTATTTGTCTTCCTGTTTGAATCTCAATTACTACATAGTGAAACTATCTTGTAGATAGAAAATAGCAGGTGGAATTTTTAGCCCACTCCTGGTTCCTGCAGTGAGGGTCAGGGATGCGGCAACAGAAAGCTCAGGTGGCTGCTGCTGGGGTTGGCCCGTAGAGCATCACTCAGGAGCCTTGCTCTCTCCTCACTGCCTCCTTTCTCTTCCGTGGGCTTATTAGTTGACCATGATCTTCTCTCAAAAACCAGGGTTATATCAGGCTTTGCTCCAACGGGACTTTTGGCCACAGGCACAGCATGTCGAAATGCTTTCACCTGGATCAGTCAGTCTCTCTAACAATCAGAAGCTGAATTCTAAGGTCTGAATGTACTTTTCCTCATCTTTATCTCTTTACTTCTCCTCTGCCCTCAATCCACATCTATTTTCTCTTCTATCCTTTTATTTCTTCTTTCTTAGCAATTGGTAATTCGGTATTGATTACTAATCTCTTTTAATGTCTCCAGTTTTACTAAATGTGAGCATATGAGAATTCAGTCATCTAAATATTGATTGACTGTCTAAACCAAGTGCTGTGCCAGGTGCCAAGATGATAATACTGATGAATTGCATAGAAGTGCCATCAGGATTATTGGAGTAACGTTGGTAATCCACTTTAAGCTTTTCTAAATAAAAGGGCCATAAAATATATTAGTATTATCTACAAAATGCTTTTTGAAGTTAGTCAACAAATACTCATTGTTTCTATCTTTTCTAGGCACTGTAGTGGATTAAATAAGCAGTACAAAGTAGTCTCTCAAGGAGAAAAAACTATACATTTAAAAAGTTAAATATACCTTATCATTGAATAATAAGGTTTCACAAAGGAATTGGTGACTAAAATATCAATGGTGTAGACCAAGCTTGTCCATCCCATAGCCTGTGGGCTGCATGCATGTGGGCTTTGAATGAGGCGCAACACAAATTCATAAACTTTCTTAAAACTTTATGAGATATTTTGCAATTTTTTTTTTTAGCTCGTCAGCTGTTGTTAGTGTTAGTGTATTTTATGTGTGGGCCAAGACAATTCTTCTTTTTGCAGTGTGGCCCAGGGAAGCAAAAAGATTGGACACCCCTGGTATAGAGAATGTGTGTTGTGAATTTAGAGCAGGGAACTATCAAGAAAGGAAGAAGTTAAAATTAAGTTATTATTTTGTATTATTGTACCTTGATTTTGAGAAATTGGTAGGATATGACCAAATGAATAAGAGATAGCTACAGATGGTTCAGGTGAGGGGAGTGATAGCTGCAAAGGAAGCTCTGTGAGAAAGCATGAATGTTTATATCACAACATATAATATTATGTGCATCCTTCATTCACTTCCCTAGATACAAAGTTAAAAAGATCAACCAACATTTGGCAGGGGTTGGGGTGGTGAGTGGGAGGGGAGTAGGTGTGACATTAAAGAAGTAGCTTGAAGGAGACCTTTGTGGTGATGGTATAGTTTTGTGTCTTAATTGTCATGATGCTTACATAAATCTATACATATGAAAAAATGCTGTAGAGCTGTACACACATTCTATACTAATGTCAATGTCCTGGGTGGTTGTGTATAGTTGCATAACATGTAACCAGTGGTAGAAACTGAGTGAAGGGTATGTGATACCTCTCTGTACTATCTTTTCAACTTCCTGTAAATCTATACTTATTTCAAAATAAGTTTAAAAAAATTAAAAGTAATTTTTAGTTTATTTGTATGGCTATAAAGGAATACTTGAGGCTGGGCAATTTGGCTCATGGCTTTGCAGGCTATACGAGAAGCATGGTGCCAGCATCTTCTTCTGGTGAGGGCCTCACGGGCTTGTAGTCATGTCAGAAGGTGAAAAGGAGTTAGCCTGTATAGAGATCATGTGGTGAGAGAGGAAGCAAGAGGGAGAGTGGGGAGATCAGGCGCGGTGGCTCACGCCTGTAATCCCAGCACTTTGGGAGGCCAAGGCAAGTAGATCACTTGAGTGCAGCAGTTGAGACAAGCTTGGGCAACATAGTGAAACCCTGTCTCTACAAAAAATACAAAAATTAGCCAGGTATGGTGGTGCATGCCTCTAGTCCCAGCTACTCGGGAGGTTGAGGTGGGAGGATCGCTTGAGGCTGCAGTGTGCCAAGATCGTGCCACTGCGCTCCATCCAGCTTGGGTGTCAAGAGTGAGACCCTATCACAAACAAACAAACAAAAGAGGGAGTGGGGAGGTGCCAGGCTCTTTTTAATAACCAGCTCTCCTGGGAATGAATAGAACAAGAACCCACCCCCTTCCCCACCTAGGGAAATCATCAATCTATTCATGAGGCATCCACCCGCAAGACCCAAACACCTCCCATTAGGCCCCATGTCTAACATTAGAGATCAAATTCCAACATGAGATTTGGAGGGGACAAACATCCTGTAACGTACAAGACCAAAACACTCAGCATAATTTAAAAGTCATTTTGGGCAGTGCTGCTTGCTAGCACTTGTATTTCTAATGTCATTTGCAAATTACTAAAGTAAAAAGTAAATTACTGTATGTAACTGACCTGCTACAGACTTTAATTGTCCAAATTGCAATAGGTCTTAGCCCTTACCAGCTGAAATATCAGATCTCATATCTGAGCATAACGTATTAAGCTTCTGCCTGATGGCTTTGAGTGGTTCTGGTAAGGGTGCGTCCCATGTACACACAGAGCCATTCTGTCTGCCATGGCTACTACCATGTTCACTTTGGCAGCAGTGTGGAGAAGATACAAGGGAGCCAGGTCAGGGGCAGGTGGATCTATTGGGCAGCTGTGATGTGACTAGAGCATGAAAGACTGTGCAGACAAGAGATATTTAGAAGAGAGAATTGACAGAACTTGGTGATCTTTTATTTTTGTGAAGACAATTTTGAGGTATCTAAATGGAGTTCATTATAGTTTCTCTAAGACATGTTCTTCCTCCCGTATTATTCTTGGACTTCATTTTCCCTGTCACTAAAGCCAGAATCTTGAGAGTTATTCTGGTCTTTATTATTATTATTTGTAATTTTTGTGGATACATGGTAGATATATGTATTTATGGGGTACATGAGATATTTTGATAAGGCATATAATGCATAATAATCATATGAGGGTAAATGGGATATCCGTCACCTCAAGCATTTATCCTTTGTGTTACAAACAATCCACTCATACTCTTTTAGTTATTTTGACATGTGCAATAAGTTATTATTGACTATAATCTCCCGGTTGTGCTAATAAATACTATATCTTATTCATTCTATGTATTTTTTCTTACTCATATACCATCCCCAATTTGCACCCCACCCCCCGCCACACCCACCACCCTTCTAAGCTGCTGTTGACCATCATTCTACTCGCCATCTCTATGAGTTCAGTTGTTTTAATTGTTAGCTCACAAGTAAGGGAGACCATGTGATGTTTGTCTTTCTGTACCTGGCTTTTTTCACTTAACTTAATAACCTCCAGTTCCATCCAGGTTGTTGCAAATCATAGGATTTCATTCTTTTTTATGGCTGAAGAGTACACATTGTGTATATGTACTACATTTTCTTTATCCATTCATCTGTTGATGGATACTTAGGTTGCTTTCAAATCTTGGCTATTGTGAATAGTGATGCAATAAACATGGGAGTACAGATGTACTGATTTCCTTCAATATACTGATTTCCTTTCTTTTGGGTATATACCTAGCAGTGGGATTGCTGGATCATATGTTAGCTCCATTTTTAGTTTTTTTGAGGAACCCCAAACTGTTCTCCATAGTGGTTGTACTAATTTACATTCCTACCAACAGTATAATTTACTCCACATTCTTGCCAGCATTTGGCATTGCCTGTCTTTTGGAAAAAAGCCATTTTAACAGGAATGAGATGATATATCATAGTTTTTATTTGCATTTCTCTGATGATTCGTGATGTTGAGCACCTTTTCATATACCTGTTTGCCATTCTCATGCCTTCTTTTCAGAAATGTCTCTTCAGAACTTTTCCCAATTTTAAAATTGGATTAGTAGATTTTTTCCCCCATAGAGTTGTTTGGGCTCCTTATATATTCTGGTTATTAATTCCTTGTCAGATGGATAATTTGCAAATATTTTCTCTCATTCTGTGAGAGAAATATTCTTCACTTTATTTAGAGAATTTAATTCACTTTATGAAGAGAATTAAAAGAAATTCTCTTCACTTTATTGATGTCTTCCTTTGCTGCGCAGAAGGTTTTTAAGTTGATGTGATTCCATTTGTCCATTTTCGCTTTGGTTGCCTGTGCTTGTGGGGTGTTATTCAAGAAATCTTTGCCCAGTCTAATGTCCTGGAGAGTTTCCCCAATGTTTTCTTTTAATTGTTTCATAGTTTTGAGGTCTTAAGTTTAAGTCTTTAATCCATTTTGATTTGATTTTTGTATATAGCAAGAGATAGGGGTCATTTTATTCTTCTGCATATGGATATCCAGTTTTTCCAAAACTGTTTATTAAAGAGACTGCTCTTTGTGCAATGTACGTTCTTGGCATCTTTGTCAAAAATGAGCTCATCGTAGATGTATGGATTTGTTTTTGCATTCTGTATTCTGTTCTATTGGTCTGTGTTTCTGTTTTTATGTCAGTACCATGCTGTTTTGGTTCCTGTATCTCTGTAGTATAACTTGAAGTCAGCTAATGTGATTTCTCCAGCTTTGTTCTTTCTGTTCAGCATAGCTTTGTCTATTCTGAGTCTTTTGTGATTCTGTATAAATTTTAGGATTTTTTTTCTATGTGTATGAAGAATGTGATTGCTATTTTGATAGGCATTGCATTGAATTTGTAGATTGCTTTAGATACTATGGACATTTTAACAATATTGATTCTTCCAATATATGAATATGGAATATCTTTCCTTTTTTTGTTCCTCTTCAATTTCTTTCATCCATATTTTATAGTTGTCATTGTAGAAATCTTTCACTTCTTTGGTTAAGTTAATCTCTATGTATTTTATTTTATTTGTAGCTATTATAAGTGTGATTACTTTTTTGATTTCTTTTTCAGATTGTTTGCTGTTGGTGTATAGAAATGCTATTGATTTTTGTGTGTTGATTTTGTATCCTGCAACTTTACCAAATTTGTTTACCAGTTCTAATAGTTTTTTGGTGGCGTCTTTAGATTTTACCAAATATAAGATCATATAATCTGCAAACAAGGATAATTTGACTTCTTTCTTTCTAGTTTGGATGCCCTTTATTTCTTTCTTATCTGATTACTCTATCTAGAACTTCCAGTACTATGTTGAATAACAGCAGTAACAGTGGGCATCTTTGTTGTGTTTCAGATCTTAGAGGAAAGGCTTTCTGTATTTCTTCATTCAGTATGATACTAGCTATAGGTCTGTCATATATGGGTTTTATTGTGTTGAGGTATATTCCTTCTCTACCCAGTCTTTTGAGAATTTTTGTCATGATGGGATGTTGAATTTTATCAAGTGCATTTTCAGCATCAATTGAAATGGTGGTGTGATTTTTGTCCTTCATTCTGTTGATATGATGTACCACATTGATTGATTTGCATATGTTGAACCATCCTTGCATCCCTGGGATAATTCCCACTTGGCCATGATGAATGATCTTTTTAATGTGTTGTTGAATTCAGTTTGCTAGTATTTTGTTGAGGTTTTGCATCAATATTCATCTGTGATAGTGGCCTATAGTTTTCTTTTTATGATGTGCCTTTGTCTGGCTTTGGTATTAGGGTAGTACTGGCCTTGTTGAATGAGTTTGGAAGTATTCCCTTCTCCTCATTTTTCATAATAGTTTGAGCATGATTGGTATTCTTAAATGTTTGGTAGAATTCAACAGTGAAGCCATTGGGTCCCAGGCTTTTCTTTGCTAGGATAATTTTTTTATTATGGCTTTGATCTCATTACTCATAATTGGTCTGTTCACGTTTTGAATTTCTTCATGGTTCAGTCTTGGTAGGTTGTATGTGTCTAGGAATTTTACTATTTCTTCAAGGTTTTAAAATTTACTTGCATAAAGTTGCTCATAGTAGCCTCTACTGATCCTTTGAATTTCTGTGGTATCAGTTGTAATGTCTCCTTTTTCATCTTTGATTTCATATATTTTAGGCTTCTCTCTCTTATTTTGTTAGTCTGGCTAAAGGTTTGTCAATTTATCTTTTGAAAAAAACAACTTTTTAATTTGTTGATCTTTTGTTTTCTTTCAATTTCATTTAATTTTGTTCTGATCTTTTTCATTTATTTTCTTCTACTAATTTTGAGTTTGGTTTGCACTTGCTTTTTTAGTTCTTTAAGATATGCCATTAGTTATTTGAGGTTTTTCTATCTTTTTTGATGTAGTTGCTTATAGCTATAAACTTTTCTCTTAGTACTGCTTTCACCGTATACCATAGGTTTTGGTATGTTGTGTTTCTACTGTCATTTGTTTCAAGACATTTTTAAATTTTCTTCTTAATTTCTTCATTGACCCACTGGTCATTCAGGAACATATTGTTTAATTCCTGTGAGTTCATGTAGTTTCCAAAATTCCTTTTTATTGATTTCTAATTTTATTCCATTGTGGTCAGAGAAGATACTTGATATAATTTCAATTTTTGGAATGTTTTAAGACTTGTTTTGTGGACTAACATATGGTCTGTTCTTAAGAATTATCCATATGCTGAGGAGAATAATGTGTATTCTGCAGCCATTGGATAAAAAGTTCTATAAATATCTATTAGGTCAATTTGGTCTATAGTGCAGATTAAGTCCAATGTTTCCTTGTTCATTTTCTGCCTGGATGATCTGTCCAGTGTTGACAGTTGGGTGTTAGAATCTCCAGCTATTGTTGTATTGGGGTTGATCTCTTTCTTTAGCTCTAATAATATTTGGCTTATATATCTGAGTTCTCCAGCATTGGATGCATATATATTTACAATTGTTATATCCTTTTACTGAATTGACCTCTTTATCATTATATAATGACCTTCTATGTCTTAAAATCTATTTTTGTCTGATGTAAGTGTAATTATTTCTACTCTATTTTGATTTCTGTTTGCATGGAACATCTTTCTGTTCCTTTACTTTCAGTCTATATGTGTCTTTATAGATGAGGTGTGTTTCTTGTAGGCAACAGATCACTGAGTCTTGTTTTTTAAATCCATTCAGCCATCTCATTTCTTTTGTTTAGAGAGTTTAGTCCATTTACTTTCAATGCTATTGTTGATAAGTAAGGACTTACTTTTGCCATTTTGTTATTTGTTTTCTGGTTGATTTGTGGTCTTCTCTTTCTTCTCTCCTTCCTTCTTATCTACGTTTTAGTGACGGTGATTTTCTCTGGTGGTATGTTTTAAATTTCTTGTATATCCATTGTATGTTTTTTTCATTGAAGTTACTATCAGGATTGCAAATAATATCTTATAACCTGTTATTTTAACTGATGACAACTTAACACTGATTTTATAAACAAACTAATAAGCAAGTTCCCACAACTGGGACTGTGCTGGGTCAGTCCTGAAGCCAGAATAGCACCGAGTCTTGCCCAAGGCCTGTGGTAACCACTCCCTGGCTACTGCCTATGTTTGCTCAAGTCCCTAGGTCTCTACAGTCAGCAGGTGGTGAAGCCAGCCAGGCTTGTATTCCCTTCAGGGTGGTGAGATCGTCAGGCAGGTCCAGGGATGCTGTCTGGGAGTCAGGGCCTGGAGTCAGAAACCTTAGGAATTTGCCTGGTGTTCTATTCTACTGTGGCTGAACTGGCACTCCAACCATGAAATGCAGTCCTTCCCATTCTTCCCTCCCTTTTCCACAAGCAGAGAAGTCTCTTCCCAAGGCTGCCACTACCCCAGACCTGTGGCAAGTACTCCCTGGCTATTGCTGATTCTCACTCAAGGCCCAAGGGCTCTTCAGTCAGCTTGTGGCGAATGCTGGCAGTCCTGAGTCTTTCCCTTCAGGACAGTGGGCTTTCCTCTGGCCCAGGACCAGAAATGGTGTCCAAGAGCTAAGGCTTGAAATTGGGAGCCCCAGGTGCCCACTTAGTGCTCTATTCCACTGTGCCCAAGCTGGTACCTAAACTGCAAGACAAAATACCCTTGACTCTTCCCTCTCCGTACTTCTCAAGCAGAAGGAGTCCTTCCTCATAGCCACCACAGTTGGGAATGTGCTGGGTCATACTTAAAACCAGCTTGTCCCAGAGTCTCATCCAAGGCCCACAGTGTGTACTACCTGGCCATCACTGTTGATTATTCGGGGCCCAAGCGCTCTTTAGTCAGCAGGTGATGAATCCTGCCAGGATTGAGTCCTTCTCTTCAAGGGGATGGGTTCCCTGCTGTCCCAGGGTGTGTCTGGAGATATCATCTGGGACCTAGGGCCTGGAATAGGGGCCTCACAACTCTTCCTGGTGCCCTACCTACTGTAGCTTAGCTGGTATCCAAGTTGCAAGACCAAGTCCTCTTTATTTTTCCCCCTCCTCTCCTTAAGCAGATGGGAGAATTATCTCCCAGAGCTGCGAGCTGTGCTGCCTGGGGTTGGGCAAGAGGTGGCACAGACACTCTCTTGGCCACCCAGGCTGGTGTCTCACTATATTGCATGCCCTCCAAAATCCACTGGCTCTGAGCCCAGTACAGCACCAGGACTTGTCTAGGAATTGCAGTCCTTATGGCCTAGACTGCCTTTCAAGTTTATTTAGGATCGCAGAGCACTTTAGGCTATGGTGGTGAGGCTTACCAGAACTCAGGTTCTGACTACTGGGCTGAACCATTCCCCTCTGACTCGGGCTGGTCTAAATACTCTGTCTGTGGGCACTGGCTGAGTTGTGCCCAAAGCTGCTTTCTGTTGTGACAGGCAGCACTGTGTTCTGATGCAGTCTCACAGTTATTGCTCTGTCCTTCCCCCAAGTACCCAGATTATCTCTTCATGCCACACAGCCACCAGAGTGGTGTCAGCAATTCAAGACTGTCTTTCCTACCCTCTGCAGTGCCTCTTTCAGTGATGTAAAGTTAAAACCAAGTATTGTCATCACTCACCTGATTTTTGATTCTTAGCAAGGTGTTTTTGTGTGTGTGTAGATAGTTGTTAAATTTGGTGTTCCTGTGGGGAGGTCAATTGGTGGAGGCTTCTAATCAGCCATCTTGCTCTGCCTCCTCCCTATTCTAGCCTTGTCCCTGCCTCTAACCACCTTGCCCTTCAGTAGTTCAGGAAGACTTATTGATTGTACAACCTAGGCATCTCTTCCTCTGTATCTTCTTTGTTCTTCACTGTTTCATGTAATATGCTTTTGAACTTGATCTTCTTTGCCTTAAATGACAAACACAAAAGAAGACAGCAATAGACAAAAGACAGACAAAAGACCTACAGACTAATAGGAAATAATGAACAAGACAACAATAGTAAATCCTTCCCTATCAATAATTATTTTAAATGTATATGGATTAAACTCCACAATCTAAAGACATAGAGAAGCTGAATGAATAAAAAAAATAAGACCCAACTTGGTTGAAAGTGAAGAGATGAAAAAAGACATTCCATGCAAATGGTAACCAAACATGAGCAGGGATTGCTCTATTTATATGAGACAACATAGACTTTACATAAAAAACTATCATAAGATACAAAGAATAACATCTTATAATAATAAAAGATAAGTCCACCAGAAAGATATAACAATTATGAATATATATACATCCCACCTCAGAGCACCTAAATATATAAAGCAAACATTGAGAAAGATGAAGGGAGAAATAGACAGTAATACAATGATAGCAGATTTCAGTATCCCACTTCTAATAATGGATAAAACATATAGATCGAAAATCAATAAAGAAACAGAGGCAGGGCGCAGTGCCTCATGCCTATAATCTCAGCACTCTGGGAGGCTGAGGCAGGCAGATCACCTGAGGTCAGGAGTTTGAGACAAGCCTGGTCAACATGGTGAAACCCTGTCTCTACCAAAAAAAAAAAAATACAAAAATTAGCTTTGTGGTGGCATGCCTATAGTCCCAGCTACTGGGGAGGCTGAGGTGGGAGAATCGCTTGAACCCGGGAGGCAGAGGTTTCAGTGAGCTGAGGTCACACCACCACCCTCCAGCCTGGGTGAGAGTAAGACCCCAGCTCAAAACAAACAAACAAACAAACAAAACCCCAGAAGACCTGTATAACACCATAGGCCAAATAGCCCTAACAGATGTGTTCAGAGCAGTCCACCGACAGCTGTAGAATACACATTCTTCTCAAGTGATATGGAACTTTCTCTGGGATAGATCAAATGTTGTTTTTACCACATACAATGAAGTTTTTTAAAAAAGAAAGAAAATCATAAAATATAAACTCTCTTTCTTTGAGGCTCTTGTCATTCACCTATAACATCTTTTCTTTCTACATTGCTATCATCTTCTGACTACCTGGTTGATCCTGTTTCTTTATTTGAATTTTAAGAATATGGTTGTCTTTCTCTCTAGTAAAAGTGCAAACAAGTATTCTGAATGAAATTGTATTAGTCTGTTTTCACACTACTGATAAAGACATACCCAAGACTGGGTAATTTATAAATAAAAAGAGGTTTAATGGACTCACAGTTCCTCATGGCTGGGGAGGCCTCACAATCATGGTGGAAGACAAAGGAAGAGCTAAGGGATGTCTTACATGGCGGCAGGCAAGAAGAAGTCTTGTGAAGGGGAACTCCTCTTTATAAATCTGTCAGATCTTGTGAGACTTATTCACTGTCATGAAAACAGCACAGGAAAGACCTGCCCCAATGATCCGATTACCTTCCACCAGGTCCCTCCCATGACATGTGGGAATTGTGGGGGCTACAATTCAAGATGAAACTTGGGTGGGGACACAGCCAAACCATATTAGATATTAACCATGTGGATAATCGATCAAACAGCATCAGACTCTGAACTTCTTGACTCCCTCATCTTCCATGATTTTTATAGTTTGCCCACACACTTTCACAGCTACCCACTGGATACTTATTACTGTGTTTTTGTTTGCTAGACCTACCATAACAAAATACAACAAAGTGGATGGCTTAAACAACATAATTTCTTTCCTTACAATTCTGGAGGCTAGAAGCCCCAAATCAAGGTGTTGGTAGATTTAGTTTCTTATGAGACCACTGCTTGGCTTGCAGACAGCTGTTTCTTGCTGTGTTCTCACATGGTCATCTCTATGTTTGTGTTGTCTGTGTCTTAATCCCCTTTTCTTATAAAGACATCAATCATATTGGATTAAGGGCCCACCCTAACAACCCTGTTTTAACTTATCTCTTTTAAAGATCTATCCCCAAAGATCTATCAGTCACATTCTGAAGTATTGAGGGTTAGGACTTCAATATATGAATTTTTTTCTGAAGGGACACAATTCAGCACATAACAACTATAAGAGCTCAAGCTTAAAAGTCAACTATTTGGGGCCAGTTATGGTGGCTCACACCTGTAATCCCAGCACTTTGGGAGGTCAAGGTGGGTGGATCACAAGGTCAGGGGATCGAGACCATCCTGGCTAACACGGTGAAACTCTGTCTCTACTAAAAATACAAAAAAATTACCCAGGCGTGGTGGCGGGCACCTGCAGTCCCACCTACTTGGGAGGCTGAGGCAGGAGAATGGTGTAAACCCATGAGTCAGAGCTTGCAGTGAGCTGAGATCATGCCACTGCACTCCAGCCTGGGTGACAGAGCAAGACTCCGTCTCAGAAGAAAAAAAAAAAAAAGTCAACTATTTGGAAATCATCATTCTCAGCAAACTAACACAGGAACAGAAAACCAAACACCACATGTTCTCACTCATAAGTGGAAGTTGAACAATGAGAACACATGGACACAGGGAGGGGAACATCACACACTGGGGCCTGGCAGGGGGTTGGGGGCTAGGGGAGGGATAGCATTAGGAGAAATACCTAATGTAGATGATGGGTCGATGGGTGCAGCAAACCACCATGGCACGTGTATACCTATGTAACAAACCTGCACGTTCTGCACATGTATCCTAGAACTTAAAGTATAATTTTTTAAAAAAGGTCAGCTATTAAACTAGCCTTTACTCTGAGTTCACCCTTTGTCTTTTTGAGACAATTTATTTGCCACTGTTATCTCCAAGTAGTTCTTTCACGACACAGAGACCTGTATTTCATTTACCATTTGCTTTTCCTAACTTAATAGTTCACTCTTTTCTTCATTTCCTTCCATATCCAGCTTAAAATTTATAATTCTTTATTTCAATAATACTATGGACTGAATGTTTATGCTCCTCCTGACACTCCAATTTATATGTTGAAGCCTAAATTCCCCATGTGATAGTATTTGGAGGTGGGGCCTTTGAGGGAATTAGGTCATGAGGGTGGAGCCCTTGTGAATGGGATTAGTTTCCTTATTAGGGGATGAAGAGACCAGAGTTTCTTCTCTCTGTCCTGTGAGCATACAAGACCACCATCGATGCAGCAGGAAAAATGCCCTTATCAGATACTGGATCTGCCAGTCCCTTGATCTTGGACTTCCCAGCTCCTAGAACTCTGAGAAATGAATTTCTGTCATTTAAGCTACTTAGTTTATGGTATTCTATTATAGAAGCCTGAACTGACTAAGACAAACAAGGATCAATAACATTCTTCCAATGCCCTGATTTCCTTTATCCCTCTGTCTTTTCTTCATACCCATCTAGCAAAAGTCCATCTCTGAATTTCCCCAACTACTTTATATTTGCCTATAGTAATCAGCCAAAGGCTGCTGGAGATAGTTATATGTCAATGAAGATTAGCTCCTCTATAATTTAGTGATTAAAATGGCCTGGACATAATCCATGAAATCGTTCAGCAATCCTATGACATTGCTCTTATCAACTCCCTCTTTCACACATGGTGACCATTTTAGAACTTTTCTTCTCCACAAAGCTTCAAGCCTTTTGCTCCCAATTCACTCTCAGCATCACTTACATCATAGAAAAACCAGGAGCCCTCAGGCAGGAACTTTTTCATTTCCCACTACCAAATGGAAAATCCCATTTACCTCTGTATTCACCTGCTCCTCGTCCCTCTTTTGCAGTAGAGAAGCTGTCTCCCTTCCTACTTAAGGCCAATTCTGCCTCTTGCCCTTTTGTTTCTACTTTCTCCCAGTTTTTTTTCAATATTTTACATTATTTCTCTTTTCTGTCATAGAAATTTAATCATACCTGTTTATTGGATTGTTTCCTTCAGTATTTAAATATGTTCCTGTTTCTCCCACTTACAAAATATAACTTCCTTGATCTTATATTCTCCTCTAGCTACTACCATATTTCTCTAATCAGCCAACTTTCTCAGAAGGATTGACTATTCTCAGATTCCATTTCCTTATCTATCACTCTCTCCTTTATGTGCTCTTACCTGACTTCTAGTCTCATCATTCCACCAAATCAGCTCTTCTAAAAGCACCAATAATATCCATTTAACATTTAGTTCTTATCTTTCTTGACCTCTTAGCATCATTTGATCCTGTCAATCTTTCCTTACTTTTTGAAATACCATCTCGCTTTCACTTTTGTGATACTATGCTTTGCTGGTTCCCTCTCCCACATCTTGTCATTCTTTCTCAGTCTCCTTCACTCAGTCATTGAGTATTAAGTTTCCCTAAGGCTCTCCCAATCTCTCCTCTCATTCTGTTCTTTTGCCCTAGGTGATGCCATCCAAGCCACAATTTTCTTATAAAAGCAAATGTTCCACAGGACTTTTGCACATGGTGTTTCCCTTGAGGACTTGCTCCCTCAAACCCTCCCTTAACTCATTATATAATTATAATTTATACATTTTTTACCTTGAAGCTCAGATACCACTTTCTCTGAAAGCTTTATACAACCTACTTGTTCTTATGACACCTCTGCAGGACTTCTGCAATTACAATTTACATTTATTTACCTGATTTGCTAAATGACAAGCTTCCATTGGAGGTAAGCTACATAATGGCAGATATTATATGTTTTTCTTATTATAAATTTATCCCTACCACTTAAGAAAATGCTGAGTACATAGTAGGTACACAACAAATAATTGTAGAATGAAATAACCAAATGAATAAACATTTCAAATAAAGTATCTGTAAATATCAAGATGGAGATTTCCCATTCATGATTAAATGCATGGTTTTGAAGTCAAGAGACAGGTCTGGGCTGGAGAGATTAATTTGAAATTTAATTGCATGTAAGTGGTAATGAAGGTTGTAAGATTTCCCAGAAAATGCTTATGGAGGCAGAGAAGAGGGAAGAGGACAAAAACCTTGGGAACATCCACGTTTGTTAAACTGAGACAGATAGAGGATGAGCCATTAAAGTAGGATGGGACTGACTACGCCATCCACACACGCAGAGTTTCCTTGGCAGTCCTAATTTTAATATCTGGTCCTTTCGGCTAACAGATTTCACAACCACATATATTCATCAGAAAATCAGAAAACATATATGAATCACATATGTTATAGCATCTATAAAGGAACCAAATGTAAATCTAATTTTAATAATTATTAATCTTTAATCACTTAATAATGATATAACAATAATTAGTACTATGACAATATAATAATTATTAATAAACTTGACTTTTTACCAATAACTGCAGTGAGGAATTAAGTGTGTTTTAAACATGGCTAATATACATAGTAATTATATTTTTATTTATAATCTCTTTAAACTATGCTTTTAAAAATTTGCCTAAATGTAAATATGTTCAATTTTTCTTTTTTAGCCTGAAAGTACTTTACTAATTATCTGTGAAAATGGCTATATTCTTGAAGCTCCACTTCCAACCATAAAGCAAGAAGAGGATGATCATGATGTAGTCTCCTATGAAATCAAAGACATGTGCATAAAATGTTTCCATTTTTCAAGTGTCAAATCTAAGATTCTGGTATGGAATATTCCTGAAGCATTATCTTATAATAATTTCCTTTCCTTAGAATATAAAATATCCTATGTTAAGTGCTGATGGAATACACAAAAGAATAAAACATAGGCCCTGAACTTAAGGAGTTTATAATCTGGTAGGAAAGCAGCTATTAGAAGGCAGTAGTAAATAGATACTGAAATCAAAATGCAAAGAAGGAAATTTTAGGGGTCTGCAGAGGAAAAGAGAGAAGATCCTGATAGAGGGATGGGAGGAGGTCAAAGATGACTGCATGGAAGTGACATTTAGTACCTAAAGAATGGGAGGGGCCAGGCACATTGGCTCATGCCTGTCATCCCAGCACTTTGGGAGGCTGAGGTGGGAGGATCGCTTGAGCCCGGGAGTTTATGGCTGCAGTGAGCTGTGATTGCACCAATGCACTCCAGCTCAGGTGACAGAGTGAGACCCTGTCTCAAGAAAAAAAAAATAGGGGGAATTTTGAGAGGTGAAAATAGGGCGATGGCAATAAAGGCTGGAAGAACATCCCAAGAGAATGCAGAGTTGTGAGTGTTTTCAAGAAATGAGGAATAGATCAATAAAATATAGGGAGGCAATTTGTTGAAGGATGTTGCAAGAGTCTGTGACCAATGCATGGAGCTCCTTAAATGCCAGCCAAGACATTTCATTTTAGACCACTGGGATCCATTGTGAGTTTGTGAGGAGGGGATTGATGTGATGATATCATATAAGTTTGGGAGATATACCTAATGCTAGATGACGAGTTAGTGGGTGCAGTGCACCAGCATGACACATGTATACATATGTAACTAACCTGCACATTGTGCACATGTACCCTAAAACTTAAAGTATAATAATAATAAATAAAATTTAAAAAAATAAGTTAGGAAGATTATTCTGAAGGGTGAACAGAATGAAGTAGTAAAAGATGGGAGGCGGAAATACCAGTGTCAGAGGGCTTTTGCAAAGGACAATTGATAGATGATGAAGGCCAAACTCACAGTATTACTGAAGTTGGAAGCAACTTTCCTTGTGGACTATTTCAGTCTACCTAATTCCTGGGTTAACAGTGATAGGCTCTAAGAGAAGTTATATTTAGCTTCTCTATTATGAAAAAAATGACCAAATAATTTCTATAAAACCAAGATTGATGGGGGTAAAACAAAAATGAGTCATTCTAATGATTTAAAAGTTTTAATGATAAAAATATATTCTCGCATTGGTGAGTATTTTTAAATATTATTTGTTACAGAGCTGTGTATCTTCTTTCTATTTTCATTGTCATCCCTAATGGTGTAAATGAACGAATGAGTCATAATTGTTTTTATACCTACTTAATGTTTATTTTAAAAGAGATTAATAGAAATTGAAAAGAGGGAGAGACAAAGGGAGTTGAAGGAGAAAATAAGGGAAGAAAGGAGGAACAAGCTAGCAGCAGAGATGGGAGAAGATGGAGAAAAAGAATTTCAGGAGGAGGAAGAGGAGAAAGAGGAGGAGGAGGAGGAAGAAGAGCCATTACCTGAAATATTTATTCCGTCAACCCCCTCTCCCATCCTCTGTGGATTTTACTCAGAGCCAGGGAAGTTCTGGGTTTCTTTGGTAAGTAACAATGTAATAATTTTTACCTCAATCATATTTCAATATAGTTTATAGTTATTGTAACTTCATTCTTTCTTACTCTTATGTTAAGATTTCATTTATCTATTTATTTTTTTTTAGATTTCATTTATTAAATACTATTGAAGTCGTGAGTTTTGATGAATGAATGTGGGATATAGTTGTTTTTAAATAATCTTAACATCTCTTTTATATGTCTTCTTGTGCAGATAATTGTACAGATAAATCTATAGATTATAGATTATCTATTATCTGCTTGTCAATCATACATGTTCCAGGCAGGTCAAAGAGGAGAAGGATCAAGCGTAGAAAGGCAAAAGGCTAGGGGTTTTTCCAACCAAGACTGTTGTTTTTTAATTTTGAAAAGAATAGCTTTCATGGCAGTACTATCCAGTAGACTTTTCTTACTTCTCATTATCTACAACTATGCTGTGGGGTCATATGCAAGTCTAGGAAGATAAGTGTTTTTAGATGGTCTAAGTGCCACCCTGAACAAAATCAGAACTTGGCTCATAAGGAAGAAGGGAAAAATGGATATTAGGAAGAAAGTACCAGGGCCTATCACAAGGCTGTAGGAGTATATCCTCCAATTATACATTTTTTACTATTTGCTTGAAATATTCTATTGATCTACTGCAAAGCAAGATTTCCTTCATTATAATTTTGTCACAATTTTCAGTTCCCTCCACCAAAAATAATTTCATAAAAGTGTGTGTGGAAGATCATTACTAATTCATCCCTGGTCCTAGGTCTTTAGCCAGGCCAGGACACTGACTAGCCAAGGACTATTGCTGTAAGGAGTGATGAGTGTTGACTTTTTCCCTCCTCAACTTTTCCTAGAAATGTAACTTTTGTATTACTAAGGAGGCAAGCAGAAAGAAGGATGGAAAATAGCATTGGAGACATCATAGGACATCCTTTATTAGTTCCTCTACCCTTTCTGCCTGTCGTCTGTGTTTTATAAAACAATTGTAAATGGCTACTATTGTATGGAGTTCAAAGGATAAAGGGATAAAGAAAACATGGTTCCTGCCTTCAGGAAGTCTTCATTTGAGGGAAAGAGGTACAGAAACAATTAATGTAATACAATGCAATAAATTTCCAGTGTCCTGGAAATATAGATGCAAAAATTACTCATTATTTAACAAACATAATTGGGAAGATTGGGAAGATTGCTTGAGCCCAAGAGTTCGAGACCAGCCTGTGTAATATAGTGAGATCCCATCTCAAACAACAACAACAAAACACAAACAGAAAACTCCACGCATATTTAGTGCTTACTCTTAGGGTTTCCAAGTAAAATTACATAGTACATACTTACACTAAAAATTATTTTTGGCTGGGTGCAGTGGCTCACACCTGTAATCTCAGCACTTTGGGAGGCCGAGGCGGGTGGATCACGAGGTCAGAAGATCAAGACCATTCTCGCCAACATGGTGAAACCCTGTGTCTACTAAAATACAAAACATTAGCCGGGCATGGTAGCAGGTGCCTGTAGTCCCAGCTACTCGGGAGGCCAAGGCAGGGGAATTGCTTGAACCCGGGAGGTGAAGGTTGCAGTGAGCCGAGATTGTGCCACTACACTCCAGCCTGGTGACAGAGCAAGACTCTGTCTCAAAAAATATATATATGTTTTTGTTTGTCTGAAATTTAAATTTAATAGATGTCCTTTATTTTCATTTGCTGAATATGACAACTTACTTATTCTGTATCAGGTATTTTTCTAAGTAATTTACTTAACCAACTATAAAATAAGTGCTGGTTTTTTTTGCATTTTATATATGAAGAAACCAAGGCATGGAAATGTTAGGCATTTTATCTGAGGCCATATAACTAATGAGAAGTGAAACTAGAATCTGGACTCAAGCAATCTGGCTCCAGAGTTCATGCCCTCAACCATTAAGCTACACTGGTGAACAAGGTTAAAACATAGTTAACAGAGGTAGCAAAGCTTGAGTCAACAATATGACAACTCTGTGCCTGCAGCCAAACAAATGGTGAAGAAAAACCAGTTTCATTTTGAAGTACTGACTGCAGTTCTCAAATCAATACTCACACTGCAGGCCAATTCTACTGCCCAGCCATATTCACTTTCCAAATTATTACATTAAGTCTTTCTTCTCCCCTCAAGCATTTTGTACCTTCTCTTACTCTTCAATGATAACCTCATCTCACATTTCACAGAAAAAAATAAAAGCAGATGGAATTTCCTTTTCTTGTCTCAATTAGATGTAACACCCTATAGGGATCTATATTCCTTTTGTCTGCTTTGCCTATTGTTATAATTGGAGAACAGTCTCCTGCAACTCTCCAAGGACACTGTTCCCAATGGCTCCTTGATCCCATCCCTTCTCATTTTCTCAAAAACTTTGCTCCTGAGATAAACCACTTGGTCTCCTGTATCATCAGTTTCTGTCTTTTCTATTCAGTTATTATCATGAGCATACAAACATGCTCTAGTACTAATCTTAATTTTATTTCCTGAACCTCTCTTTCCTTTTCCCCCCTTGCTCTGTTACATAAAAAGTTATTGAAAGAATCATCTGTAATCATTGGCTTAACTTATTCACCTCCTATTTGATCTTCAACCCATTCCAGTTGGGATATCTCCATCACTTCACTAATGATGATAAGCTCAGAGGTCAATTCTCTGTCCATTTGACTTTTCGGAACATTTAACAGAGTTGACCCCTCATACTTCTCAAATGCTTTCTTCTCTTGGCTTCTAAGACATTACACTCTTCTGACCATTCCATTTCAGCCTCTTTTGCTGGCTTCTCATGTGCAGAACAAGCTTTGAAGTTTGAAATACTCCAGAGTGCGGCCTTGGGCCCCCTCTTTCTTGCTAAGGTAACTACACAGTCTCATGGCTTTAAATATCACTTATCTTCCAGTGAATCTCAAATATTTATTTCTAGTCCTGACCTCTCCCCTCCACTTAGACTTGTATATCCAACTTGACAATGCTCCTTGGCACCTCAAAATTAACCTGTCCAAGACATTACTTTTAAACCATACATGTCCCATACAAACCTGCTCCATCTCCATCTCAGTAAATGAGACAATCATCCACTTAGTTACTATGCCAAAACCTCGACGTTATTAAGGATTCTTCTCTTTCCTTTACTATTTGATACCCTTATATCGAAAGTAGGTCTCTTGTAAACAGTATATGGTTAGGCTTAAAAGAATCCTATAGGATTATATTTGTCTTTTAAAAAAGTACTATGTTCATTTATATTTAATGTAATTACTAATATATTTTAGTTTAAATCTACTATCTTACTAATTATTTCTATTTGTCGCACTCATTCTAAATTTATTTTCTTTCCCTTTTTTTTACCTTCTATTGAGTGATTAGGTAATTTTTTCCACAGTTTTCTTCCTCTACTAGATTATTAGTTATACATTCTTTTACTATTCTTTTAGAGGTGATTTTATTTATTTATTTATTTTTATTTTTGAGACAGAGTCTCACTCACTCTGTTGCCCAGGCTGGAGTGCAATGGTGCCGTCTCAGCTCACTACAGCCTCTACTTCCCAGGCTCAAGTGATTCTCCTGCCTTAGCTTCCCGAGTAGCTGAGATTACAGGTGTGTGCCAACACGCGTGGTTAAAAGGTGTTAGTTTCTTCATTTTTATTTTGTTTGCAGTTCGTAGCACTCTAAATTTCAACATATCTCTTCAGTTTTAGAAAATTCTCAGCCATTATCTACCACAGTGTTGCTTCTGGCCTATCTTTTCACTCTCTTGTTCTGGGACCCCAACTTTATGTGTATTACATCCTTCTCATGTTCCGTATGTATCTTACATCATTCAAGAAGATTTTCCATCCTTTTTGTCTTTCTCCATGCTTTAGCCTATTTTTTCTGATCTCTGTTCCAGCTTCGTAACTTTTATTTTAAAGTTTGTTTTTCCAATTGCTTTTTATTGAAGTAAAAGACATATAACATAAAATTGACCATCTTAACCATTTTTAAGTGTACAGCTCAGTAGTAGTAAACGTATTCACAATGTTGTGACGTCATCACCAACATCTGTTCTACCGTCCTCCTCATCCTGTAACACTGAAACTCCCATACTCATCAAATGATAACTCCTGATTCTTCCCTTCTCTCAGCCCCTGGCAACCATACTTTCTTTCTTATGATTTTGACTACTCTAAGTATCTCAAATAAGTGAAATTATATAGTATCTGTCTCTTTATGACTGGCTTGTTTCACTTGGGATAATTTCCCCAAGTTTCATCCGTGATGCAGCATATGTCAGAATTTCCTTTCAAGGCCAAATAATACTCCACTTTAAGTATGTACCGTATTTTGCTTATATACTCAGTCATAAATAGACATTTGGGGCCAGGCACGGTGGCTCACGCCTGTAATCCTAGCACTTTAGGAGGTCAAGGCGGGTGGATCACTTGAGGCCAGGAGTTCCAGACCAGCCTGGCCAACATGGCAAAACCGCATCTCTACTAAAAATAGAAAAAATTAGGTGGACGGAGTGGCTCAAACCTGCAATCCTAGCTACCCGGGAGGCCGAGGCAGGAGAATTGCTTGAACTTGGGAGGTGGAAGTTGCAGTGAGCCGAGATGGCACCACTGCATTCCAGCCTGGGTGACAGAGTAAGACCCCATCTCAAAACAAACACACAAAAATAGACACTTGGATTGTTCCCACCTTTTGGCTATTGTGAATAATGCTGCTATGAATGAGGTGGGTGTTCAAATATCTCTTTGAGACCCTGCTTGAACCCTGGAAATGATTATTTCTTTCTCCATAAGTCTATGAGACTGCAGATAGCTTTGTCCAGCTTCTTAGCCTCTCAGCTGCCACATATATGTAACAAACCTGCACGTGTGCACATGTACCCTGGAACTTAAAGTATAATAATAAATAAATAAATAAATAAATAAATAAATAAATAAAAGAAATTGACAGTTGCTCCAGGGAGTAAAGCAGTGCCAAATGCCAGGCTCACTTTTGGCTTTCCCTCTTTTTTGGATCTTGCTATTTTGGTAGCTTGCCAATGCCTTCAAACACATTTACAAAATTTGTTCTGGTTGTTCTCAGTGGGAGAGTTTGGCTGAAACAATCTAGTCTGCTGTTGTCAAAAGTGAAAACTTAGTAATTTGATTTTCAGAGGTGATCATGATGTTACATTCTCTTTCTTATTTATTCTTTTATTGTTCATAAAGTTGTTCTGACCCTTAATTTGTTTCCTATAATAAGGAATCTCAGTAATAAGGAAATTAGAGTTGGAGCAATATAGCTCTTCCAGTTGATCATTCATCTTCTCACTACATGGATAAATTTTTCTGAAATAGCCCTTTCTGGAAAATTAACAGTGTTTACAGTTACCTTAAACTGCAAACTAGCTGTAAAAACGAGGAACTGCAAAACCCTAATATTTGTTCCTGCTTATTCAGAATAATGCTTGAAGAAATAAAATGAAATTCTGTAGGTAGGGAGTCAGAGGTGATATCTCTCTTGTATTGGCTTTTAAATGAAAACAAATCATCATGAGGTTTTTATTATAATTATATAGTTGTGTATAAATGGATAAAGGAGATGCTTTATAGAAATAATAAATCTATAATCATAGAAATTATGTAGAAGTAGATGTTTGAAAACATCTATTTTATGTTTTCAAATTTGAAATAATCAAAAAATTCTCATGCATTTATGTGTGTTATATTCAAGTACCACCTTCTATGTTACTTATCTCTTTTCTAGGGTGGCTATGATTCTGGTTTTCTATATCACTGTGAGTTCCCCCCTTGTGATGAAAGCAGTGATTTCAAAGAACAAAAAGATGAACCTATTGATGTCCGTTATCTTGCGGATACAGAGGACAATCCCATCCAAACTATCACTTTCAAGTGAGCAGTATTTCAAAAAGCTTTAAAAAAACCATATCCTGTTAGTGTCTATGCTTTTGTTCATCATGGATATTGTCAATTTTTAAAGATCCATCCAAATGAAGGGGTACTCAAAAAATATTTGGTTAAATAAATCAAATGAATAAATAAAATCAAAGCTAATACTGAAATTATATTTAAATACCCCCACCAAATATTCTGTCAGTATTTTTGTTTATCGCACAATTGAATTGTATGGATTTACATTCTGCTACCTAGGAGGATGCTACTTACATAGTCAGAAATGAAGGTTCAGGGTTACAGTTATTCTGGAGAAATCACAAATGAATCATTAGCCCTTTAATAATTGAGAACTAGGCAAATATGCCAGTTATTCTTCTGACGACCCAATATAATAGCTTCAAATTTCAAATTGGCCTTTTTTCTCTATTCTTTTGTATTAGTTTGCTAGGGCTGCCACAATAAAACACCACAGACTAGGTGGCTTATACAGCAGAATTTTTTTTCTCACAGTTCTGGAGGCTAGAGTTCCAAGATCAAGGTGTCAGCAGGTTGGTTTCTCCTGAGGCCTGTCTCCTTAACTTATAGATATTTGCCTTCTTGCATGATCTTTTCTCTGGGTGCATGTCATCCCTTATGCTTCTGTCTGTATCCTAATGTCCTCTTCTTCTTTTTTTTTATTATTATACTTTAAGTTCTAGGGTACATGTGCACAACGTGCACATTTGTTACGTAGGTATACATATGCCATGTTGGCTTGCTGCACCTATCAACTCATCATTTAAATTAGGTATTTCTCCTAATGCTATCCCTCCCTCTGCCCCCCACTCCCCAACAGGCCCTGGTGTGTGATGTTCCCTACCCTGTGTCCATGTGTTCTCATTGTTCAATTCCCACCTATGAGTGAGAATATGTGGTGCTTGGTTTTCTGTCCTTGTGATAGTTTGCTGAGAATGATGGTTTCCAGCTTCATCCATGTCCCTGCAAAGGACATGAACTCATCCTTTTTTATGGCTGCATAGTATTCCATGGTGTATATGTGCCACATTTTCTTAATCCAGTCTATCATTGATGGACATTTGGGTTGGTTCCAAGTCTTTGCTATTGTGAATGGTGCTGCAATAAACATACGTATGCATGTGTCCTTATAGTAGCATGATTTATAATCCTTTGGGTATATACCCAGTAATGGGATGGCTGGGTCAAATGGTATTTCTAGTTGTAGATCCTTGAGGAATCGCCACACTGTCTTCCACAATGGTTGAACTAATTTACATTCCCACCAGCAGTGTAAAAGCATTCCTATTTCTCCACATCCTCTCCAGCATCTGTTGTTTCCTGACTTTTTAATGAGTGCCATTCTAACTGGTATGAGATGGTATCTCACTGTGGTTTTGATTTGTATTTCTCTGATGATCAGTGGTGATGAGCATTTTTTCATTGTGTCTGTTGGCTGCGTAAATGTCTTCTATTGAGAAGTGTCTGTTCATATCCTTTGCCCACTTTTTGATGGGATTATTTGTTTTTTTCCTGTAAATTTGTTTAAGTTCTTTGTAGATTCTGGATATTAGCCCTTTGTCAGATGGGTAGATTGCAAAAATTTTCTCCCATTCTGTAGGTTGCCTGTTCACTCTGATGATAGTTTCTTTTGCTGTGCAGAAGCACTTTAGTTTAATTAGATCCCATTTGTCTATTTTTGCTTTTGCCATTGCTTTTGGTGTTTTAGACGTGAAGTCTTTGCCCATGCCTATGTCCTGAATGGTATTGCCTAGGTTTTCTTCTAGAGTTTTTATGGCTTTAGGTCTTACATTTAAGTCTTTAATCTATCTTGAGTTACTTTTTGTATATGGTGTAAGGAAGGGATCCAGTTTCAGCTTTCTACATATGGCTAGCCAGTTTTCCCAGAACCATTTATTAAATAGGGAATCCTTTCCCCATTTCTTGTTTTTGTCAGGTTTGTCAAAGATCAGATGTTTGTAGATGTGTGGTGGTATTTCTGAGGCTTCTGTTCTGTTCCATTGGTCTGTATATCTGTTTTGGTACCAGTACCATGCTGTTTTGGTTACTATAGCCTTGTAGTATAGTTTGAAGTCAGGTAATGTGATGCCTCCAGCTTTGTTCTTTTGCTCAGGATTGTCTTGGCTATGCAGGCTCTTTTTTGGCTCCATATGAAGTTTAAAGTAGTTTTTTCCAATTCTGTGAAGAAAGTCATTGGTAGCTTGATGGGGATGGCATTGAATCTATGAATTACCTTGGACAATATGGCCATGTTCATGATATTGATTCTTCCTATCCATGAACATGGAATGTTCTTCCATTTGTTTGTGTCCTCTTTTATTTCATTGAGCAGTGGTTTGTAGTTCTCCTTGAAGAGGTCCTTCACATCCCTTGTAAGTTGGATTCCTAGGTATTTTATTCTCTTAGTACCAATTGTGAATGGGAGTTCACTCATGATTTGGCTTTCTCTTTGTCTGTTACTGCTGTATAGGAATGCTTGTGATTTTTGTACATTGATTTTGTATCCTGAGACTTTGCCGAAGTTGTTTATCAGCTTAAGGAGATTTGGGGCTGAGACAGTGGGGTTTTCTAAATATACAGTCATGTCATCTGCAAACAGGGACAATTTGACTTCCTCTTTTCCTAATTGAATATCCTTTATCTCTTTCTCTTGCCTGTTTGCCCTGGCCAGGACTTCCAACACTATGTTGAATAGGCATGGTGAGAGAGCACATCCTTGTCTTGTGCCAGTTTTCAAAAGGAAATGCTTCCACTTTGCCCATTCTGTATGATATTGGCTGTGAGTTTGTCATAAATAGCTCTTATCATTTTGAGGTACATTCCTTCAATACCTAGTTTATTGAGAGTTTTTAGCATGAAGGGCTGTTGAATTTTGTTGAAGGCCTTTTCTGCGTCTATTGAGATAATCATGTGATTTTTGTCGTTGGTTCTGTTTATGTGATGGATTACGTTTATTGATTTGTGTATGTTGAACCAGCCTTGCATCCCAGGGGTGAAGCCCACTGGATTGTGGTGGATAAGCTTTTTGATGTGCTGCTGGATTTGGTTTGCCAGTATTTTATTGAAGATTTTTGTGTCTATGTTCATCAGGGATATTGGTCTAAAATTCTCTTTTTTTGTTGTGTCTCTGCCATGCTTTGGTTTCAGGATGATGCTGCCCTCATAAAATGAGTTAGGGAGGATTTCCTCTTTTTCTATTGATTGGAATAGTTTCAGAAGGAGTGGTACTGGCTCCTCTTTGTACCTCTGATAGAATTCGGCTTTGAATCTGTCTGGTTCTGGACTTTTTTTGGTTGGTAGGGTATTAATTATTGCCTCAATTTCAGAACCTGTTATTGGTCTATTCAGAGATTCAACTTCTTCCTGGTTTAGTCTTGGGAGGGTGTATGTGTCCAGAAATTTATCCACTTATTCTAGATTTTCTAGTTTATTTGCATAGAGGTGTTTATAGTATTCTCTGATGGTAGTTTGTATTTCTGTGGGATCAGTGGTGATATCCCCTATATCATTTTTTATTGCATCTATTTGATTCCTCTCTTTTCTTCTTTATTAGTCTTGCCAGTGCTCTCTCTATCAATTCTCTTGATTGTTTCAGAAAACCAGCTCCTGGATTCATTGATTTTTTGAAGGGTTTTTTTGTCTCTATCTCCTTCAGTTCTGCTCTGATCTTAGTTATTTCTTGCCTTCTGCTAGCTTTTGAATTTGTTTGCTCTTGCTTCTCTAGTTCTTTTAATTGCAATATTAGGGTGTTGATTTTAAGTCTTTCCTGCTTTCTCTTGCGGGCATTTAGTGCTATAAATTTCCCTCTACACACTGCTTTAAATGTGTCCCAGAGATTCTGGTACGTTGTGTCCTTGTTCTCATTGGTTTCAAAGAACATCTTTATTTCTGCCTTCATTTTGTTATTTACCCAGTAGTCATTCAGGAGCAGGTTGTTCAGTTTCCACATAGTTGTGCAGTTTTGAGTGAGTTTATTAACCTGAGTTCTAGTTTGATTGCACTGTGGTCTGAGAGACTGTTGTGATTTCTATTCTTTTACATTTGCTGAGGAGTGTTTTACTTCCAATTATGTGGTCAGTTTTAGAATAAATATGATGTGGTCCTGAGAAGAATGTATATTCTGTTGATTTGAGATGGAGAGTTCTATAGATGTCTATTAGATCTGCTTGGTGCAGAGCTGAGTTGAAATCCTGGATATCGTTGTTAACCTTCTGTCTCGTTGATCTAATAATGACAGTGGGGTATTAAAGTCTCCCATTATTATTGTTTGGGAGTCTAAGTCTCTTTGTAGGTTTCTAAGGATTTGCTTTATGAATCTGGGTGCTCCTGTATTGAGTGCATATATATTTAGGATAGTTAGCTCTTCTTGTTGAATTGATCCCTTTACCATTATGTAATGGCCTTTGTCTCTTTTGATCTTTGTTGGGTTAAAGTCTGTTTTATCAGAGACTAGGATTGCAACCTCTGCTTTTTTTGCTTTCCATTTGCTTGGTAGATCTTCCTCCATCCCTTTATTTTGAGCCTATGTGTATCTCTGTAAGTGAGATGGGTCTCCTGGATACAGCACACTGATGGGTCATGACTTTTTATCCAATTTGCCAGTTTGTATCTTTTAATTGGAGCATTTAGCCCATTTACATTTAAGGTTAATATTGTTATGTGTGAATTTGATCCTGTCATTAGGATGTTAGCTGGTTATTTTGCCTGTTAATTGATGCAGTTTCTTCCTAGCCTTGATGTTCTTTACAATTTGGAATGTTTTTGCAGTGGCTGGTACCGGTTGTTCCTTTCCATGTTTAGTGCTTCCTTCAGGAGCTCTTGTAAGGCAGGCCTGGTGGTGACAAAATCTCTCAGCATTTGCTTGTCTGTAAAGTATTTTATTTCTCCTTCACTGATGAAGCTTAGTTTGACTGGATATGAAATTCTGTGTTGAAAATTCTTTTCTTTAAGAATATTGAATATTGGCCCACACTCTCTTCTGGCTTGTAGGGTTTCTGCCGAGAGATCTGCTGTTAGTCTGACGGTCTTCCCTTTGTGGGTAACCCGACCTTTCTCTCTGGCTGCTCTTACAATTTTTTCCTTCATTGCAACCTTGGTGAATCTGACAATTATGTGTCTTGGGGTTGCTCTTTTCAAGGAGAATCTTTGTGGTGTTCTCTGTATTTCCTGAACTTGAATGTTGGCCTGCCTTGCTAGGTTGGGGAAGTTCTCCTGGATGATATCCTGAAGAGTGTTTTCTAACTTGGTTCCATTTTCCCCATCACTTTCAGGTACACCAATCAAATGTAGATTTGGTCTTTTCACATAGTCCCATATTTCTTGGAGACTTTGTTCATTTCTTTTTACTCTTTTTTCTCTAATCTTGTCTTCTTGCTTTATTTCATTAATTTGATCTTCAATCACTGATATCCTTTCTTCCACTTGATTGAATCAGCTATTGAAGCTTGTGCATGCGTCACGAAGTTCTCGTCCTGTGGTTTTCAGCTCCAGGAGGTCATTTAAGATCTTCTCTACACTGTTCATTCTAGTTAGCCATTCATCTAACCTTTTTTTCAAGGTTTTTAGCTTCTTTGCAATGGGTTAGAACATGCTCCTTTAGCTCGGAGAAGTTTGTTATTACCAACCTTCTGAAGCCTACTTCTGTCAACTAACTCATCAAAATCATTCTCCATTCAGCTTTGTTCCATTGCTGGTGAGGAGCTGTGATCCTTTGGAGGAGAAGAGGTGCTCTGGTTTTTGGAATTTTCAGCTTTTCTGCTCTGGTTTCTCCCCATCTTTGTGGTTTTATCTACCTTTGGTCTTTGATGTTGGTGACCTACAGATGGTGTTTTGGTGTGGATGTCCTTTTTGTTGATGTTGATGCTATTCCTTTCTGTTTGTTAGTTTTCCTTCTAGCAGTCAGGGCCCTCAGCTGCAGGTCTGTTGGAGTTTGCTGGAGGTCCACTCCAGGCCCTGTTTGCCTGGGTATCACCAATGGAGGCTGCAGAATGGCAAATATTGCAGAACAGCAAATATTGCTGCCTGATCCTTCCTCTAGAAGCTTCATCCCAGAAGGGCACCCGCCTGTATGAGGTGTCTGTTGGCCCCTACTAGGAGGTGTCTCTCAGGCTACATGGGGGTCAGGGACCCACTTGAGGAGGCAGTCTGTCCGTTTTCAGAGCTTGAACGCTGTGCTGGGAGAACCACTGCTCTCTTCAGAGCTGTCAGACAAGAACGTTTAAGTCTGCAGAAGTTGTCTGCTGCCTTTTGTTCAGCTATGCCCTGCCCACAGAGGTGGAGTCTATAGAGGCAGTAGGCCTTGCTGAGCTGAGGTGGGCTCTGCCCAGTTAGAGCTTCCCAACCGCTTTGTTTACTTAGTCAAGCCTCAGTAATGGCAGACACCCCTCCACCCGCCGGGCTGCAGCCTCACAGGTTGATCTCAGACTGCTGTGCTAGCAGTGAGCAAAGCTCCATGGGCGTGGGACCCGCTGAGCCAGGCATGGGAGGGAATCTCCTGGTCTGCCAGTTGCTAAGACTTTTGAAAAGCGCAGTATTTGGGCAGAAGTGTACCATTTTTCCAGGTACAGTCTGTCACAGTTTCCCTTGGCTAGGAAAGGAAAATCTCCTGACCCCTTGCGCTTCCCAGGTGAGGCAACACCCTGCCTTGCTTCGGCTTGCCCTCCATCGGCTGCACCCACTGTCCAACCAGTCCCAATGAGATGAATCAGATACCTCAGTTGGAAATGCAGAAATCACCCATCTTCTGAGTCGATCTTGCTGGGAGCTGCAGACTGGAGCTGTTCCTATTTGGCCATCTTGGAAGTGACCCCCTTTGATATCTTCTTCTTATGAGTACACCAGGCAGACTGGATTAGAACCTACCCTAATGTTCTAATTTTAACTTAATTACCTCTTTAAAAGCCCTATCACAATGCAGTTACATTCTGAAGTATTAGGGGTTAGGGCTTCAATATAGGAATTTTAGGGGTGTACAATTCAGTCCATAACAACTTTGTTATTAATTTAGCCACTTGTCAATTAAGTTGAAATTAAGCATTATTTTCAGATTAATGGGAAGAACAATTTACATTTTTTGTTTCGTAGCATTAACAAAGTTATGATGTTTTGTGGAATGAAAAATGGAGCAATTCGAGTCTATGTCCTAAATCAAAATGATCCTTCATTGACCAGTTTGGTGGACTACTGGCACTTCAATATGCATGACAATAATTATGGATGTATTAAAAGTATTGCTAATAGCTTTGATGATCGTTTCTTGGTGACTGCTGGAGCAGATGGCAATATCTTTGTTTTCAACATTTTTTCTGAATTTATGCTAAGGAAAGACATGAAGGCCAAAGTTCCATCTCCCAGGGTATGTAATTAATTAACCAGTTAATTAATAACAAACTGTATTTAAAAATAGTGATATTAAAATTGTTCATATTCGTTATAAATTAAAAGTTATTTAGACACATTCACCTTATGGTCTAATCTTCCTGCTACTATTATAATTTGACTTTCTGGTGCTTATATATCAAATATTAAAGGTATTACATTCCCCTTATTATTAAAGATTGGAATTCCCCAGATTAAAAAAGAATGTGTCAGTTTTTCTATGTAGTTAAAAGTTTGTATATTAAAAAAACTTTCTTAATCAAAGGTTTTTTTTCAAAGTTTGCAATTTTTTCAGATTTTCTTTTGCTTTTCATTTATTCATTCACTCGTTGTAAGGGCTGATATAGGACATATGCCATAAAGTGTGGTTTTGATAGGGGTTGCAAAAATATAGTTGTTTTTAGTATTAGAATGTGACAATGTGGGTCATGATTAAAGATTCAGTATAAAGTATTTTTTTAAAAGCAGAACTAGATTTTTGGCTTTATGATGAAGTTTGAGGGTTCAGATCCCCAAATTATGTCCTTTTTTCCTGTCATAGAACTTGAATTTCATATTATCAAGCAATTTGTTTGGAAAAAGTCAGTAGGTAATAACCATTAGAATTGCTCCTAAGGAGAAAGGAGTTGTATTAGAAAGATTATAGCTAAAATTCCTTTGAACATATTGGCTTCCCATTTAGCAGGTAGCCTACTTCAAAGTACACATAAAGAATGTAGGGAAGATATGAGTAGGTCAATTTTCATTTCTTCTAATAGCAAAATTTGGAGTATGGGCTGCTGGTTAGAGAGGGTCCAGCTCAGAAAAAGGAATTGCAGGAGGGAAAGTATATGAACAAGAAGAAAATGCCTTTCTACCTGGTGCCAACCCTCTCTATAGAAACCCATATTGGATAGAAAAATGTTTATTCCACATTTCAATAATCATGTCCTTTTATTTACAGCTGCAGTCAATATCCCTCCTACAGAAACCCATATTGGATAGAAAAATATTTATTCCACATTTAAATTTATGGCTGCAATCAATATTTCTGAAATCACTGAAGCAGACATAGCTTTTAAGAAAGAAAAAATGAGAAAGATTTTTTTTAAAAAAAACAACAGAAAACAACTAAGCTCAGCACTGGTCTGAGGTTCTTACCTTACTGTACTTTAGAATCAGCTAGGGAGCCCTAGAAGTACAGATGCCAGAGCCCACCCAAGAACAATTAAATTAGAATCTCTGAAGGTGATGCCCAGTCTTCAGTATTGTATACACTATCCTTCATGTGATTCTACTGTGTAGCTAGGATTGAGACCCATTGGCATATATTTTGGAACTGATTGGCATATTTTTGGAACTTTTGTTTAACTCAACCTTATTGGAAACAACTGTGACCAGGAGACAATTGCCCCAGTATCAGCATCAAATCCTAGAAGTTACACTGATATTAGAAAACCAAGGTACTTAGCTCTGGCCAATAAAAGAATAAAAAATAAATAAAATTCAGTAAATTTTTGTCCTAAGTGATTAATAGTCAGTACAATTTATTAGCCATTACTGTCTCTTATATTGATCATGTTTTATGACTTTGCTTTTATTAAAGTCATAAACCTTGACTTCCATAAAAATATGTAGATTTACATTTCATACATATAAAGACTAATAAAACAACTTTATCAAAAGAGAATCTTTATTTACTTACAACAAATGACAGCAAAACAGAGACCTATCTTCTGTGAAAGAGAATAGGGAATAAAGTTTAGTTTTATTTATGAACAGACTAGTTAGCAAACTAAGACTATTTTGTTCACTGGGTTATAATTCTCCTTCCTTAATATCACAGACTAAGACATTTTACAGCACAGTACCTGAATAAACAGAGTACTTTTAAGTGATTTACTTTTTAGTTCCCCCAAATTTAAACTGATTTCCTTTCTGAAGGGAGACTTGTATTTCTGATTTCATATCTTTCTCTTTCAAGGAGGGGGATTATATTGTTCTTTGCATTTTCCACTTTATGTCTTCCTTTGAGAAGGTGATATAAAATGCTTACTTAAAATGTAAAAATATATATATTGAAATATTTCTAGGACACACTGAGGTATTTGGACAAATGATTCATGTGATAAAGGTATATACTGAAAAACAGCATTTTGAAATAAATGATCTAGACTTTTGTGAATTCTGTGTTAATAGCATATGAACATTAGTAATTTACATTTTGAGGGGAAATTATGGGGATATTAACATTTTGCAAACATATGATTAGGTTAAGACTTTTCCTATGTACTCCTTCAAATAAAGCAGAAACAAGTAAGTTTAGTAAACTGCATTTTTTTCCTTGGATTTTTGTGAAACTGATTTTCAGACCTATAATTATTAGAAATTGGCAGAAAAAGAAAACCGAACCAATTTGAGTTTTTAATTTACTTCTTCCTAGATATTTTAAGGAAAATGCTATGCAATTTTAAAGGGCTAACCTTTTACTTCCCTTCCTATAGTTTGGAATTGAAACAGAGCCAATTCCAGAAGACATTGAAGATCCCAAAGCCTACAGGTATGGGAATTTTTGATAAATACTGACTAGGCCTGAGATTTTGCAAAACAAATCAACAGTGCAGAAGTTGACCAAGCTTAATGAATTTTCAAATTATTGAATACTAATTTTCTCTTTCTCTGCTGTTTCTGTATCACAACCTGTTATTGTTTTAAATTTCTGTTTTCAGTATCGAGAATGCTAGGAGAAAAAGAGAACATGACAAGTTAATGAAAGAAGTGGGAGAAATAAAGGCACGGAAGAGAGAGCAAATCAAAGCTTTGAGGAGTGAATTTTGTAATCTATTAGAAATGAATGAAAAATTACCAAAGCATATGCAGTTTAAACGAACAGTAAGCCTAATATAAACTTGATTTTTATTTTAACATATGCTATTTCTGGATAGAGATGACTATTTTCCCAACAAGTAGAAACACTTAAAATCATCTTTCTTTTTTGTTTGTTTCTTTCAAAATTTCAATAGCCATTTATTTTGGGCATCTTTTAATTTGTATGTGGGGTTTATCCCTTTTAATCAGTTAAGATTCTTGTTGACACAAATTGTTTTACATCAACTGTTGTTATAGAACACATGAAAGGAATACATGGGGAAGAAATAAAGTAGAACCCAAGAGTTCTTTTAAGTTTTCTTTTATAGAGACATGAATAACAGATACACTGAAGTATAAACAAAAATTGGCCTGAAGCGTCCGGTGGCTGGCTTCGTTGGGAACTATGGCTAAACGTCATCCCGATTTGATCTTTTGCTGCAAGCAGACTGGTATTGCTATCGGAAGACTGTGTGAAAAATGTGATGGCAAGTGTGTGATTTGTGATTCCTATGTGCATCCCTGCACTCTGATGCACATATGTGATGAGCGTTAACTATGGATCTTACCAGAGGTGCTGTGTGATCTGTGGAGGCCCTGGGGTTTCTGATGCCTATTATTGTAAGGAAGTGCACCATCCAGGAGAAGGATAGGGATGGCTGCCCAAAGATTGTCAGTTTGGGTAACTCTAAGACAGACCTTTTCTATGAATGCAAAAAATACGGCTTCAAGAAGAGGTGATTGGTGGTGGCCCCTTCCTCCCCTCCACATCAAGCTGCTGCAGCTGCCAGAAAAGATGCCTGCTACTACCAGCAGAAAGGGAGTGGAGCCCAGAGCATCACGAGGAGTGCCTTCTAGTGTACTGTCACCTTGCCACCCCCTCCTGTCCCTTCACCCAGACACATGGAAGGGATGGAAAAGGATTCTTCACAGAGCACTCCGGTACACTGTATCAGACAAAAATTGATAGATTAGCTAATGGTTTTTCTTGAATTTGAGAAGCAAAGCCCTGTTCTCCATATTGATATGTTCTCCCTCAACCAAGATCTTCTAAAAAGAAATAATATTTTAGTCTTCTGCTTGAGGATTTGACTGTGAAGCTATGCCTAGTGAAAAACATATTCTTGCAGCAGCTCTGGTGGCAGTTATCCTTGAGGAACCTTCAGTGTGTGGTGGGAAGCTATCAGAACAAGAAATGTAGGCATTTAATCTTATAACACTTGTGCTGGTTTCATGCCTTCTGAGAAATTAGAAACCCTTTCTGTTGCTATTATATTAATAAAATTGGTGTTTGTTTTCTGGTAAAAAAAAATTGTGGTCAGAATAGCAGGTCTTCAAAATATAAAGCAGAAAATAAAATACAGGTCTTTAGGCTGGGCGCGGTGGCTCATGCCTGTAATCCCAGCACTTTGGGAGGCCGAGGCGGGCGGATCATGAGGTCAGGAGTTCGAGAGCATCCTGGCTAACATGGTGAAACCCTGTCTCCACTAAAAAATACAAAAAAAATTAGCCAGGTGTGGTGGTGGGTGCCTGTAGTCCCAGCTACTCAGGAGGCTGAGGCAGGAGAATGGCGTGAAACCTGGGAGGTGGAGTGTGCAGTGAGCCGAGATCACGTCACTGCACTCCAGCCTGGGGGACAGAGTGAGACTCCATCTCAAAAAAAAAAAAAACAAAACAGGTCTTTATTCTACAATATGTATAATTATATAATTTCTTATAAATTATAAAATTACTTTAACACAATACACAAAATAATAGTAGTCATTTTTTGATTTCATAAGCATTTCAAATACAGACATGTTGAGTTGGCAAAATTATACTATAGTACGCAACTTTTGCCTCAGTGAATCTAGCTTACTAGCTCAGGCTGAATATTCACCCTCTGAAGCACTTCTTCAGGCATGCCAAAAGTAGGACTGACAGATGAAATTACATACGCGGTTTATCTCTCTCAATCCAGTGAAGGCTTCCAGTGATCTTTAGGAAAGCCAACACCCACCATGAATAGCATACACCTGCTAACTTCCCTGGCCTTCCATTAAATCCACCCAAGGGTAACTCATTCACAAAACCACTAACCAAGTAAATCATAATTTACTTGATGCAACTGACTTGGTAATAGCCAGGAATCCTGTGCAACAATAAATGTGCCCAGCATGGAATTCAGAACCTGGTCTGCAACCAAATCCACCATCAAAATTCATACACAGATAAAACAAATTCAACTGCCTTTTTTTTTTTTATATTAGTAGCATCAAGCTTCCCCAAGAGAGCCAGTTTCCACCACACAAAAAGAGAATCTTGTATCAATTTCCCCCTACTTTATAAAAGTAGATTTTTCCCATCCTATGAAACAGTTGGTCTCTCTGCCCTGCACTGTGTTCATCCCTTATCTTTCAGGCTGGCCCCCTCTGGTCCAGTAATTCTGTATGCTGATAAAACTACCACAGTGCACGCTGGAACTTCCAGCAGACCATTAGCTCCAGTTAGAGCAGCTGCTCAGTGGGACCCCAAAAGTCTCCAGCAAGAGAAACATCTTCTTTCCATAGACTTGGAACATATTCCACAACTTTTTTACATCGATAACATTAATACTATCATACAGAGTAAGAATCTGGACAGCACTAACAGTGTATAAAAGATGAGGATCATGTCTGATATTAGCACTTATTCTACCAAACTCATGTTGGCAAGACTTAATAAATGTCAGAATTTCTTCACTATTCATGCAGTGAAGTTGTCCCATGAGATCCAATACTGTCAAACCCCAATAGACACCACTCATTCTCAAATACTCAGACATATAGTATTCATAATCATCTTTCTTTGAGCCATAGGATGTGATACAATCTACATGTTTCTACAATAATAAGGTGTCTGGTGTATCTCACTTGATAATAACATGGCCATGTCTAAGAGTGAAGAGCCAAAATCATCTTTAAGCTTCTTTTTATCTGGCCAGTCAGTATGTTTGCAGCAAATAAACTACTCTAGAACTTGACACACTGCTTGGTTTGGAAGCAGATGAACCTCTTTACGTAATACAAAGTTTACTATTGGATTTACCTACCACACTTTTTTTTTTTTTTGGTAACAAGATAAGACATAAGTATAGGTTTGAATCTGGTTATCAACTCTTATTGTACTTAGCCAAAATACAATGGGTAGATGCATGTATAATTTGATTGTCTGTGCTTCTATTTCTATAATTTATCAGATCTGTTGAAAAGACAGTACCCGGTTGATCTACAAAATTTTTAAAAATGATTTAATTTAGTTGTAGCTATGGGGGCAATCACAAAATTGTTTAAGCCAATTTTGTATTCTACCTTTTTTTCTTTTGTGACTTATTGCAAAGCCCCATGTACCTGCTAGTGGTTAGCTTTTTTTCATTTTGTACCTCTTCCTAAATGGAGTTAATTAACCATCTGATCAAGTAAAAACCCATAATTCTTAATATATTCATGGGTTACCCAGTCCTGTAATTCTAGAAGCACTTTGCCAATTTCATATAAAAAATGCTTTGGTGAAATCATGATTTAATCATGTTGGTTAAAAAAACCAGGTCAAAATAGTTAAAAGACCTTTATGCTATTTTTCTAAGAAAAATGTTGAAACTTCCAGAGCATGGGTAATAAAATTTAAGATAAAAAACAACTGAGGCAAGTGCTGTGACTAAGCACTTTGTACACATCATTACTTAAATGACACACAAACACCTCTGAAAAGAATAATTACTACTCACAATTTATCACAAATATTGGCTCTGATATTTTTCCAGGGATGAGGGTAAGAAACATGAGACCTCTAAGTATCCTTATGGGAGAAAGTGGAGCCCTTTGTGAAGGAGATTCAACAAAAACTTGGTGATGTCAAGAAGACACCAGATACTGCTATCTTTCCTGGGTGGGGTCACACCAGGGGGGATGTTCAGATAATGATCAGTTGCCATAAGCATCTACCTCATGTCCAATTTTTATGTAATAGTAGTTTCTTTGAGATAGCGTCTTTAAAACTGTATACTCTCCAAATATTGATAGCATTCATTATTTTTATTGTGGGAAAAAATCTTAAACTGTGTAGCTTTATTTGTATTATTGTTAATTGCGAAGAACATTTCTCCTTATATTGTGGAAGTAAAGTTAAAATAAGCTGTTTTTCTTTTGTAATGGACAGAGTTTATGATATTTGGGGAAGAGTTATGATGCAGCATGAAACTGGGGACAAAACTGAAATATATGAAACAGAGTTGATACAGTACCCATTTTGATGAACAGATCTTCTTATCTGCAGGATTTTGATGTAGATTCCCAAATCCGTGCTGAGATGCACAGAAAAACAGCTTTCAAAATTCAACAAGTGGAAAAGGAATTAGCTTGGGAAAAAGAGAAACATGAACTCGGCCTAATGAAGCTAAAGAATCGGTAGGATCCATATTCTCTACAAGCTAAGATGTTTGAGAGCACATGTGTGAATAACATAGTTTATAGTAGTGTCAGTGAAGTGGCCAGTTAAGAGGGCTCTGGAAGTACCCACTGACTTGAAATCTCAAGGAATCCTCTTGTCACTGCTACTGATATTTTCCTGAGCTTTCTGTGCACTCCTTTCTAGTTTAAGTGTGGGAAATTTGTTTAACACTTACATTTTAAAAATTATATAATACATATTTACTTTGTTTTGATGAATTATTTATTTTATATCAAATTAATTAATGAACATGTATGTATTAAGAAATAAAAAATCAAATGGAACCAAAGGACTTTAAACAAAAGACAACCAGAGGTGGCTCTGGTTTTATCCCTCTCATGCACCAATTTGACTTCCAGGGGAATGTTTTTTTTTGCCATTTACTGAGATATAATTTACATAAAATACGTAAATCTTAACATCTTGAAAATTTTTTACAGATGTATAAATATATCTACTACTCAGATTAAGATAGAGAACATTTATAGCACTCCACAAAGTTTCCCCATGTCCCCCTCACTTCAGGAAATACTCTTCAAAGTTGAATCTTTATTGCCATGTATTAGTTTTGTTTGTGAATTCCATATAAATAGAGTGTTACAGTATGGATTCTTTTGCATCTGGCCTTTTTTTAAAACTCATATGATGTCTAAGATTATCAGTGTTGTTACATGTATCAGTAGTTCATTCTTTTCCATTGCTTTTTAATCTTTCTTTAAAATGATTATACCACAGTTTATCCCTTCTACTGTTAATAGATATTTGAGTTGTTTCTATTTTTGGCTACCATAAATAATGCTACTATGAACATTGTGTACGTTTTTTGATGGATATAAGTGCTTATTTCTGTTGGTTATATACTCAGTTGTGGAACTGCTGGGCCATAGGTTATATGCATGTTTAGTTTTGTTAGATCCTGTCAGTTTTTCAAAACGGTTTGAAAATTTACACTCTTCAGTTTACACACTTACCATCAATGTATGAGAATCCCAATTGATCCCCACTGTGTTAGTGTCTTAGGGCTACTGTAAAAAAGTACTACAAACTGATTGGCTTAAAACTGGTTATTTACTGTCTCGCAGTTCTGGAGGCTAGAAGTCCAAAATCAAAGTGTCAGGCAAGTTGGTTCTTTCTGAGGACTTGGTGGGGAGAATCTGTTCCATACCTGTCTCCAAGCTTCTAGTGGTTTGCCAGCAACCTTTGGTTTTCTTGGCTGATGAATCCATCTCTCCAAATCCTCTGCTTTCACTCAGTGTTCTCCCTGTGTCTCTTCATATAGGTTTCCCTGTGTATGTCCATCTCTGTGTCCAAATTTTCCCTTTTTATAAGAACACCAGTCATGTTTCATTAAGGCCTGCTGTCATTATCTCATTTCAACTTGATTACCTCTATCAAGACCCTATTTTCAAATAAGGTCACACTCTGAGGTGCTGGGGGTTAGGGCCTCAACATAGCTTTTTGGGGGGACACAAATCCATAATACTCATGCTTGGGATTGTCAGCCCTTTAAATTCCAGCTATTCTGTAGTAGCATCTCAGTATGGTTTAAATTGGCATCTCCCTGATGAGTGATTTTCAGTCCCTTTTCATATATGTACCAATCATTTGTATATTTTCTGTTGTTAGGTGTTTGTTCCAGTCTTTTGTCCATTTTTAAAACTGGGTTGCAGGAATTATGTATATCTTCTGGATATGAGCTTTGGTTATTTATATACATGAGTTATTTTTGGTTATTTATATATATGAGTGACTACGTATATGACATGTATGTATGTGTATATGTGTGTGTATGTGTGTGTGTGTTTACACATATAAAATACCTTGCTGTAGTATGTGGCTTTAGTCTCTTAATAGAGTTGTTTGTTGAATAGAAGTTTTTTCTTTTACTGAAGTTCAACTTATTAGTCTTTTTTTAAAGATTAATGCTTTTGTGTTATACTTAAAGAACTTTTGCCTACTCCCAATTCATAAAATAATTCTGTTTTCTTCTAGAAGCTCTATTGTTTTTACATCTTGAATAATTTTTATGGGTGGTGTGAGATCATGTCATTTGTTTTTATATTGATATCCGATTGACCTAGTATTTTTTGTTGAAAAGACCATCTGTTCCTTACTAGATTGTAGTGATGCTTTTGTCATAAGTCAGGTAACTGTACATGTGTGGGTCTGTTTCTGAACTCTTTATTCTATCTCATTGGCCTATCTGTCTATCCAGGTGCCAGTATCATTCTGTCTTAATTAAATCTTGACATCTAATATTGTAAATCCTCCAGCTTTGTTCTTCATCTCCAAGATTGGTTAGGTTCTTTGCATAGAATCAACTTGTCAATTTTTACAAAAAGCCTGCTAAAATTTGTATTGGAATTACATGGAATCTATAGAAATAATAGTCATTAAGAAATAAATTCCTATTTAGGAATAATAGACATTTAAATAATAATTAAATAATAAATATTATCTTACATAAACATGATATATCTTAAAAAGAAGCAGTTTTAATATTTTTACAGTGGTTACAACCATATATCTAAATAATATATTTATATGTATTTATTATTAGTCATTTTTATTGACTTCCTAGTGTGGTAGCTAAGGATTTTCCTCACTTTAATGTACGCTTTCCTCTACCTTCTTGAAAATGTAGAATATATTATAATAATTATATACATTTTATATATAATATGTAATTCCACATAATTATATATAAATGAAGAATACATTATAATAATTGCTTTAATGTCCTTGTCTGCTAGTTATATTATCTGCATCATTTCTGTGCATGTTTCTATTGACTGATATATTTCTCTTCATTTTGGATTACATTTTTATGCTTTTTGCCTATCTGCCTGGTAAATTTTGATTGTAAATTTTACATTGTAGGTGCTAGATATTTCTGTATATACTTAAATTTTTTTTGTAACTTTTTTTTTTTAATACTTTAAATTCTAGGGTACAGGTGCACAACCTGCAGGTTTGGTACATAGGTATACATGTGCCATGTTGGTTTGCTGCACCCATCAACTCATCATTTACATTAGGTATTTCTCCTAATGTGAGTGAGAACATGTGGTGTTTGGTTTTCTGTCCTTGTGATAGTTTGCTGAGAATGATGGTTTCCAGCTTCATCCATGTTCCTGCAAAGGACATGAACTCATCCTTTTTTATGGCTGCATAGTATTCCATGGATGGAGTCTCACTCTGTCGCCCAGGCTGGAGTGTAGTGGCGTGATCACGGCTCACTGCAACCTCTGCCTCTTGGGTTCAAGCAATTCTCTGCCTCAGCCTCCTGAATAGCTGGGATTGCAGGCACCTGCCACCATGCCCGGCGAATTTTTTTGTATTTTTAGTAGAGACAGGGTTTCACCATCTTGGCCAGGTTGATATTGAACTCTTGACCTCGTGATCCACCCGCCTAGGCCTCCCAAAGTGCTGGGATTACAAGCGTGAGCCACCACGCCTGGCTTAAATTTTTTTTTTCAATTTCAATAGGTTTTTGGGGGAACAGGTAGTGTTTGGTTACATGAAAAGTTCTTTAGTGGTGATTTCTGAGATTTTGGTGCACCCATCACCTGAGCAGTGTACTCTGTACCCAATGTGTAGTCTTTAATCCTTCACCATCCCCCACCCTTTCCCCTGGGTCCCAGCAGAGCTACCGGGCTCCAGGTTGGTACTGGGGAATGTCTGCAAAGAGTCTTGTGATGTGATCCGTCTTCAGGTCTTGAAGCCATGGATACCAGAACCTGCTCCAGTGGAGGTAGCAGGGGAGTGAAGTGGACTCTGTGAGGGTCCTTGGTTGTGTTTTTGTTTAGTGTGCTCGTTTTGTGTTGGTTGGCCTCCAGCCAGGAGGTGGTGCTTTCAAGAGCCCATCAGCTGTGGTCCTGTAGGGAGGATGCAAACTTGCCCTAGAGACACCTAGTTAAGTATTCAGGTTTCTCAGGCAGTGGGCAGGGCCGTATAGAGCTCCCAAGATATTATGACCTTTGTCTTCAGCTACCAGGGTAGGTAGAGAAAGACCACCAGGTGGGGGCAGGGATAGGTGTGTCTGAGCTCACCCTCTCCTTGGGCGGGACTTGCTGTGGCTGCTGTGGGGGATGGAGGTGTGGATCCCAGTCCAATAGAGTTATATTCCCAGGGGGATTATGGCTGCCTCTGCTGAGTCATACAGGGAAGTTGGGGAAAGCTGGTAGTCATAGGCCTGACCTTGCTCCCATGCAACCCACAGTCCTAAAGGCTGGTCTCACTCCTACCATACCCTCCCAACAGCACTAAGTCTATTTCCAGGCAGCTGCTGAGCAGGGCTGAGAACTGCCCCAGACCAGGAGCCTCCCCATTGAGAAAGCAGGCAGATTCAGTTTTTTGGCATCTCAGGGAACCTGCATGGGTGATCCAGTTCCTTCAAAGGGTCTGTGGATTCTCTCAGCTTTCCTGGGTATGTTCCTGTGATAGTTCTTGGAGCAAAAGTTCATGATGTGAGTCTCCACATGATGCTCTGTCCCCATCCGCAAGCTAATCCTGCCTCCTATCTGCCATCTTAATCTCTGTATACTTTTAACTATTCTTGAGCTTTGTTCTGGAATTCATTTAAGTTACATGGAAAAAGATTTTTTTTTTTTTTTTGAGGCTTGCCTTTAATCTTTGTTAGGTGAGATCAGAGCAGCCTTTAGTCTAGGGCTAATTTTTTTCCAGCTACTAAGACAACACTCTTCTGAGCAGAATATCCTATGTCCCATGTATTATCAGGTTTATGGGAACACAAGCTATTTCAACTGTGTGAGATCTGTGGATTATTCTGTCTGTTCCTTTCAGGTGTTTCTTTTCCCAGCCTCAGATAGACTCCTTCTTATGCAGTGCTGATTAGTGCTTAACTGCAGAGTGGAAGGGAGCCCTCTGCAGATCTTCAGAGCTCTCTCTCTCTGACTCTGGTTCTCTCTCTCTGACTCTGGTTCTCTCTCTCCCTCTGTCTCTATCGTGCAGCTGTCTCCTCTCTGGTACTTCACTCTGAAAGTTATAGCACTTCTTACCAGGTATTAAATCCCTGAATAGTTGAATTCCTAGATAATATTTCAGTATTTGAATCCCTGAATTATAACCAGATTGCTACCTGCTAAAAGATGAAAGTGGTGAAGAAGTTCCTCTCAGGAAGAACTCTCAACATAGCAGCCTATGTTTGGCTTTAATAAGTATTCACAGTATATATAAGTTTTGTGTGTGTGTGTGTGTGTGTGTGTGTGTGTGTGTGTGTGTGTGTATTCATACATATATATGAATCCTAACTCGCAAACTTAGGTATGTAAGTACATGGCTGTTCTTTATTTTATTTAAACTAACTTAAATCTGACTTTGACTCTGGGCTTCTATTCTATCAAGAAGATAGGAAAGTCAGTCTTAGTACAGCTGAAGCTCATTGTCTCATTTTCCCAGAATGCCTGATTCTTTTAGTCCTTTCATTCTGTGGTTTTTGTGCTCTGCTGGAGCAGGCAACGTTTTGTGAGACCAGGAGCCACCTGTGCCATAGATCAAACACACATACAGACATCACTCTTAAGGCCTTACCATCTCCCCAGATACTTCCAGATGCAGGGATCAAGTGCCCACAGCTCTGGGACCCACTTGCCCATCCTCCTTTGAGTCAGGGTTCACCTCTGCCTCCCTACCGTCCTTGTTATTAAATCCTCTTTTCCTTAACTCCTGCTTTCCGTCCCTGATCTGGGGACCCTCCATCCACCATAGCATCATGTTTTCAGGGAACATATGGAAGGAGATAACAAGAACCTAGCTAGCTATCTGACTGGAATGTGGGGAGAGGATAAAGTTGTACCAAATAACACTGGGTATTACCAATGTTTTCATCTTTACCAATCTAATAGGCAAAATATAATAACTCTTGGTTGAATAATCTGCATCCTTTTTATTATTGGTGGGGTTCAGCATTTCCTTTCATATGCCTGTGGTTCATTTACATGTATTCTTCTGAGAATTCTCTGTTTAGATTTCTTGTTCATTTTTCTTTGGGTTCTGTTTATTTCCCACATTATTTTTAATTTTAGCCTCTTTATCTATATTACAGATATTTGCCTTTTATTCTACATATTGTAAATGGTTTCTCCTGCTCTGCCATTTGCCTTAAACTTTGTTCATATTTTTCTAACTGTGCAGAATTTTTAATTTTTATGTGATCAAAACCAGCTATATTTTCCTTCATGTTGTGTTTGGAGTTGGTTCCTTCCAGTGGGTTCTTGGTCTTGCTGACTTCAAGAATGAAGCCGCAGACTTTTGCAGCAAGTGTTTACAGCTCTTAAAGGTGGTGCAGACCCAAAGAGTGAGCAGCAGCAAGATTTATTGTGAAGAGCGAAAGAACAAAGCTTCCACAGCATGGAAGGGGACCTGAGCAGGTTGCTGCTGCTGGCTGGGGTGGCCAGCTTTTATTCCCTTATTTGTCCCTGCCCACATGCTGCTGATTGGTCCATTTTACAGAGCGCTGATTGGTCCATTTTACAGAGTGCTGATTGTGCATTTACAATCTTTTAGCTAGACACAGAGCGCTGATTGGTGCATTTACAATCCTCTAGCTAGACAGAAAAGTTCTCCAAGTCCCCACTTGACCCAGGAAGTCCAGCTGGCTTCACCTCTCAATCCCCCCTCTAAACAGGACACCCCAACTGCTGTTGGGAATTGGGCAATGACTGCTCCAGCTACTTCCTGCTGGGTAGGGGTGAAGAAGGGGCCCTGTAGTTGTAGTGTCCTCCAGAGGGTAACTCTCTAGGTCAGCCGAAGGGCCAGTGGGTCAATCCAGGAGTCCTTGGTAGAAGTTGGTAGTTGAACTCATTAGGTTCTATTTGTAAGACCATCTGTAGCTTGATGGCATCGATTCTGGAGGAAACAAATTTGACAGGGAGGTTAAAAACACAGGGCCCGAAGGTGAGTAATAGCAAGATGGCTGTCACGGGACCAGAAAGGGGAGAAGCCATGTCGCCCAACTCCAGAGGTTGGTATGAGAGTTTGAAAGGCGTTGTCTGATTTCAGAAGCCTTTTCCTGTAAATGCCGGTTGGCATCTCGTACTATCCCTGACTGGTTAGTGTAAAAACAACACTCTTCCCCTAAGAAGGTTCAGAGTCCTCCTTTCTCAGCAGTGAGGAGATCTAGGTCTTGGCGGTTTTGGAGAGTCACTGCTGCCAAAGAGTCTATTTGGGATTGTAGAGTAAGGATAGATTTCATTATTTCTTGCAAACTGAGAAATCCTTTGAGAGTGTGTGGTAGTAGGATAATGAAGTAGATAAACTGGCTATTCCAGTTCCTGTAGCAGTAGCCATTCCTAACCCTATAATTAGGGGTATTAGTTGTATGGCTCTGTGCTGATGGACTTAAGCTTTGAGGGGTACTGATAGGGTCTGATTTCCTCAAGATTAGAGTTAGAATAATACATGTTACACTGTTAACTTTTAGCAAACTTTACTTTTGTTGAAAACCTTGTAAGTTTGGGATTTCAGTTATTCTTTGCTATTAATAAGATCTCGTTCAGTCCATATTAACTTAGAATTTGTATAGATGGCTCCTTCCTGATTCTGTAAGTACTTTAATGTTTGGCTGAGTGCAGACAGCTCACACATTTGAGCGGACCCATTATTAGGCAATTTTCCTAACCCTGCCTCTACAAGAGTTTCCTTATAACTTACTGAATACCCATTGAGTCTTTTTCCCTCAATCGCCCAGGAGGAACCATCTATTGTCCTGTCCTGAAGGGAGTTCCTCCTAGGTCTGGTCAGACCCCTGTATGGCAACCAATCAAGACCTAGATCCCCTGTTAGTAAATCTGCTGGGTCAAATCATCTTTTTCCAACAGAACCAGCCCCACACTTCAAGATTTGAGCCAGTAAGCTACCCCTTTGCCTTTCCTCTTTTTTTGACTTAGGATATTTCTGACCTGGTGAGGTGTGCTCACAATGAGGTTACCTCTAAAAGTTATTTTCCCACTTTCTTCTGCTAGCAAAGCAGCCACCGCCACAGATTGAATGCACCTGGGCCATCTGTGGGCCACTGGGCCAAGGATCTCTGATAGGAAGGCTACGGGTTGTCAGTGGCCTCAGTGCTTTCGGGCTACACCCTTGTTTACACTGACAACAAGGTGGTATTGGAGTGTTATAAGGTCATGGAGAAGACTGTCAATTATCAATTATAGGTTTTAAATTTACCCTGGCTTTTAAAGGAATAGGGTACACTCTTTTCTTTACTACTTCCATCTCTCTTTCTTTCTCTTCGGCTTCTTTGTCTCTTTCTCTCTTTCTGACTCCCTCTTTGTCTGTCTCTTCCTCTCTCTCTTTGACTTTCTGTCTCTCTCTCTCTCTCTGACTCTCTCTTTGTCTCTCTGTCTCTTTCTCTCTCTCTGACTTTCTGTCTCTTTCTTTCTTCCTCTCTGACTCCTTCTTTGTCTGTCTCTTCCTCTCTTTCCTTCTCTTTCTTTTTGACTTCCTGTCTTTCTCTTTCTCTCTGTCTTTGTCTCTCTGTCTCTTCCTCTCTCTCTCTCTCTTTCCTCTCTGCTGGTCTTTCTCTGCCTCTGCCAGCCGCTTATGCTGCTGTTCTCCCCTCTCCTTCCCCTTTTCATGGCTTCGGCAGTGTAAGACTGCCACCTCGTTGGGTTTTTGCACTGTGTGCAATAACTCCATGGTTTCCTTGTGATATTTAATGGGGGTGCCTCCAGAGGTTAGGAACTCCCTTTCTTTCCATATTGCAGAATGGGCATGTAGGATTAGATAAGCATACTTACTATCTGTAACAAAGTCTCCCAATTACAACTGAGGAGGTGGGAGAAATACCTGGCTACAGGCTGTCCCAGGATTCCTCGGATGGTAACAGACCTTGAGGATAGCTGTCTGGGACAGGAGATTAACACTGAGAAAGCTGCACCAGTGTCCAGGAGGAAGTCAATTTCCTGGTCCTCAATGGTTAAACATACCTGGGGCTCAGTGAGGGTGATGACATGAGCTGGCACTTGCCCCGGGAGCCCTCAGTACTGTTGTTGGATCATCTGTTTAGGGGCTTCTGGCCCAGAGAACCTTTGTCCTCTGCGGCAGTGCACCTTCCAGTAATTGCCTCGGGATAGTGGACATGGGCAAGGGAGCAGCTTGTTTCTCATTGGACAATCTTTTTTAAAGTGTCCTTGCAAACCACACAGATAACAAGCCCTACCAGGTGATTGGCCTGCTCCATTTTCTGTCCTCTCTAACCACCGAGGTTTGTCTGAGGGCCATGACTAAGCCTGCGGCCTTTCTCTGATCTCGCTTTTCCTTTTCGGCATGTTCCTCTTGGTACCTATTATAGAACACTGAGGTTGCCAGGTTTAATAATGCCTCCAGATTTTGTTCAGGGCCCAGGGCTAGCTTTTGGAGCTTTCTCCTGATACCTGTGGCTGACTGGGAATAAACTTATCTTTTAGGATAAATTGACCCTCGAGGGAGTCGGCTGACAGGGGAGTATATTTTCTTAAGGCCTCCCATAGCAGCTTGAGGAAGGCAGAAGGATTTTCTTCCTTTCCCTGAGTTATGGTGGACATCATTGAATAATTCATGGGCTTTTTCTTAATTGTCCTTAGTCCTTCTAGAACACAGGTCAACAGATATTTGCAACTCCAGTCCCCATGATCTGAGTCGAGGTCCCAGTGGTGATCCATACTGGTGACGGCTTGCTGACTGGTAGGGAATTTGTCCCTTTCTTCGGCTGTCATTCTATCATTTACTTGACTAAGATACCAGGTATCTCCAACTCTCAGGTTGTAGCTAAAGCTGCATTCTTTTCATTAAAGGCCAGGGTTTGATCTAACAATAGCATGACATCTCTCCAAGTGAGGTCAAAGGTTTGTCCTAGACCCTGTAGGACATCTGTGTACCTATCGGGATCATCTGAAAACTTCCCCAGGTCTGCCTTGATCTGCTTTAAATCAGAGAGGAAGAAGGGGACATGTACCCGGGTTGGGCCAAATTCCCCTCCCCCTACAGCTTGAAGGGGACATAACCAATAGCCTGGGAGTTTTTGTGGTCCCTTGGAGATTTCTTTGCTTATTTCCTTCTGGGCAGGGGAGATTAGAGGAGGCTTATCATTAATAGGAAGGGGGGCTATAGGGAGGCTAGGATATGGAGGTAAGCTGAGAGATCCTCCTGTGGGATGTAAATTGCAAGCTTTGCATAGCTGTGTATTCTCCTTCAATGAAAAGAAAGCTTGGAGATAAGGTATTTCACTCTATTTGCCTTCCCTCTTACAGAAAAGGTCAAGCTGCAGGATAGTATTGTAATTTATACTTCCCTCAGGTGGCCATTTTTCCCCATCAGAGAGAGAATATTGGGGCCAGGCTGTAGTGCAGAAAAAAATGAGCCACCTCTTTTTCAGGGTTTGTGGGTCAAATTGGTCCCAGTTGCTTAGGATGCATTTCAAGGGTGAGCCTGTTGATGCCTGAGTGTTTCCCATGTGAAAGGAAAAACCGCCCGCGGTTTTGATTTGTTTACTTCCCCCCGACCCAAGAACCTGCAATGGTCCCTGGACCCTGCTGATCAGAATAGTTGCACTCACCAATGCAGCAGCAGAAACCCCTCTTGCCCAAGAACCTGCAATGGTCCCTGGACCCTGCTGATTGGAATAGTTGTGCTCACCAATGCAGCAGCAAAAACACTAGTTTTCCTCTTAGACCACAAGGAGGACAGAGGAAGGTTGGATTTAGTGGCCCTTACCAATGCATTCTTGAAAACCTGCACTCTTGCCTGTCCTCTTAGACCACAATGAGGACCGAGAAAAATCGGATTTAGTGGCCCTTACTGATGCATACTCAAAAACCTGTTAGAGTCCTAGGCATTCTCCTGTTAGTATCGGGACTTTACCCCTGTCCTATAAAGATGTTATGCCCCCAAAATGAAGTAGAGGACCATACCCTGAGGGAGGGAAGGGATCTCTGGGGTTGGAAGAGTGACGCCTTTTGTCCTCACTTGAATAGGAAGGATATCATTTCTGAAGCTCCCCACATCCTAGCTTCAGGAATAGCTTTTGTTAGGCCCGCTTGTCTGAGGAAGGATCCTAAAAGGATAGTTGGTCTCCCCACCCAATGGGGCTTTGGGCAAAAATTATATCTTTCTGATTGGTGAGCCCAGGTGCCTAAAGAAGGGAACAGAGTCCTGAAGTTTATACTAGAAATCATTATAGGAGAAACTAGAAAAGCACCAGAGACGGGGTAGTTTTTAGAAGCGGGATTAGCCTCAGAGAAGAGAGGCAGGAGGAAGTTTGTCTGACAGGCATTAAGACCCAGGAGGCAAGTGTCAGGATAGATAGGATAGACAGGTGAGCCTTGCTTGGGCGACGTGACTTTGAGAGTTCCACTCATGGCTACAGGGTCAACCAACTTTTTGTCAGAACCCCAGAACTGAATGATTTTCCTCTCTCTTGACCGTTGGCTCAGCCCAAAAGCGGAAGCTGTTTCCAGGCAAACCAACGCTCCCAACTCCAGAGTCGGGGGTTGTTAGAGAGCCCTTTCCCAGAAAGCCTGACACCCATGTCTTTAGTCCGGCGGCCACGCTAGTCACTTTTAACTGGCTGACAGGTGTCCAGTATTTAGCCCCCGAATTCTAAGGAAAAATAGGGCAGAAGAGCAAGCTAAAGGGGTCTGATGGTACTCACTGCATGGCGATGTCCCATCTGGGTCGCCAAGATGTGTCCAGAGTTGGTTCCTTCCAGTGGGTTCTTGGTCTCGCTGACTTCAAGAATGAAGCCACGGGCCTTCGCGGTGAGTGTTATAGCTCATAAAGGTGGTGTGGACCCAAAGAGTGAGCAGCAGCAAGATTTATTGTGAAGAGCAAAAAAACAAAGCTTCCACAGCATGGAAGGGGACCCGAGTGGTTTGCCGCTGCTGGCTGGGGTGGCCAGCTTTTATTCCCTTATTTGTCCCTGCCCATTTCCTGCTGATTGGTCCATTTTACAGAGTGCTGATTGGTCCATTTTACAGAGTGCGGATTGGTGCCTTTACAATCCTTTAGCTAGACACAGAGTGCTGATTGGTGCACTTACAATCCTTTAGCTAGACACAGAGCGCTGATTGGTGTGTTTTTACAGAGTGTTGATTGGTGCATTTACAATCCTGTAGCTAGACCCAGAGTGCTGATTGGTGCGTTTTTACAGAGTGCTGATTGGTGCACTTAAAATCCTTTAGCTAGATACAGAGCACTGATTGGTGCATTTTTACAGAGTGCTGATTGGTGTGCTTACAATCCTTTAGCTAGACACAGAGTGCTGATTGGTGCTTTTTTACAGAGTGCTGATTGGGGCACTTACAATCCTTTAGCTAGGCACGGAGCGCTGATTGGTGCGTTTTTACAGAGTGCTGATTGGTGCACTTACAGTCCTTTAGCTAGACACAGAGCGCTGATTGGTGCATTTTTACAGAGTGCTGATTAGTGCATTTACAATCCTTTAGCTAGACACAGAGTGCTGATTGGTGTGTTTTTACAAAGTGCTGATTGGTGAACTTACAATCCTTTAGCTAGACACAGAGCGCTGATTGGTGCGTTTTTACAGAGTGTTGATTGGTGCATTTACAATCCTTTAGCTAGACACGGAGCACTGATTGGTGTGTTTACAATCCTCTAGCTAGACAGAAAAGTTCTCCAAGTCCCCACTCAACCCAGGAAGTCCAGCTGGGTTCACTTCTCAATGTTAATCTGGGTCTCATGGAAAGGCTAAAATTTAAAAGTTCCAGTGGGCAAATACATAAAGGAAATAAGTCTTAAAGAGATGAGAAAGATAGTATGTATGAAAGAAAAGGGAAAATTAAAAAGAAATAGTAAATCATTTTAAAAGCAGACATAGAGTTTAAAAGATTAAGTTAGAAAAATAGTAAGAAAGGCAAACAAGCTAGGAATAATCAATCTATACAAAAATAAATTAAATTCTAAGAAGTGCTTGTTTGTGTGTGTGTGATAATTATGAACCAATGCCCCCAAATAACAAGGCAATTGATGAAAAAAATTTGTTAATTAATTTTTTTAGTTGATAGATGAAGAGCTTTTAAAAATAAGACTCTGTGGGCTATGAGAGAAAGATGAACTAGAGATTAGTATGATTTCCTGAGCTTAATGTTTTTTACAGAGGCAAATAGGGGAATCTGATAGATTGGGACTTTCATTAAATGTCATTAAACATGGAAAATTGAGGGGCAAAGAGTAGAAATGAAGAGGTTTGCACTTTTATTCAACTGCTCAAGGTCTGCTCTTTTTATAGTTACTATGTGCAAATAAATTGCATTGCCACATGTATGGAAACACACACATATATATACACCACACATACCATGTAATTTAAGAAAACAAAATGTATTTTTAAAACATTTTGTGAGGTGAAGAATGAACATTTTTTAGTCTCTGGGGAATGAGAGTTAAAAATTATTTTTCCACTTTTTGATTTAGAGACCTTCACTCACACACAGATATTAACATATTTGTTTATATAATTTACATGTTTATATTTATTTGTATATCTATGCATCAAAACACATACACAAACTATATATCTATTATAATATCTATTATACATTTTATATAATAATCTATTATATATGTATATGTATAGATATATATACATAATATATAATATATAGTCTATTATATATAATATGTAGGGAGATGGATTCTATTTCCTCAGAATTTGATATGATCTATTTACCATTAAACTGCAGTTTACCTGCAAAATTTTCATTTTTCCACATATTATGAAAACACTGGTATTATAGTGATTAATAATGAGTTGTTTAGTATTTTCATTAGAAAGACTATATTTGCTCTTTAATCAAGTCCAATCCAACTTTCATGACATCCTGGTTGGTATATATATGTTAAAATTTGAGTCTAGCACAATATAATGATATAATAAGAATAGTGTATTGTAGTTTTATTTTATTACTTAGTAATTATGCAGAATGATCAAAATGGTGACTACTGCAAATACTTGTTTTATTTTTTCAGATTTCGAGATCCACTGGAAAGTGATACTATTGTGGTTCATGCCATACTGAGTGACCACAAGATATCCTCTTACAGGCTGGTGCAGCCCTCTAAGTACTCCAAATTCAAACGAGCTAGTCAATCAGAGAGAAAACCAAGCAAATTGGACAGGTTTGAAAAAGAGGGACCTGGAAGAAAGGACAGCCAGAGAGATGCAGGTAGCCTATGACAAGAAGGCTTTTAAATTCTTATTTACTAAGACTTCAAAAGTGAATTGTCTGTGGACAGAACCATTGAACCTTCTTTGGTGGCTTGAGCTCAATCTCTTGCCCCTCTTCCTTCCATGATGGTTTTCTTTGGAGTAAATAATCAAGAGAGACAAAAGTGTATGGTATAGCTGAGAATGAGAGGCCACATTTTCCCAAGAAATGCTCCATGTCCACTTTCCTCTTTAATGTAGTTTGTAAGAAAACCTACCCTGGTCATGTGACTGAGAGTGGGTGAGAGGACTGGATGCTGCTGTTTTCTTACTTGCCACATCTAGCTATTCTTAAATCTAGGATTTCCCCAGATGCTAGGTTCTAGGCAGTGGTTCGTTTTAGATTCCTGGGCCCTATTCCAAAGTGTAGGGCTAAAACACTGCATTTCAGACTATTTTCCAAGAACATATGCTTTAAATAGAATGATCAGAGAATAGAGGTATGAAAATAGTACCTCTAATCCCTGCAACCTGTTTCTTCTGGCTGCCCACAAGGTGACTGCAGATTAGTAAAAGAACAAGAATTCTGGAAATGGCTTGGAGAGCCATTCAATAATAAATAAAAGGTGCTGCTGCAGCCTGGCTAGATCTAGGCTATTGACAGTGATATAATACGAACATTAATATTGGTTTATCTTCTTCATTGGGAACTCTTTAATGTCTCCTTTTTGCTTCTAGGATAAATTCTGAAACCGCTGTCCTGATACTTAATCCTTCCACAATCTATCCCTGTTCTACGTTTCCAGTAGTGCTTTCTCATACTGTTCAGCTTGTCTGTTTAGTCTTTTGTCCTGCCTGCTGCTCCCTGATTATGTCTAACACTTCCTCACCCAGGCTCCTGCCAGAGTGACCTCTTCACTTCTCTCCTGTCTGAATTCTACCAATTCTTGGGGATGTAGCTTAAATTACACTTTTGTTTATAAGGCCTTCCCATGACCACACAGGCCACATAAACTCTTCTTTCTCTATACCGCTATATATTTGAAATTTGAAATATGAAATATGATGAAATGGTTATTTATAACTATATAAATATCTCATATTATTTAATTTTTCATGTCTCTAAAGCTTGAACACGAATAGAGTAATTCCCCAATAGGAACTTGTTAGTAGACCAGGTGTGGTGGCTCACACTTGTAATCCCAGCACTTTGGGAGGCCAAGGCAGGTGAATCACTTGAGGTCAGGAGTCCGAGGCCAGCCTGGCCAACATGGTGAAACCCCATCTCTACTAAAAAATACAATAATTAGCTAAGCACGGTGGCACATTCCTGTAGTCCCAGCTACCCAGGAGGCTGTGGCGGGAGAATCACTTGAACCCCAGAGGTGGAGGTTGCAGTGAGCCAACATTGCATCATTGCACTCTAGCCTAGGTGACAAAGTGAGACTCTGTCTCAAAAAAAAAAAAAAAAAAAAGAAAGAAAGAAAGAAAAGAAACTTGTTAGTTGATACAGCCATTTTTTTTTAATTTTTTATTTATTTATTTATTTTTGATACAGAGTCTCTCTCTGTTCCCCACGTTGGAGTGAAGTGGTCCAATCTAGGCTCACTGCAACCTCCACCTCTCAGGTTCAAGCAATTCTGGTACTTCAGCCTCCTGAGTAACTGGGATTACACCCGGCTAATTTTTTTTTTTTTATGTATTTTTAGCAGAGACGGGGGTTTCACCATGCCCAGGCTGGTCTTGAACTCCTGAGCTCAGGCAATCTGCCTACCTTGGCCTTACAAAGTGATAAGATTATGGGAGTGAGCCACCAAGCCTGGCCATAAAGCCAATAATTTTTAAATTATTTATTTGATTGTGTTTCTGATGAGTTTTTTAGTTGGCTTCAGAGCACTTCAGTTGGTATGTGCAACCTCAAATTGTATGTATCGAATTGGACTTACTCGATTTTTCTCCTTTTCCCCACCATCATCTCACAAACACTCTTTCCCAACATGTTAGTGGTCCACCATCATTTATCATGTTCTCTAATTGTTTATTATATATCTTATCTTGCCAACTTTTTAATAAGGGTTTTAAAAGCAAAAAATGTGGCTTAGATCTTTTTATTTTGACATTCCACAGTACTTATTATGGGGTTGAATTCATAGTAGTTGGTCAATAAATACATTTTTGTTTTTGTTTTGTTTTGTTTTGTTTGAGACAGAGTCTCACTCTGTTCCCCAGGCTGGAGTGCAGTGGCAAGATTTCAGCTTACTGCAACCTCTGCCTCCTGGTTTCAAGCAATTCTCCTGCCTCAGCCTCCCAAGTAGCTGAGATTACAGGAATGCACCACCACGGCTGGCTAATTTTTGTATTTTTAGTAGAGATGGGGTTTCACCACGTTGCCCAGGCTGGTCTCAAACTCTTGACCTCAAGTGATCCACCCGCTTCAGCCTCCCAAAGTGCTGGGATTACAGGCAAGAGCCACCACAACTAGTGCTCAATAAATACTTTGATTTACAAATTCAATATATTCTCTGTGTTTTTTCTAATGCAGCAGGTTAAAAACAATATCTGAGAGTTTTGTTTTTATGTCTCAAAAAGGCTGAAAAATGTTGATTCTCTATGTAGGTGGGAGTGTTACCATACAAGAAGAATCAATAATAGAAAAAGGGAAGAAATTTCGGCCTAAAACCCTAAGTGAAATCATCGTGGAAAATCAAATTGAGAAAACGAGAAAACTTATATTAAAAGCTGAAAGGGCACAACTAAAGATTCAACAGCGAAAAAAAGAATGGGAGGAACTGTGAGTTTTTTTTTACCTAAACTCTTATCTTTTTAATATGTGAGCCCCAAAATAATATATCTTAAAAATCTTTATATTTATTGACATTGTTATCATTTAAAATCAAAAGTGAAAACAATAAAAACAAAGAAGGAGATATTATAAACAGGTCAGCTGGATCTTTTAGGGTGGTGATACTTTGGTAGAACTTCTGTAATTCTTAGAGTTTCCGGTCCAGGAATTCCATTTTGCTAATAATACTGTATAGTCAGAATGATTTTTAAGAATTAAGAAATGCTTTTCTATCTCAAAATTATAAACATATTCTCCTGTATGTTCTTCTAACATCTTATAGTTTTGGCTCGTACCTTTATCTTTAACCATCTGAAGTTAATTGCTTTCTTTTAAAAAAAAAAATCCAGTATTGATATGGGAGTGCTGGGAAGGGAAAGGAGTGGTCCCTTTAAATGATATGGAAGGGAGGAAGGGAAGTGCTGGGTAGCGAAAGGCGTGGTCCCGGGCTGGGGCTCCATCCCCACGGACCTAGGTGAGGACAGGCATTTCCTGCCCAAGTGTTGCATTTCCCAAGACCACCCTGGCTTGCCATGCCCCTATCCTGGGCCTATTAAAACCTGAGACCATAGCAGGCAGACACAGAAGTGGCTGGACATCATGAGGGACACATTGGCAGAAGAAGACACAAGTAACTGGTCATCAAGAGCACGCTGACAGGCATCAACAGATGCCAGCACGCCGGCAGGCCATTGACCAGTGGGACGAGGCAGAGTTTGGCGGGACAGTCGGGCTGGGGCTGCCGAGTGGCCCAACTCCAGGGAAAAACCATCTCCCTTCTGGTTCTCCCATTGGTGGAGAGCTACTTCCACTCTATAAAAATTTGTACTCATTCTCCAAGCCCACATGTGATCCGATTCTTCCAGTACACCAAGGCAAGAAACCCCGGGATACAGAAATCCCTCTGTCCTTGTGATAAGGAAGGGGGTCTAATTGAGCTGGTTAACACAGGCTGCCTATAGACAGCAAGCTAAGAGAGCATCCTGTAAGACACGCCCATTGGGGCTTCAGCTGCAAACATTCACCCCTAGACACTGCCATGGGGTCGGAGCCCCACAGCCTGCCCGCCTGTATGCTCCCCTAGAGGTTTGAGCAATGGGGTACTGAAGAAGCGAGCCACACCCCCATCGCACACCCTGCGAGGGGGACAAGGGAACCTTTCCCATTTAAACTGGGGATTGCGGAAGGTGAGTGTGAGTGAATGCCAAACTTTTGGGTCTGCCTCTCTTTCGAAACCCTGCCACCTTTCTCTTTCCTGTGGGTAAGAGGCTCTGTTTCTCTTCACTGAGTTTTAAAAACTCCACCCTAACTGGGAGGTCGAAACCCCCAGACTTTGTCTCTTTTCTGTCTTTGAAATGGTTCTTATCTCTTTTTTTATAATGTTCTGAGTTTTGTTACAGGCTGTGGAAATGTTACTAAGCTAAATGAGCATTAGGCTCAGCCTCCGAAGGTGAAAATCAGACCAACTGTTCCTAGAGATGCCATGTATGCCTCCACTTTGACAGCTGCAGGCATGCATGGCTCAGGGCACCTCTCCTTACCCTTTTTCCTCCCAGATTGGGCACCTGGGCATGCCCGCAGCAGGCAAGGGTCGAGCCCAACAGTCACGAGCAGGGCGGGAGAAAGCCATGATGGTAGCCGCAACCCCACAGGGCCAATGGACATGTGCTTCTCGCCCACCACGCCAATTGACCCTCTCCTCCCCTGGCCAAGGAATTCAATCTAGTCTGAACTGGGGGACAGATACAAGGATTAGAAAGGCTCAGTTGCACTAAGCAAGGGGTTCTTCCCCCAGACTCTCTCCTCTTTTTGCCCCCTAAACTGTTTTTCTTTTTTTCCTTTTCTAAGTGAGAGGGCTCCCCCTAGCTCTGTTTCTGATATGAAAGTTAACAGGAATGGCCCCTGCTGGCTGAGAACTGCAAATTTGGCAGGGCACATTTGAGACACTCTAAATAGATACAAACAGCCTCTAAAATACTTTTTCAGTCCCAACCTCGATTCCAAGCTTCAGGTTGAGGCCCTAGAAAGAAAATCCCGGTCTGAGGGATCCAAAGCCAGGCAACAGGCACAATGTAAAGCAGGACCAATTCCTGCGGAGTAAACCTCTCACCCCATGGAAGGAGACCATGCTTCATGGCATAAACAGGCCCAAGGTACTCAGTTTTCCGACAGCAGGGAGAAATGGAGGCATAGGTGAGGGTGGTTAATTCCTATTCTCCAGGTTTCCCCTACTTCATTGGTACATACCGCAGTGGTACCTATGGCCAGCTCAGGGATAAGGGGTGGAAAGTGAAAGGAGGATGCTAGCTTTCTGTCTCCATCACACTCTGAGTTTTCACTGAAAGAAGGAAAGGAATGAGGGCTGCCTCTATTCCCTGTCTTTCAGAATGGGCAACCAGTTCTCTTCACCACCCCCAGCTGGAGTGTATCCTGAACCACTGGGACTGTTTGACCCTCAGAATCTGGAGGAAAAACCTCTCATAGCCCTCTGCACAAGGGTTTGGCCAAATTATGATTTACAGGAAGGATGGCTTGGCCTCAGGAAGGAACCATTCATTTTTGATACCATTCAGCAGTTGGAATTTTTCTGTGGATGTGAGGACAGATGGTCTGAAGCCCCATATGTGCAGGCTTTGTATAGCTTGCAAGGCAATCCAGACTTTTGCCAACAGTGTAGGATTGATTGATTCAGCCCTCCTGTTGGCCATCTCAGGTTGCAAGGGGTAAACCCAGGGAATTAAAGATATGAGTCTCAGAGGCACCCCCAGCAGAGGAGTCAGCTCTCTCCAGCCTTGCTCCTCCGGATCCACCTTGACCTCCTTATCCAGCTTCAGCCCCTCACTTGCCCCCTCTTAGAAATCCTCACCCTAAACAAGCCCCAGTCTCACTCTTGCCCCTCCAACAGATGCCCAGTGAATTTGGGCCCAGTAAGGCCAAGGTCCCCTTCTCCCTACAGGACTTACAGCAAATGAAGAGAAATCTTGGCAACTTTTCAGATGACCCTGTGAGACTTTCCAGAATTTCACCCAAATGTTTGAACGTTCCTGGAGAGATGTTATGTTACTTTTCAATCAGACCCTGACAGACACTGAGAAGCAGTCTGCTCTGCAAGCAGCAGAGAGATTTGGGGATTAAAAAAAAAATCTGGTATGAGGTAGTTTCACGTGACAAGCACATATTTTCATTGGTTTATTTGCCATCTATATATTTTTAGTGACATGACTCTTCGTGTCTTTTTCTCACATTTGAATAGGATTGTTCGCTCTTTTACTGTTGAGATTTTAGACTTCTTTATATATTCTAGATACTAGTCCTGGATATATACTATATGCTAGTTGGATATATAGTTTACAAATATTTTCTGTTAGTCTGTAGCTTGTCTTTTCATTCCCTTAACAGAGTTTGTTCTTTTTTTTTTTTTTTTTTTTTTTTTTTTTGAGACATTGTCTCGTGTGTTGTCCAGGCTGGCATGCAGTGGTGCAATCTCAGCTCACTGCAAACTCCGCCTCCTGGGTTCAAATGATCCTCCCACCTCAGCCTCCCAAGTAGCTGGGATTACAAACATGTGCCACCACTTTTGCATTTTTTTTTTAGTAGAGACAGGGTTTCATCATGTTGGCCAGGCTGGTTTGGAACCCCTGACCTCAAGTGATCTACCTGCCCTGGCCTCCCAAAGTGCTGGGAATACAGGTGTGAACCACTGCACTTGGCCTCCCTTATTAGAGAGTTTTGTCACAGAGCAACAGTTTTTAATTTAGTTGATGTCCAACTTACCAATTTTCCTTATATAAATCTTGATTTTGGTGTCAAGTCTAAGAACTCTGCCTTGCCCTAGGTCCTAAATATTTTATCCTATTTTTGTTTAAACATTTTATAGTTTTTCATTTTATATTTAAGCTAATTTTTAAATAAGTTATCAGACTTAGGTTGAGATTTGTTTGTTTTTTTCTTACGGATGTCCAATTACTCTAGCATTTTTGTTGAAAAGACATTTCCTCCTTTGAATTCCTTTTGCACCTTTGTCAGAAATCATTTGGACATATTTGTGTGGGTCTATTTCTGGGTTTACTTTCAAGTCTGTTGATCTACATATCTATCCTCTTACCAACACTACATTGTCTTGATTCATATATTTATATAATAGATCTTGAAATCCAGTAGAGTGATTCCTCTCATTTTATTTTTCAAAATTATTTTAGACATTATAATTACTTTGTCTTTCCATATAAATTTCAGAAAAATCTTGTCTATATGTATACAAAATCTTGCCATAATTTCAATAAGAATTATGTTAAAGCAGTGTATTACTTTGGGGAGAATTTGTATCTTTATTGTGTTGAGTCTTCTAATCCATGGACATGGTATGACTTTCCATTTATTTAGATTTTTGATTTCTTTCATCAGTGTTTTGCTGTTTTCAGCATAAAAAGTTCTATACATGTTTTGTTAGATTTGCACATATGCATTTCTTTTTTGAGCAATTTTAAATGGTATTGTGTTTTTAATATTGGTGTCTATGTGTTCACATTCACTGCTAGCATAGAAATATAATTGATTTTTGTTTGTTTATCTAGTATCCTGTGACCTTTCTGAACTGTCTCAGTTGTAAGATTTTTTTGGTAGGTTTCTTGGTATTTTAAGTGTAGACAACCATGTCATTTGTAAACAGGAACAGTTTTATTTCTAATCTGTTTGCATCTTATTTCCTTTTCTTATTGCACTGGCTAGAACTTCCAGTACTATATTGAAATACAGTGGGAAGAACTAGCATCCACACTTTGTTCCTTATCTTAGGAAGCATTCAGTGGTTAAATAATATAACTGCTTCCATCCTTTACCTCAATCTACCTATACTTTTATATTTGAAGTTAGTGTCTTTACTAACTTCACTAGGCAACATAAAATTGGGTCATGTTTTTAAATCCATGCTGCCCATTTCTGTCATTCAATGGTATATTTAGACCATTTATGTTTAATGTACTTATTTATATTTAGGGCTTACATCTGCTATTCTATATTTTGTTTTCTGTTTGTTCTATTTTTTGGATTTCTGTTTTCTTTCTTCTGCTTTACTAAGGAATTTGTCAATGAATTCATCTGTAAGTATTCTTTGAGGGATAGTTTTAAATACAAATTTAAAATTTTTGTTGTTATAGTGCTATCCAGATGTTCTATTTCTTCTTGAGTTAGTTTTTATAATTTGTGTCTTTGAAGAAATTTGTGCATTTCATCTAAGTTGTCAATTTTATTGGCATAAGGTAGTTTATATTACTCCCTTATATTTATTTTAATTTCTGTAGTATCTGTTTTGATGCCCTCTGTTTTATTTATATTGTTAATTTTCATATTCTCTCTTTTTCTTGATCATTCCAGCTAGTGATTTACCCATGTTATAGATCTTTTCAAAGAACTAGCTTTTGGTCATAGATTTTAAAATATTGTTTGGTCTGCTTTCTCTGTCATTGATTTACTATTATTTTTATAATTTCTTCCCTTCTAGTTAACTTAGGTTTAATTAGCTTTTAGTTTCTTGCTTCTTAATGTGTAAACTTGTGTATAAGCTTTGATTCTATGCCCTTCTTCTTTTGTAATATAAACATTTAAACTATAAATTTCCTCCTAAGCATTGAGTTAGCTGCATTACACATTTTCATATGGTAGACATTTATTATCACTTAGTCCAAAGTATTTCTAATATCCCTTGTGATTTCTTCCTTGACTTGTAGTTTAGTTTCCAAAGATTTGGGGTTTAAAAAATATCTTCCTATTAAATTTCTAATTTAGTTGTTTGTGGTAATAGAAAATAGTCTGTATAATTTAAGTTATTAAAGATTTATGGAGAACTGTGTTATGGCCACGCATATACAGTCTATCTACGTAAAAATTCAATATGTGCTTGAAAAGAGTATGCTTTCTTGCATTGCTTGGCATAGTGTTCTATAAATGTCAATTAGGACAAGAGGATTGATAATGTTTTTCATATCTTCTATGCCTTTCTCTCTTTGAAGCATGATTTTTTATGATTATTCTTGAATGTCCTCTGTACTCAACAAGGTCTCTCCAGTTGATGGGAACATGAGTGATTCCCAGCTATGTGTAAACTATGAGAATTATTTGTTCTACAGTTTCCCAGTAATTGTACTTTTCCTAGGAATTGTTCTTTGCCCAGCTTCATGGTGGTTCACATTACACATGTACAGATTAATACTCAGCCAAAATGTTAAGGCGCTATGTAGATTTCCAGAAGCATTTCTTTGTGTACCTCTGATATTCTTTTCCACAAATTCTTAGCACCAAATTTGGCCTCCCTGTACTCTGATCTCTGTCTCTTCAGTCAGTGAGTTCACTGGGCTGTATTTGGGATCCTGATCCTACTCCACAGGCTGGTAATTTCCTCTCTGCGGCAGCCAGGAGATAATAAGGATCATGTCTTTTTACTTTTCTCAAGAATTACAGTTTTATGCTGCTTATTTTCAGTGTCTGAACATAGTTGTTTCACATATTTTTTGTTCAGTTTTCTGGTTGTTTATATTATGAGGATAATAATGGGCCCTGTTACTCTCACATGGCCAGAGGCAGAAGTAGCTCTTCTCTTCCCTTCCCTCCCTTTTTCTTTCCTTCCTTTTTCTTTCTTTCCTTTCCTTTCTCCCTTTCTCCTTTCCTTTTCTTTAAAAATAGTAATCCTTCATTTTAGTGCAGTTTTACACAAATAAATGATTATCAGTTAATACAATAGATGGTATGGGTTTCCTGTGAGAGCTATGTGTACACGCTCATGTTGGCTAGTAGACTTTACTTTAAAAAATTAGACAGGAATGTTGTGATCTCCCAATGAAGGGCCTTTTATTAGTACCAAGGTACTATGATAGCCCATACCTTTAGATACCTGAGTGCTTCCAAAGCAAGAGTTCAGTTTCTGTAGAGAGTAATTCTTCAATTTTAGTCTGGATATAAAGATTGCCACTGTTTCGTATGTGTGTAGGTGGGAAAGTTTGGGAGGGCCCAACTGGTTTAAGCATTTTTTTTTCAATCCTTTAATTAATTTTGCTAAATATATCTAGCATTCCATTCCACTCTCTATACCTGTCCTCTTTGTGCTTGGAGCATTCTAGGGACTTCACCAAGAAGATAATATTCAATCCTTTTTGTGGCCTTATCTTGTGGGTATTCTGGGCTATAGTTTGGTCTGGTTTATTCATTAATGTAATTTCATCTTCTTTTTGTCTTCCAGAAATGGATCAGTGTCACTGGTTTGCTCATGGCTTTCTATTCCATTCTTAGCTTTTCTGATAATTTACAATGTTTTGTACTTCTATATTGTCATTTTCAGGGAATCTGGGGACAGAGGGAGAGGCAAATATGTATGCTCATGCTATCATCTTAAACTAGATACCTTTTCTGAAAATTTTACAGCAAGCACTTATGCAATTACAAAGTTTAATTTTCTGGGCATGATGGCTCACACCTATAATCCCAGCACATTGGGAGGCTGAGGTGGGCGGATCATGAAGTCAGGAGATGGAGACCATCCTGGCCAACATGATGAAACCCCGTCTCTACTAAAAATACAAAAATTAGCTGGGTGTGGTGGCGCATGCCTGTAGTCCCAGCTGCTTGGGAGGCTGAGGCAGGAGAATCGCTTGAACCTGGGAGGTGGAGGTTGTAGTGAGCCAAGATCACACAATTCACTCCAGCCAGGCAACACAGTGAGACTCCGTCTCAAAAAAAAAAAAAAAAGTTTAATTGACTTTTTAGTCATTAAAAAACCCACCTAATTTCCAAGGCTTAATTTATATCAAGAGAATAAATAACAATGTTAATATGAATTACTTAGAAGTGAACCAAAGCCTACCAGTAATTCAGATTATTTCAGTACAATCTAGTGATTGGTTCCTGTTTATATAATTGTATATTATTTTGCTTGGGATACTTTAAAAATAGTAATTGACTTTTAAAAAATGCTTGGGCTCTGTGACAAAAGTGGCATCACAGATTTGAAATCATACTTTTGTTTCATGATTAAATTTGAATATATGCCTATATTAAAGTAGACAAATTAGAGTTTATTGTCATATTTGTGTGTGGGGGGGTTGTCTGTTTTTCTAATAGATACAAGAGTAAACCTGGTGATGACTATGAAGATCCCAAAGATCTTCAAGCCATCAAAGAAGCCCAGGTGTATATGGGAGATTTCAATCTGAAGACAGCCCCAGACTACAAGATACCTGAGCACATGAGAATAAATGCTGCCAAGAAGGAAGAGGAACTAGGACACCTAGATTCTTTGGTACTTATCTACAGATTTTATGACAATGGAGAAGGCACCCTGGGTTCTTAATTAAATTCTGCTAAAACCACTCATTTCCCTATCTGGTCAATAAGAATATATAACCATAGAAATTTAGAACTGGAAAAGACTTCCATGATTATCTAGAATGTCCTCTTTTTACAAATAAGGAAACTGAGGCCCAGAGAGGACACGAGATTTGTCCATGGTTAGTCAGCTAATATGGAAGAACCAGCTGCAAATACTTACAGTATATCTGGGGGTTATAGATGGGTATTGCCTGACAGGTATGGCAGGGTCATCAAGGATATCTGGTAATCTAGGTCGGAGTTTGACTCTCTGATGAATGTCTCTATCTCTTTTTTTGCTGTGGCCTTATTAGAAGTATTAATACATCTTTGTTGAGTTAGCATTTCTCAGAAGACTCCTTCTGTCTTTGAGCTTTCCTTAAAATACCATGTTTTAGTACCAGTTTCATGGGTAAGCTTATATTTTGTGGACTTTGAACCTCTGAAATTCAAACAAATCCTCATTGGATGTAGTTTTTCGTTGCCATGGACCACCAAAGACTTAGATTTAAAAGGCCATTGTTTAACCTTTTTTTGTAGGACTTCCAAACTTTTCTAGGCAACTCAATGCTCACAAACTAATATATTTCTTTGTTCTTTTCTCTGCATTCTTCCAAACCACTTTCAATCATCCTGATCATTCTGATGCCCATTTTCTTATGAAAGTTCCTCTTCCTGCTATATTAATTCCTTAATCACCATTTGAAATGACAAGTGACTTTTTATACTTAAAGGCTTAAAGGTCATCTGAGCTACTACTTTTAGGAGAACTCGATACATCGTAACCTAATGTGGTTGTGGAGGTTGCACATTTCAAGGCATCACTTTGGAGAGGGTGCCAATCACATCATGGTTATATTAATAGTATTTTTGAATATTTTGTAATTTTCTGACAAATGAAAATGAAATGTCCTGAGGAAGGGGTGTCTTTTTCTGTTTCACCAAAGAGATGCATCCCAGCAGCACAAGGGTCCTGGCTTGGCAATTCATATTCACAAATCCATTTTCATAACTCATAACTGTGTGTTTCTCATCAAAATGGACAATTTGGACATTTTAGTAATGACCATTTGGATTGTTTTCCTAGTTGTTCTTCTAAGGTAATTTTTATTTATTCATCATGTTACATACATCATTGTAGAGAAATGTTCTTATGACCACAATTTATCCAATCTGAAATTTCATACTCTAGCTAGAGGAGATGGGCAGGTATGATATCTTCAACTTAATTGCATTACACTGAAATTTGCTTTATTAAAATAAAATCACATAGAACACCTTTTTCTACAAGTCAGAAGACTGGAGTTCTGTTTCCATCTCTGCCACTTAATAGCCATGTGAACTTTGCTAAGTCATATAAATCTCCCTAAGCCTTTTATTTCATCTGTAAAAAGAGTATTAATACCAATTAACAATAAGACATGTCTGGTATACCTCATAGGGTTAATTTAATGGTCAAAATCCATAAATGGTCTTTATTGTCATGGTCAAATTGAAAATCATTGAAAAGTATTAAATATTTTTAAAATAGTGTATTATTTGTCTTTTTTCTCAGCCAGTATTTAGGTTTGTGTGGTATTTGAAAAACTAGAAAGAAAGAGTTGATGTGTGAAGAGTCTCCTTAAAAAGGTAGGCCTTACAGCCATCAGTGATATGGGTTTGTTCTTGGTGGCCTAATCTGCAGTCCTTCAGACACTTCACAGGTGGTTGTCCATTCACCCAACTGCTGGCTTTTGAGTTTAAACCTTAGTGATTTAAAGGTTTATTTTCAAGTTGCAGAACATTTCCTCTATCTTGATACAGTTTTCTGTGTTGCAGATAGTAAATATATATGTAGCTTTTGTAAGACTGCTTGAGGGAGTGACTTTTGATCTTTAAAAAACTGTATGTTTATGCAAAGTAACTCTTAATGGCCTTTGGACAATCTAGTAGCCTAACTGCACACAGGAAGTACAGTAGGGTTGCATGTGCTCTCAGGCTCTCAGAATGGCATTTAGAAAACACAGACCAGGGAGACAGCTGGTAATGAAAGAGCAATGAGATTGTATAGCCCCTGTGCCTGGAAGCAGAGGCACAGCTTGGCTTTGATAAATGGAGAAGGAATGAAGGAAGGATCCTGCAGTCTCTTGGTGTGACATGCTACTGAAATTCAGAATCATGGCCTTGCCTACACAAGGACTAACAATAATCATGTGGCCAAAATACAGAATGAAAATAGGCTAACCTGTAGTTTGGGCCTAGGTGGGCAGCCCTAAGTGAGTCTAAGTCAAAGGGATTCAAAGTTCCAGGAGGAAAATGAATTAATTGCCTTTCCCTTCCTCCCTGGAGAGAGTATCCAGCTTGAACAAGGCTCCTGGAAGGACTTCCATGGAGTGATAAAGGAGGACAGGGGAACTCAGCCACACGAGCCAGCTGGAGGGAACAAATCGTGGGAAGCCAAGAGATACCAGAGGTCATATGTAGTCTGTCCTTCCATCTTGGAGGGCCTAAATGGAAAAAATCCTCAATATTAAAGAAAAGGGAAACTTGGTGGTAAAAAGGTATGATCAGATGAATTTTTATCTTGAATTTTTTCTAGGCCTTTCAGCAACAGAAAAGAGCAGATCATATTCCATACAGTTATTTGTCAGAGGGTTGTACTGTTGTTTCCTTCCTCTTCTTTTTTTCAGGTCCATGGAAATAAAAGGCACATGAACAAGTGCATTCTCTCTCTTAGAGACCTTAAAGTGGCTGTTGTTGAGGAAATACAGTGCCTGGTACAAGAACTGAAGAACATTCAGTCGACTCTTCACATATCCAAGCACATACCCATTCCCAAAATTCCTCAGATACACCCAGAAGAAGTTCCAGAAAAGAGATTTCAGTATGATGAAGAAACTCTCCTAAATTTTAAGCAACAGCAAATGAAAAGTAAAGATGAAAAGTCCCCCGGAGTGGAACAGACAGGGTCTGGAGGCCCAGTTGGAGGATTCCTCAAACTCTCTTCTAGAAAGGATGGGGATTTGACAACCCGTGATTCAATATCTAGATCATCAAAGGCATCAACATTCAGCCTAGATATACCAAAGTGTTTGGAATTTGAAAAAGCAGAGCCAACGGATGTGGAGCTGGAAATTATGAAGAGAGACGAGATTAAACACGTGTACATGCAACAGTATTTGGTCAACAGGGTAAGGGGTGAACCTGTTCCTAGTTAAAGCTGAAAGAGAGAAGAGAAGGGAAAAAATTGGGTCGGGTTTTTTGTTTATTTATTTAAAATTTCTCTGCATGAACCTTTCCCAAACCCTGACCAGCTTACCACTCAGTGATGGCTTGGCTTCCTCCCCATCCTTGGCCTTCTGGAAATCACTGTGCTCTTCCCAGAACTACAGAGCTTTTAAACTTTTTTTTTTGTTTTGGAAAGCTGACAAAGAATGAAGGGGAAGCCCATGTTTCAGTTACTTGGCATCTAACTGAAGTCATCGTAAAGGGGAAGTGGAGGAGCAGCTTTTAGATGATGGATGGAACATAGATAATGGATGGAACATAGCTAAGAATTTTCCAGAGAAACAGGGCACCCTCTGCTTTTCACACCATCCTTTTTCTCTAATATGTGGTTTGTTCCATTAGTAGAAGTGTTTATGGTGATTACTGGGTTTGAGATTGTTCTGGAGCTGGAATGGCGACTATTCTTATTTCTAGGAAATTCAGGACCAGACTAGGGCCTGTTGGGCAGGATGTTCTTTGAATATGAAAGAATAACCTTTCTTGGATAGATAACTCTCTGCTGTCAGCCATGTAGATTCCCTTTCCTCAGTGTGTCTTTCCAGCTTCACCCTGTGGTGATGCCCTCAGTAGCTTCCCAGCCTTATTCTTCACCATTATCTCTTCTTTGTCCAGCCCTGTTTTCTCACTGTTCTTGCCTCTCTCCACTCCACCTTTTCCTCCCACACCATTCTGAGTTTTGCATCTGTGCTTTTTCCTTTGCTGTTTCCTTCTACCAGTAATGACTTCCTTCCACCAGTAATGACTTCCTTCCAGAGTTGAGTTATCATTCAAAGCATGGCTCAGTTCCAAACCCTCTCCAGCATTTTCCGCCCACATTACTTATGCTGTCCTTGTTTCTAAACTCCAGTTGCACCTGTAATAAGCATCTCATGTTTTACACTAATTTTCCTTGCTGTTTCATGGGTATTAGTATTGTCTTGAAAATTAAATTACACAATTCTTGAGCAAAGGGCCACATATACTTCTGATTCCTCCACATAGTCTAGGACAATGTCAAACATATAATAGATATTCAGTCAAAAGTTTTGATTGATTTAATTGTAACTAATTTATTAATTTAGCAAATATTTATTGGATGTTCTGTATGCAGGGACACTGATAGATAGGATTAGGGATACAACAATTCTTAAGAAAGACATGTTCTCTATCTTCACAAAGCTTATAGGCTATTGGGATTGGAGAGAATAAAACAAGTGTAATCCTTACAGACTTGGAGACCTATGTGGTCCTCCAAATAAATGCAGGAATAATTCAAGTTTGTTAAACAAGCTTTAAAGGGGAGCCCAAACATATAGTCTATAGAGATGGTTACTTAAAAGTTTAATTTTTTCTTCTCTCTCTGTTTTTTTTTTTTTTTTTTTTTTTTTTTTTTTTAAGCTCTCTAAATTTCTCTGGTAGTTTCACTGCTCCAAACCCACAGATCTCTTTCTCTCCTCAGCCCCAGTCTGGGTCCTCACTTACTATAGGCTTTTGACAGTTGAGGCCACCTATCATGTACAAACTAATTAAAAACATAGAATGGTTTGTCTCTTCCTATTGTTCCAGTTTCCTCAGGAGAATCAGCCCTTGGGGCTCTCTCTTGACCTCTTCATCTCCTTTGTGATACTGGGGGGGAAAGCTGGGGGAAAGCTGTACCAAAATCAGAACAAAACTGAGGACTTAAAATTAGTAGGACCATAATGGATTAAAGTCTGGACCAGGACTTGGGATACTTCGGCTCTTATCAGGAAAAGTAACTTTGACCTTAATTTCTTCAATCTTAGAAAGAGATTGAACAGGTTTTTTGTGGCTCCATGATTATTTTATCTATTTAAAAATATTTACCATTCTGTGGTTTTGAAAATTTTCAACATAAGAAGTTGGGAAACGTATTTATTTGTGCTTACTATATAAAAGGGATTGTAGAGATACTATGGAGAATAAAGAGGAGACAGATAGAAACACTACCCACTCAGAGAGCTCATAAGCTACACAGTAAAGCAAGAAGGGCATTCTTGATTGATGGCTTAGTTAATGGTGAAGAAATAGGTGGAAGGACTTCTAGTTACACAATTCCTACCACTTAATAAATTAATTTATGTAAACTTAATGCCATTAATGAATTTATTTTTGTGACTATACACACACACACAATTCTCCATCCATAAGGGCATAATAAAAAATGACTTCATACAAATTAGTACTGTTAGATAGTTTAAAAATGCATTTATCTAGTCTTCTAACGTATCCGCAAATATTTTTTCCATCTCAGATCAAAGAACTGGTTGTCACTTTCGATGCAGAACTCCGTCTCCTTAGACATCAGAAACTAAAACTAGATACTCAGATGAAATTATCTGACCTGCACCATGTCACCTTATTTCAAGAAATACTTCTCCTGAAGAATTTTGAAAAACAGGAGAACATACTTCAAGAACGTGTTAATTCCTTAGACAAAGAGGAACAGTACATGCAAGTATGAGTGGGCAGAAGAATCCTAGCTGGCTGGTCCCTTAGTTATGGAGAAACTTGATTTCTTTTTCTTCTTAACTCAAATCTCCCACTTGTTCTAGCCCTTATCTCTTTCTTGTCTTCTTTCCCCCTCCTCCTTTTTCCTGTTATTCCTACCTAGTCTCCATCTTTAGTATTCATGGTCAAAGAGAAATGATTCAGATTTTTTAGTAAATTTGGTCTGATATTCTGTAAGGTAGAAGAATAAAATTTTCACAAGTTAGCCTTTGATTGTGCCACTCTACACCAGTCTGGTGAGTTGGGTTCCCTAAAAAACAAAAAAGTAAGCTATGATATAAAATTGAGTTTTGATTATATGTTATCCTTATGAAAACAACTGAAAAAGAAGCTGGTGAGTTTCTTAAGTATGACAGCTTCAGTGTAATATATGATTGAATATCATAAGAAATGAGGTTCCTTTATTTGTTATATTTGTATATTAAATTTCAGAAAATAAATTATACTAGCTTTGTTTTAAAATAAGAAAGATTCTATTAAACAGATAGTATATGCTAAATAGTAACATTCATTTTTAGGTATATTAGCTTCACTAGAAATTATATGTCTCTTTGTTTTAGTTATATATCAATACAAAAAATTCATTGGTTTTTGAGACTACACATGCAAAAATATTAGCTGACATCCACATATTCAATTTAAGGAATTTCAAGGAAAAGTTTCAATTTAATTTAGATTTTGGGGGGATGCTTAGCACTAAAAAGCTGATTTTCTAATTCTAAACATGACTGATTTTTACAAAGGAATTATAAAATTTTAACCAATAAATGGATGGCTCTGCAAACATCAGAAATGTAACCTTCTTTTAAGAAGTTTTAAAAAATATATTTGTAAACTGTAACCTTGTATTGTAAAGTACATTGCTCTCTGAACTTGGTTTATCAGAAATATTTATCATTTGTCCTTGTTTTTATTCATTTAGTGGAAAATAAATGAAACTCTTAAAGAGATGGAAGAGAAAAAGAATGAAATCACCAAACTCCAGGAGCAAGAAAAGGCACTCTATGCTGGTTTTCAAGCAGCCATTGGAGAAAACAATAAATTTGCAAACTTCCTCATGAAGGTCCTAAAGAAGAAGATTAAACGGGTAAAGAAAAAAGAAGTTGAAGGAGATGCTGGTTTGTATTTCTTTCTTGCATATGATCTTATTTTCTCTCATTAACATGAAATAGAGAGGTAACTAAGGGACCTATTAGATACCTTATTTTTTTCACTATAACATGGACAATGTAGAGACACTGTGGGGGCTAAAGAGGAGAAGACATAAACCTTAGGGTCTTCCAACACCTCGAGTTAATCTGTGTGCATGTTTGTTTGCACATGTGTGCACATGTTTATGTGTATCTGGTATGAGTGAGCATAGTGTAGTTTAAGTTAATAAGCACATCTTTTTATGTGTTTATTTGCCATATGTATATCTTATTTGGTGAAATGTCTCCTTTTGCCCATGTTTGAATAGGATCATTTGCTTTTTTTACTGTTGAGTTTGGAGAGTTCTTTATATATTCTGTATACTAGTCTTGTGTCAGATATGTGGTTTGCAAATATTTTTTCCTAGTGCGTAGCTTGCCTTTTCATTTACTGTAGTATCATTTGTTGAAAAGGTTGTCTCTCTTCGACTGAATTGCTTTGATCTTTGTCAAGATCATTTGGGCATCTTTGTGTGGATGTATTTCTAGGTTCTGTTACATTGATCTATGTGTCAATATTTTCACCAATACTACAGTCTTGATTATTGTAGCTACATATTGAGCCCTTAAATCAGGTAGACTAACTCCTCCTACTTTATTCTTCTTTTGTAAAATTGTTGTAGCTATTCTAGTTCCTTGATATTTCCGTATTTTAGAATAATCTTCTTTATATCTACAAAAAATCTTGTTGGAAATTTGATAGTAATTGTGTTAAAACTGTATATTAACTTGGAGACAACTGGTATCTTTACTACATTGAGTTTTCCAATGGAAAGCACAATATGCCGTAGTCCGAGCTACTAGGGAGGCTGAGACAGGAGAATGGCGTGAACCCAGGAGGCGGAGCTGGCAGTGAGCTGAGATCATGCCACTGCACTCCAGTCTGGGCGACAGAGCAAGACCCTGTCTCCAAAAAAAATAAAAAATAAAAAAGGCACAATATATCTCTATTTATTTAGAACCTCGGTTTCTTTGATCAAAATTGTATACTAGTATTCAGTATATAATTCATGTTCATGTTTTGTTAGATTTACACCTATTTCCTTTTTTAGTGATTTTTTTTTTTTTTTTTGAGACGGAGTCTGGCTCTGTCACCCAGGCTGGAGTGCAGTGGCGTGATCTCGGCTCACTGCAAGCTCCGCCCTCGGGTTCACACCACTCTCCTGACTCAGCCTCCCAAGTAGCTGGGATTATAGGCTCCCACCACCACGCCTGGCTAATTTTTCTATTTTTAGTAGAGACAGGGTTTCACTGTGTTAGCCAGGATGATCTCAATCTCTTGACCTTGTGATCTGCCCACTTCAGCCTCCCAAAGTGCTGGGATTACAGGCATGAGCCACTGTGCCCGGCCCCTTTTTTAGTGATTTTAAATGATACTGTATTTTTAATCTCAGTGTCCTCATGTTCATTGCTACTAATAGATTTTTACATGTTTAGCTGATATCCCGTAACCTTACTTATTAGTTCTAAGAGGTTTTGATAGATTCCTTGGGGATTTCTATGTAGATGATTAGGTTGGTGCAAAAGTAATTGTGGGTTTTGCTATTAATAATGGGAAAATAATTTCACCTAATAATTTCGTCTGCAAATATAGGCAGTTTTATTTATTTATTTCTGATCAGGATGCCTATTTCATTTTCTGGCCTTATTGCATGGCTAGAACATCCAGTACTATGTGAGTGCTGAAAGCTGACATTCTTGCTTTATTTTCAATATTAAGTATAATATTACCTGTAGGTGTTTTATAGATACTCTATTAAGTTAAGGAAGTTCACCTCTGTTCCTCTTTTTCATGAATTTTTTTCGTGAATGGGGGTGAAAATTTGTCAGATGCCTGTCTACATTGATTCATGATCATGTAATTTTCTTTTTAGCCTATTAATATGGTAGATTACATTGGCTAATTATGGATTATTAAATCAGAATTGCATTTCTGAAATAAACCTTCCTTGGCATAGTGCAAAATTCTTTTTATATATTGATTAATTCTATTTGCTAATATTTCATTAAGAAATTTTTTGTCTATATTCATGAAGATCATTTTTCTGTAGTTTTCATTTTTGGTACTGTCTTTGTCTGGTTTTAGTATCAGGGTAATAAAAACTAGCTTCTTAATATGAATCAGAAAATTTTCTTTTCCATTTGATTTTCTGGAAGATCTTGCATGGAATTGGTGGTAATTATTCTTTAAACACTTAGTAGAATTCACCAGTGAAAGCTTTTGGATTTGAACATTTCTTTTGGGGGAGTTTTTAAATTACAAATTCAACTTTCTTAATAGTTATAGGGTTGTTCAAATGATCTATTTCTCTCTTTTTTTTTTTTTTTTTGAGACGGAGTCTTGCTCTGTCACCAGGCTGGAGTGCGGTGGCGCGATCTGTGCTCACTGCAACCTCCACCTCCTAGGTTCAAGCGATTCTCCTGCCTCAGCCTCCCAAGTAGCTGGGACTATAGGCACGTGCCACCATGCCCAGCTAATTTTTTTGTGTTTTTAGTAGAGACGGGATTTCACCATGTTGGCCAGGATGGTCTTGATCTCCTGACCTTGTGTTCCACCGGCCTTGGCCTCCCAAAGTGCTGGGATTACAGGCGTGAGCCACTGCACCCAGCCCAAATGATCTATTTCATATTGGGTGAGTCATGGTAGTTTGTGGTTTTTTGAGGAATTGGTATATTTCATCTAAGATGCCAAATTAATACATGAATATCCTTATCTTTTTAGTGTCTACAGGGTCTGTAGTAATATCACCTGTTGCATTCTTTTTTTCTAAAAAAAAATTCAGCTTTTATTTTAGATACAGGCGGTATATGTGCAGGATTGTTACATTGGTATATTGCACCCAGGTAGTGAGCATAGTACCAAATAGGTAGTTTTTCAGCCAATGCCCCCCTCCTTCCCTCACCACTCTAATAGTCTGCAGTGTCTGTTGTTCCCGTGCTTATGTCCATGTGTGCTCAATGTTTTTAGCTCTCATTTACAAATGAAAATATGTAGTATTTGGTTTTCTGTTCCTGTGTGAATTCGCTTAGGATTATCACCTCCAGCTCCATCCATGTTGCTGCAAAGGTCATGATTTCATTCTTTTTTTATGGCTGTGTAGTATTCAATGGTGTATATGTAGATTTTCTTTGTCCAACCCACCATTGATAGGCACCTAGGTTGATTCCATGTCTTTGCTGTTGTGTATAGCACAGTGTTATGGTTTGGCTGTGTCCCTACCGAAATCTCATCTTGAATTTTGGTCCCCATAATCCCCACATGTATGGGAGGGATCTGGTTGGAGGTAATTGAATCATGGGAGTGGTTACCCTCATGCTGCTATTCTCATGATGAGTGAGTTCTCATGAGATCTGATGGCTTTATAAGGGGCTTCCCCGCCGCCAACTTCACTCTGCACTTCTCCTTCCTGCTGCCATGTGGAGGAGGACATGTTTGCTTCCCTTTCTACTGTGATTTTAAGTTTCCTGAGGCGTCCCCAGCCATGCTGAGCTGTGAGTCAATTAAACCTCTTTCATTTATAAATTACCCAGTCTTGCATATGTTTTTATTAGCAGTGTGAGAATGGACTAATACACATGGCAATGAACATGAGTGCATATGTCTTTTTGGTATAATGATCTATTTTCCTTTGTGTATATACCCACTAATAGGATTGCTGGGTCAAATGGTGGCTCATTTTTAAGTTCTTTGAGAAATCTCCAAACTGCTTTCCACAGTGGCTGAACTAATTTACATTCCCACTAATGGTGTATAAGTGCTCCCATTTCTCCATAGCCTCACCAGCCTCTTTTTTGACTTTTTAATAATAGTTATTCTGACTGGTGTGAGATGGTGTCTCATTGTGGTTTTGATTTGCACTTCTCTGATGATTAGTGATTATGAGTATTTTTTTCATGTTTGTTGCCTGCTTGTAGGTAATCTTTTGAGAAGTGTATGTTCATGTCCTTTGCCCATTGTTTAATAGAGTTATTTGTTTTTTGCTATAGATTCTGGATATTGGTCTTTTGTTGGATGCATAGCTTGTGAATATTTTCTTCCATTCTGTAGGTTGTCTATGGCTAGCCAGTTATCCCAACACCATTTATCAAATAGGAACTTCTTTCTCCATTGCATGTTTTTGTCAACCTTGTTGAAGATAAGATGGTTGTAGGTGCACAACCTTATTTCTGAGTTTTCTATTCTGATCTTGCGGTCTATGTGTCTGTCTGTTTTTGTACCAGTACTGTGCTGTTTTGGTTACTACAGCTTTATAGCTGAAGTTAGGTAGTGTGATGCCTCCAGCTTTGTGGATTATCTTTAGGATTGCATTGGCTATTTGGGCTCCTTTTTGGTTCCATATGAATTTTAGAATAGTTTTTAGTTTTTTCTAGTTGTGTGAAAACTGATGTTGGTAATTTGATAGGAGTAGCATTGAATCTGTATATTGCTTTGGAGGATATGCCATTTTAATGATATTGATTCTTCTAATCTATGAGCATGGGATGTTTTTCCATTTATTTTTGTCATCTCTGATTTCTCTCAGCATTGTTTTGTAATTCTCCTTGTAGAGATCTTTCACCTCTTTGATTAGCTATGTTCCCAGGTATTTCATTTTTATTGTCACTATTGTAAGTGGGATTATATTCTTGATTTGATTTTCAGACTGTACATTATTGATGTATAGAAATGCTACTGATTTTTGTATATTGATTTTGTATTCCAAAACCTTGCTAAAAATATTTACCAGTTGTAGTAGCCTCTTGGCAATCTTTGGGGTCTTCTAAGTATAGAATCATATCACCAGCAAAGATAGTTATTTTGACTTCTTTTCCTATTTAGATGCCTTTTATTTCTGTTTGTTGCCAGATTGCTCTGGCTAAGACTTACAGTACTTTGTTGAATAGAATGGTGAGAGTGGGCATTCTTGCCTTGTTCCACTTCTCAAGAAGAATGGTTCCAGCTTTTGCCTATTCAGTATGATGTTGGCTATGTGGATTTGACATAGCGCTCTTATTATTTTGAGGTATGTTTCCTCAATGCCTAGTCTGTCAAGGATTTTTATTATGAAGATATGTTTGATTTTCTTGAAAACTTTTTCTGCGTCTATTACGATGATCACATGGTTTTTGCTTTTAATTCTGTTTATGTGGTGAATCACATTTACTGATTTACGTATGTTGAACCAATCTTGCATCCCAGGAATAAAGCCTGTTTGATCATGGGGAATTAACTTTTTGATGTGCTGCTGGATTTGGTTTGCTAGTATGTTTTGAATATTTTTGCGTCTATGCTCATCAGAGATATTAGCCTGAAGTTTTCTTTCTTCATCATATCTCTGCCAAAAAATTTTGATATTAGGCTGATGCTGGTTTCATAGAATGTTTTAGGGAGGAATCCCTCCTGTGATGGTGAGTGTCAACATGATTGGATTGAAGGATGCAAAGTATTGATCCTGGGTGTGTCTGTGAGGGTGCTGCCAAAGGAGATTAACTTTTGAGTCAGTGGGCTGGGAAAGGTAGACCCACCCTTAATCTGGGTGGGCACCTCTAATTAGCTGACAGTGTGGCTAGAATATAAAGCTGGCAGAAAAATGTGAAAAAACTAGACTGGCCTAGCCTCCCAGCCTACATCTTTCTCCCATGCTAGACCCTTCCTGCCCTCGAACATTGAACTCCAAGTTCTTCAGTTTTGGGGCTTGGACTGGCTTTTCTTGCTCCTCAGCTTGCAGACAGTCTATTTTAGGACCTTGTGATCATGTGACTTAACACTTAATAAACTCCTTAATACTTAATAATATACATCTAGATATATATAACTTCATTATATATACATATATATAACTTCATTATATATATACATATATAACTTCATTAAGTACTGTATATCTAGATATATATTACATCTATATATCATATATATCATATATGATATATAGATGTAATATATATCATATATATCAATATATATCATATATATATCATGTATATATCTGCTCCATGTTCTTGAGCTGTGCACCACAGCCCTGGAGACACTGGGATATCTTGAGATTCAGGGTCAGGGTCAGGGTCAGGTTCCAGCTGCACTGGGGGATCTGATTTGCTTTGCAGTTGCCAGAACAAATATAGATCTATATATATTGAGAGAGAGAGAGAGAGAGAGAGAGAGAGACTAATATACCTCCTCAATTTTCTGGAATAGTTTCAGTAGAATTGGTACCAATTCTTCTTTGTATGTCTGGTAGAATTCAGCTGTGAATTCATCTGATGCAGGGCTTTTTTTCATTGTTATCTATTTTTTATGACTGATTCAATTTCAGAATTCAATATTGTTCTATTCACTGTTTTAATCTCTTCCTTATTCAATCTTGGGAGATTATGTATTTCCAGGAATTTATCCATTTCCTCTAGATTTTCTGGTTTGTGTGCATAGAAGTGTTCATAATAGTCTCAGAAGTGTTCATAATTAGTCTCTGATTATCTTTTGTGTTTCTGTGGGATGAGTTGTAATGCCATCTTTGTCATTTCTAATTGTACTTATTTGGATCTTCTCATTTTCTTTTCTTTGTTAATCTAACTAGTGATATAGCAATCTTGTTTATTTTTTTGAAAAAAACCTCTTGGTTTCATGAATCTTTTGTATGGATTTTTGTATCTCAACTTCATTAAGTTCTTCTCTAATTATAGTTATTTCTTTTCTTCTTGCTTTATGACCAAGCATGTGGTCAATCTTAGACTATATTCTGTGTGCAGATGAGAAGAATGTATATTCTAAGTTGTTGGATTGAGTGTTCTGTAGATGCGTATTAGGTCCAATTGGTCAAGTGTTGAGTTTAAGTCCAGAGTTTTTTTGTTAGTTTTCTGCCTTGATGAGCTGTCTAATGCTGTCAGTGGGATGTTGAGGTCTCACACTATTATTGTGTGGTTGTCTAAGTCTTTTTGTAGGCCAGGAAGAACTTGTTTTATGAATCTGGGTGCTCCAATGTTGGGTGCATATATATTTCGGATAGTTAAGTCTTCCTGTTGGATTGCACTCTTTATCATTATGTGATGCTCTTCATTATCCTTCTTAATTTTTATTGGTTTAAAGTCTGTTTTATCTGATATAAGAATAGCAACTCCTGCTCTTTTTTTGTTTTCCATTTACATGGTAGATCTTTCTCCATCCTTTCACTTTGAGCCAATGGGTATAATTATATCTGAGATGGGCCTCTTGAAGACAACAGATGGTTGGTTCTTGTCTTTTTATCCAGTTTGGCACTCTAGCTTTTAAGTGGGGTGTTTAGCCCATTTACATTCAAGGTTAGTATTGATACGTGTGATTTTTGATCCTGTCATCATGATGTTAGCTGGTTGTTATGTAGACTTGATTTTGTAGTTGCTTTATAGTGCCTGCCAGCTGTGTGCTAAAGGGTATTGTTTTTTTTTTGTTTTTTTTTGTTTTTTTATTTTTGAGTCCATGTTTAACACTCCCTTAAGGACCTCTTGTAAGACTGGTCTAGTTGAAACTTATTCCCTCAGCATTTGCTTTACTGAGAAGGATTTTATTTCTCCTTCACTTATGAAACAGTATGGCAGGATGTGAAATTCTTGGTTCGAATTTATTTTCTTTATAAGGACACTGAAAATAGGCCCCCAGTCTCTTCTTGCTTGTAAGATTTCTGCTCAGAGGTCTGCTGCTAGCCTGATGGGTTTCTCTCTGTATGTGACTTGACCCTTCTCTTTAGCTGCCTTTAAGATTTTTTTCTTTTGCATTGTCCTTGGTGAATCTGATGACTGTGTGCCTTGGGGTGGTCATCTTGTATCATATCTAGCTGGGGCTCTTTGTATTTCTTGAGTTTGTATTTCAAACTCTCTAATAAGATTAGGGAAATTTTTGTGGACTACATTCTCAAATATATTTTCCAAGTTGCTTATTCTCCTTCTTTCTCAGGAGTACCAATGAGTCATAGATTTGTTCTCTTTGTAGAATCTCATATGTTTCAGAGATTTGGTTCATTTAATTTTTTTCTTTACTTTTGTCTGAGTTGATTCAAAGAAGCATTCCTCGAACTGAGATTCTTTCCTCATCTTAGTCTATTCTGCTGTTAATATTCCAATCATATTATGAAATTCTTGTAGTGAGTTTTTTAGCTCTAGGAGTTCGGTTTTCTTTTTTCTGAAAATGTTTAAAAACTTTAAAAATTTGGTTTTCTTCTTTCTTATTTCATCTTTCGGCTCTTGGATCATTTTACTGAATTTCTTGGATTGGGTTTCAACTATCTCCTGAATCTTGATGAGCTTCCTTGACATCCAGATTCTGAATTTTATGTTTGTCATTTCAGTCATTTTAGACTGTTAAAAAAAAAAACCAGTAGTGGCCAGTAGCTGCATTAATACCCAGCTGCACAGCTCTTTAGTATTTCCTAGTGTTTGCAGGTGTGTTCTGAAGTAGGGGTGAGGGAGTGGGAGAGATGGCCACTCACCAGGTCCACTCCTGGGCCTTGGGGGAGCCCCCTCCAATCACTGGCACTGTGCCTGTGTTTTTGTTGTTGTTGGGTGTTCCAGGCCATGGGGCCCCCTTGCAAAAAGACTGTAGCAGGGAGATATGCAACATCTTTTCTGGACTGGCCCTGCAAAGGAAGAAAGCCCCATTCTCACCCCAGCCCAGGAACTCATGCATCTCACCCCTCTCAATACTCTCTGAGAGTGAGGGCTCCTCCCCAGCTCAAGTGCTGGCCATAGATCTTGGCTCCATGCTCTTGAGCTGTGCACCACGGCCCTGGAGACACTGGGATATCTTGAGATTCAGGGTCAGGGTCAGGTTCCAGCTGCACTGGGGGATCCAATTTGCTTCGTGGTTGCCAGGAAACTACTCAGGTGCAGCAATGCACTCAGGCTGGGCTGCAAAGGCTGTGTTGTATAGCTGCTCCTGCAGGGCGGTGAGGCATGGGCCCCGGCAGTGACTGGCAGGCAGGAGGGCTTGCAGAGAAGATGTGCCCCAGTCCCAAAGGGAAGCCGGCCCTGCTCTCTCCTGGCTTGGAGGTCAGCTGGAGCCCATGCCTCCCAGAGAGGGACGAGGAACTCTGGGGGATGAGTGTCTATGGCCGCTCTCTGTCAGAGCTGCCCAATGCACAAAGGCACTCGGGATCCATGTCATCTGAAGGCCAGTCTCTGCCTGCTCCCTGGGGAGATCCCCCTGCCAGGTCACACATCCATGGGAGTCATGGGGTCCCCTATAGCCAGGATTCCAGAGGTCTGTGGTAAGAGTGAGCCATCCCTCAGTTCTCTTACTCATCCCTTTCCCAGTAGCTGTTTGGGGAGAGCCTTGGTGTTTGGTTACCCCGTTCAGGGTTCCCAGCTTCTTTCCTCTTCAGCCTCACCTTCGCTGTTGCCTCTCAATTCACTCTTGGCATTTTCTCTCTGGAGACATTTTTAAATTATGGTGGTTTACTCCATAATTTAGGCTCTCTCAGTGGGAGTGGCACTTCCTGGCTGTTTCTAGTTGGCCATCTTGTCTGTTTGTCCTGTTGCTTTTTTTTTTTTTTTGAGATGGAGTCTCGCTCTGTTGCCCAGGCTGGAGTGCAGTGGCGTGATCTTGGCTCACTGCAACCTCCGCCTCCCAGATTCAAGCAATTCTTGTGCCTCAGCCTCCTGAGTAGCCAGGATTACAGACACCCACCACCACACCCAGCTAATTTTTATATTTTTAGTAGAGATGGGGTTTCACAGTGTTGGCCAGGATGGTCTCAAAGTCCTGACCTCAAGTGATCCACCCACCTCGGTCTCTCAAAGTGCTAGGATTACAGGCGTGAGCCACTACAGCCAGCTGTATTCTTCATATTGGTAACTTGTGTCTTTTTTTTTCAGTCTGGCTAGAGGTTTGTCAATTCAACTGATCTTTTCAAGAACAAATCAGCTTGTGTTATAAGGGATTTTCTTTATTGTTTTTCTCCTTTTAATTTCATTGATTTCTGCTCTTATCTTTATGATTACATTTTTTCCTGCTTGCTTTTGGTTTATTTTATACTTCCATGTTTAGGTTTTGTTGTGGGAGTTTAGATTATTGATGATATTTTTCTTCTTTTCTAATTTAGTGCTATAAATTCCCTCTTAACTCTGCTTTGGCTGCATCTCACAGATTTTAAGTTGGATTTTTAATTTTCACTCTGGTCAATGTAGTTTTTAAAATTTTTATTGAGACCTGCTCTGTATCCCATGAATTGTATAGAAATGTGTTGTTTAGTTTAAAGTGTTTTGGAATTTTTCTGTTATCTTTCTGTTATTGATTTCTAGTTTGATTTCATTGTGGTCGGAGAACATATTCTGTATTATTTCAATTCTTTTGTAATTGTTGAGGTTTGTTTTATGGTCTAACATATGATCTATCTTGGTATTTGTTCTCTGGGCACTTGCAAAGAATATATAGATGCTCCTTGATTTACCATGGGGTATGTCCTGATAAACCTATCTTAAATTGAAAATATCACAAGTCAAACATGCATTTAATACACCTAACCTACCAAACATAGTAGCTTAGCTTAGCTTGGCTTCAGAATGCTCAGAACACTTATGTTAGCCTGGAGTTGGGCAAGATCATCTAAAACAAAACCTATTTTATAATCAGCTATTGAATATCTCATATAATTTATTGAACATAGTACTGAAAATGAAACAGAATGGCTGTATGAGTACTTGAAGTCTGGTTTCTACCAAATGCATATTGCTTTCACACCATCATAAAGCTGAAAAATCATAAGTCAAAACGTTTTAAGTCAGAAACTGTCTGTATATTCTGCTGTTTTGGGTGGAGTGTTTTAATTACTGTCATTTAAATCCTGTTGGTTGTTGATGCTGTTGAGGTCTCTTACATTCTTGCTGCTTTTCTATGTAGTTGTTCTATCAAATGTTTAGAGAGGGGTGTTAAGGTATCTAAATACAATTGTGGGTTATTTCATTTCTTCTTTTATTTCTATCAGTTTTTGCTTCAAATATTTTACAGCTCTGTTGTTTTATGCATACAAATTTAGGAGTGTCATGTCGTCTTGGTAAATTGACATTTTTGTCATTATGTAAGGTTTCTTTCTGTTTCTGGTAATTTTCTTTGCTCTAAAGTCTATTTGTCTGACATTAATATAGCTGCTCCTGCTTTGCTTTGATTAAAATTTGTATAATATTTCTTTTTCCATCTATTTACTTTGAATTTGCTTGTCATTAGATTTGGAGTAAATTTCTGGTAGTCAGCGTATGATTGGATAATGTTTTTCATTCACCCTGGCAATCTCTGTCTTTTCTTTGGTGTATTTAAACCATTTACATTTAATACAATTGTTGGTATTTTAGAGCTTGTCTGTTATTTAATTTTTATTTTCTGTTTATGTTCTCTGTTTTCTTTTATAAAATTTTTCCTGCTTTCCTGTGGGTTACTTGAATATTTTTGGGGATTCTATTTTAATTTTTTGTAGTGTTTTTGAATACATCTCTTCGTATAACTGTTTAAGTTGTTGCTCTTTATATTTCATTATATATACATAATTTATCCCAGTCTACCAATGTCATCATTTATCCCAGTCTAGCAATGTCATCATTTTGCCATCATTTTACATCATTTTACCAGTTTAAGTGAAGTACAAAAACCTTACTTACCATTACATCCCTTTACCCTCCCCCATTTATAATATACTTGTATAAATATTTCCTCTCCATACATCTAGAACCACATTAAGTAATGTTATATTTTTGCTTCAGTCATCAAACATAATTTAAACACTCGAAGAGAGGAGAAAAGCCTGTTGTATTTACCCATATTTTTGCTTATCATGTTCTTCTTTTCTGATGTTCCAAGTTTTCCTTCTTTTATTGTTTGCTTTCTGTTTAGAGAATTTTCTTTATCCATTATTTTAGGATAGGCATGCTGGTGACAAATGTTCTTATTTTTTTAAAAAATCAGATAATGTCTTAATTTTTCCCTTTTTGAAAGACATTTTCACTTGGTATAGAATCCTAGGTTGACACTACTTTTCTTTCAGCACTTGAAAAATCATTGTGTCATTTCCTTTCGGCTTCCATGGTTTCTAATGAGAAATCCATTGCTATACAAGTTGTGTATCCCCTATAGTTAATGTGTCACTTTTCTGTTGATGCTTTCAAGACTTTTTCTTTGTCTTTAGTTTTCAGAAGTTTGATTGTGATGAGTTTTGGCATAAATTTATTTGGGTGTCTCCTGTTTGGAATTCAAATTCCTTAGCCTGTCTTTTGTCAAATTAGGGAAGTTTTCATCCTCATTCTCTTTCTTCACTCCTTCTGGTACTCTGATGGCATAAATATTAGATCTTTCATTATAATCCAAAAGGTCCCTGAGGCTCTGGGGTTTTATTTTGTTTTGTTTTTGCTCTTTTCTTTCTGTTTTTCAAATTGGATGATGTCTATTGTTCAGTCTTTACATTTATTGATTCTCTTCTGTCTCCTTTCTATTCTGCTGTTGAGTTCATTCATTGAGTTTTTATCTTGGTGTATTAGTCTGTTCTCACACTGCTGATAAAGACATACTCAAGACTGGGAAGAAAAAGAGGTTTAATTGGACTTACACTTCCACATGGCTGGGGATGCCTCAGAATCATGGTGGGAGGCAAAAGGCACTTCTTACATGGTGGTGGCAAGAGAAAATGAGAAAGATGCAAAAGTGGAAACCCCTGATAAAACCATTAGATCTTGTGAGACATATTCACTGCCATGAGAACAGTATGGGGGAAACCGCCCCCATGATTCAAATTATTTCCCACCAGGTCCCTCCCACAACATGTGGGAATTACGGGAGTACAATTCAAGATGAGATTTCAATGGGGACACAGAGCCAAACCATATCATTCCGCCCCCTTGCCCCTCCAAATCTCATGTCCTTACATTTCAAAACCAGTCGTGCCTTCCCAACAGTCCCTCAAAGTCTTAACTCATTTCAGCATTAACCCAAAAGTCCACAGTCCTAAGTCTCATCTGAGGCAAGGCAAGTCTCTTCTGTCTATGAGCCTGTAAAATCAAAAGCAAGCTAGTTACTTCCTACATAATATGGGGCTACAGGTATTGGGTAAGTAAAGCCATTGCAAATGGGATAAATTGACCAAAACAAAGAGATTACAGGGCCCATGCAAGTCTGAAATCCAGCAGGGCAGTCACATTTTAAAGCTCCAAAATGATCTCCTTTGACTCCAGGTCTCACATCCAAGAGGTGGGTTCCCATGGTCTTGGGCAGCTCTACCCCTGTGGCTTTGCAGGATACAGCCTCCCTCCCAGCTGCTTTCACGGGCTGGCATTGAGCGTCTGCGGCTTTTCCAGGTGCACGGTGCAAGCTGTTGGTGGATCTACCATTCTGGGGTCTGGAGGACAGTGGTCCTCTTCTCACAGTTCCACTAGGCAGTTCCCCAGTAGGGACTCTGTGTGGGGGCTCTGACCCCACATTTCCCATCCACACTGCCCCAGAGGTTCTCCATGAGTGCCCCACCCCTGCAGCAAACTTCTGCCTGGGTATCCAGGCATTTCCATACATCCTCTGAAATCTAGGCGGAGGTTCCCAAACCTGAATTCTTGACTTCTGTGCACTCACAGGTTCAACACTATGTGGAAACTGCCAAGGCATGAGGCTTGCACCCTCTGAAGCCATGGCCCCACCTCTATGTTTTTCCCTTTCAGCCATGGCTGGAGTGACTGGGATTCAGGGCACCAAGTCCCTAGGCTGCACACAGCACGGGGACCCTGGGCCCTCCCCAAGAAACCATTTTCTTCTAGGCCTCCAGGCCTGTGATGGGAGGGGCTGTGTGAAGGCCTCCGACATGCCCTGGAGATATATTCCCCATTGTCTTGGGGATTAACATTCCCTACAACAATGGGGAATTAACATTCCTCAATTTACTTATGCAAATTTCTGCAGCCAGCTTGAATTTCTCCTCAGAAAATGCGTTTTTCTTTTCTATCACATTGTCATGCTGCAAATTTTCCAAACTTTTATGCTCTGTTTCCGTTTTAAAACTGAATTCCTTTAGGCTGGGCGGGGTGGCTCATACCTGTAATCCCAGCACTTTGGGAGGCTGAGGTGGGCGGATCATGAGGTCAGGTGATGGAGACCATCCTGGCTAACACGGTGAAACCCCATCTCTCCTAAAAATACAAAAAAAAAAAAAAAAAATTAGCCAGGCATGGTGGCGGGCACCTGTAGTCCCAGCTACTTGGGAGGCTGAGGCAGGAGAATGATGTGAACCCAGGAGGCAGAGCTTGCAGTGAGTGGCAATGGTGCCACTGCACTGCAGCCTGGGTGACAGCATGACTTGGTCTCAAAAAAAAAAAAAAAAAACACACACACACACAGACACACACAAAACTGAATGCCTTTAACAGTATCCAAGTCACTTCTTGAATGTTTTGTTGCTTAGAATTTTCTCCCGCCAGACACCTTAAATCATCTCTCTCAAGTTCAAAGTTCCACAAATCTCTAGGGCAGGGGCAAAATGCCCCCAGTCTCTTTGCTAAAACTAACAAAAGTCTCCTTTGCTCCAGTTCCCAACAAGCTTCTCATCTCCATCTGAGACCACCTCAGCCTGGACCTTATTGTCCATATCACTATCAGACTTTTGGTCAAAGTCATTCAACAAATCTTTAGGAAGTCCCAAACTCTCTTACATTTTCCTGTCTTCTTCTGAGCCCTCCAAACTGTTCCAACCTCTGCCTGTTACCCAGTTCCAAAGTCGCTTCCATATTTTTGGATATCTGTTCAACAGCGCCCCACTCTACTGGTTCCAATTTACTGTATTAGTCCATTTTCACACTGCTGATAAAGACATAACCAAGACTGGGAAGAAAAAGAGGTTTAATTGGACTTACACTTCCACATGGCTGGGGATGCCTCAGAAACATGGCAGGAGGTGAAAGGCACTTCTTACATGGTGGCAGCAAGAGAAAATGAGAAAGATGCAAAAGCAGAAACCCCTGATAAAACCATTAGAGCTCATGAGACTTATTCACTACCATGAGAACAGTATGGGGGAAACTGCCCCCATGATTCAAATTATTTCCCACCAGGTCCCTCCCACAACATGTGGGCATTATTGGAGTACAATTCAAGATGAGATTTCAGTAGGGACACAGAGCCAAACCATATCACTTGGTTATTGTATTTTTCAGTTCTTAAATTTTCACTTAGTTCTTTATAATTTCTATTTATTTGCTGAGGCTTTGCATTTTTTCATTTCCTTCAAGTATGTTCAAATTTTGCTAATGGAAGCATTTTTATCATGGCTGTTTTAAATACTTTATCAGATAATTCTAATATCTCTGTCATCTTAGTGTTGACAGCTATTGGTTTTCTTTTTTCACTCAGTTGGAGATTGCATTAGTCCATTCTTGCATTGCTATAAAGAAATACCTGATATTGGGTAAGTTATAAGAAAAGACGTTTAATTGGCTCATGGTTCCACAGGCTATAAAGGAGGCATGGCAGCACCTGCTTCTGGGGAGGCCTTAGGGAGCTTTAACTCACATCAGAAGCCAAAACAGGAGCAGGCATCTTATAATGCAGGTGCAGGACCAAGAGAGTGAGAGAGAAGGCACTACACACCACACTTTTAAAACAACCAGCTCTCATGATGACTCCCTCACTCACTATCATGAGAACAGCACTGAGGGGATGGTGCTAAACTATTCGAGGGATTCCTCCCTGATGATCCAATCACCTCCCAACAGGCCCCTCCTCCAACACTGGGGATTACAGTTCAACATGAGATTTGGTGGGAACACAGATCCAAACCATATCAGATATCTTCCTGGTTTGTGGTATGAGTGACTTTTAATTGAATCCTAAAAACTTTCATGTTGTATTATGAGACTTTGTATCTTATTTAAATTTTCTGTTTTACTCAAATTTCTCAAACACTAATCTGACAAGGAAAGGGATGGGAGTCTCCTTACTGTTGGTGGAGGTAGAAGTCTATATTCCCCATTCAGACTTCATTGTCACCCAAGGGATAGGGGGCCTCTTTGATACTGCTATGTATGGGTGTGGGTTCCAGCTCCACATGTAGTTTCTGTGATCAACATCGTGGGGATGGCAAGTACTTATGGATAATGATGAAAGTCCTGATTCTCTATTAATGTTCTTCTGATACCACCCCTGAGGGGAGAGGGGAGAGTACCTTATTACTGACCTTGGGAGTGGAAGTCCAGGCTATCACATGGCCTCCACAGGCATCTTGGTGGTGAGGGTGGGGGTGAGGCTGGTTACCAGCCAGCATGAATAAATGTACTGGCTCCCTGCTTGCCCTTCTCTAACACCATCCAGTGGGAGTGTTGGGACACCTCGTTACAGCCCTGTGAGGGTGGATGTCTAGCCTCTCCACTTAACCTTTGCTGATTTAGTTGGGGATTGTACCAGAGTTTTTCTGTGGTGTTTGGTTGGAATAGAAGAGTTACTGTCTAAAAGTTTTCTCTCCTGCTAGGCTGCCCCTTCCCTGGTCCTTTGGCTAGAGAGAGCAAGCTTTTGTTGAGGCTTTCTGTGTCTATAGATCTGTTGGTGTTTCTAGGCTGCCAACTTATTCTTCTCCAAGTCTGAGGTAGATGAGGCTAAAAGAATATCCAAGGAACTCGCCACAGTGTTGTTCCTCAGGTTCTAAGGTGCATAGTTGCTCTACTTTCTTCTCTCCATTTTTTCAGAGTCTTCTTATGTTTGTTTTGCATATAATGTTTAGTTGTATTTATAAATTGTAAATTGGTGATCTGTAGTTCATAGATGACCTCAGGGTGTTTTGAAAGAAAGTGGGGCAGGTTGGAGTGGAAAGGTCTACAACCCCTTATCCAAAACCCTTAGGGACAGATGTATTTTTGTGTTCAGAAATATTTCTGAAGATATTATATATGATATGATATTATAAATAAATCATTCCTGACACTTATTAAAAACAATAAGGCAGACTTTATTCAGGGGGGCTACTATAATGGGGTTTTGTAGCAGGGAAGAGAGATGGGGCTGAACTCTGAATACAACAAGGACAAGTGGAGATTTATAGCCAAGGAACAGAGTGGGCGTCAGTGGACAGAAAATTACTAAGAAGTAGGGTAATTCTTCTCTAGACTGTTTTAACAGGACTTTTGCTGAGGGCAAGCCAGGTAATAAGATAATACAGGTGGAGTGATGAGGAATTTGATCAGATATCAAGTTCTCTCCATTGGGAGAAGTGGGAAATTTTTTCTAAATTAACTTGCAGGATTCTTGCTAGAATTGGACTAAATAGGTTAAGGACACAGCTCAAGGTCAGGAACTAGTCAGAAAAAGGACTCAGAGAAGCCTGACTCAAGTGGGGTCAAAGGAGAGAGTCTTTGTCAACATGATACCACTAGCAAGTTCTGGTACAGAATCCCAAAATCAAACATCTTAGTACTTCTGCAGCAAAACATGAATATTCATACCAAGTTAAATAAAGACTAGAAATGTCATTACTTTATTTCAGATAACTTATGAAAATCTTTTCAGGGCCAGGCACAGTGGCTCAAGCCTGTAATCCCAGCACTTTGTGGGGCCCAGTTGTGCAGATCCCTTGAGCCCAGGAGTTCAAGATCGGCCTGGGCAACATGGCGAAACCCTGTCTCTACAAAACAAACAAACAAACAAAAACCAAAAATTAGCTGGGCATAATGGTGTGTGCCTGTAATTCCAGCTACTCAGAAGGCTGAGGTGGGAGGATTGCTTGAGCCCAGGAAGTGAAGGTTGCAGTCAGCCAAGATTGCATCACTGCACTACAGCCTGGGCAACAAAGCCAGATCCTGTCTCAAAAGAAAAAAGAAAAAAAAAAGAAAAAAAAATTTTTGTCTGATTTTAGAGCATCTTATGAGTTAGGAATTGTGGGTCTGTTTCACTAACTGTGTTTTAGGTGGACTACAACATCTGCAGCTTGGGAACTTGGTCTCAGCCTCTGACTTGCATTGATAGTAACTGCACAACCCTCTGCAGGCATTTGGGTTTGTGTTCTTTGTGTCCTTAACCATTTTAAACTCTTATATTGAGTTATTTTTCTAGTGACTAACTCATTGAAAAATAGTTTACTTTAAAAATCTAGTATTTAGTTTAATATAGAAGCTTCTTTGTTAACAATGCCCTCCTCTTTCCATAGATGAAGATGAGGAGAGTGAGGAATCAAGTGAAGAAGAATCTAGCTTGGAGAGTGATGAAGATGAGTCTGAATCAGAAGATGAGGTTTTTGATGATTCTATTTGCCCAACAAGTAAGTTAGATAAAACCACGTGTTCTCTGTGAAGTGTGAATATTGATTGGCAATACTGGGAAGACCCTTTTTGGTTTCTCTGTGCTCTGATAATTCAAAAAAAGGATAGTTCAAAATGTATGTTATAGAGTCTAATGAATACCTTTTTTTAAGTGTAAGGATATTTATTTATTTTTTTGAGACAGAGTTTAGCTGTGTCACCCAGGGTGGAGTACAGTGGTACGATCTCGGCTCACTGCAACCTCCACCTCCCGGGTTCAAGCTATTCTCCTGCATCAGCCTCCCGAGTAGTTGGGACTACAGGCGCATGCCATCACGCCCACCTAATTTTTTGTATTTTTTTTAGTAGAGACGGGGTTTCAGGGTTTCACCGTGTTAGCCAGGATGGTCTTGATCTCCTGACCTCATGATCCACCTGCCTCAGCCTCCCAAAGTGCTAGGATTACAGGCGTGAGCCATCGTGCCTAGCTAGGATATTTATTTCTTTATTCAATAATATTCAACTTCTACTATGTGCCAGGCACTTATCTGATGCTAAGGATACATCAAAGTATAAAACAAACTCCTTCATCCTCATGGAGCTTATAGTCTAGTGGAGAAAGACAATAAATATAAGAAGTCAATTAAACAGAATCTTAGAAGGTGGTACATACTATGGGAAAAGAAATGAAGGGAGTGCAGGAGTGGGGATGGAGAGGCACATTGCTATTTCCAATAGTATGGTCAGGGAAAACATTAATGAATACTTTTGGGGGCTCTCTGGGTGATTTATTATCTGTTCTCTTAGGCAGCCATTTATGAGTGACAAATAATATGCAGACAATTGACAGTTGATTCAGAGTTATAAGTTATGTAGCAAGTTTAATTTTATAGAGAAATGCCAGACTGTAATTTACATATATATTTTACAGGAATCTCCCTTTTTGACAAACCTATTCAAATTTTTGTGTTGCAGATCTGTTTTGTAAGGGCATTTTGACTAGTTTCCTGGAAATGCTTGACAATTTACATTCACTGTTTTCACTGGTGAAACCAGTCTGGAGCAGCCAGACCAATTTCTTGCAGTCTCAATAGATGAACGGTTCAGTAGAGAAAAAACAAGTTTTGGGATCTGTAATTTGTTTTTCTAGACATTTCAAATAAAGTTTTAATTAAATTTTAAAAGTTTAATTTCAGATAAAGTTTTTATCTTGTTTTACTTTTGAATACAATGGTCTTTAAAAATCATAATATTTATGAGTGAAATAGAGCACACAAACCTAATGCCAACTCATTATTTTTTAGCAGGATAATTAAATGGCTTGAAGAATGACTCACAGTTAGTATGGTGATAGCACTAGGGCTAGATCTAAGCTTCCTGAATTCTATTTTAGTATTCCATTTCTACATTCTCTATTACTTGGTGGATAAAGGTGGCTCTTAGTGTGATATTGTGGAAATAATAGAGAGATAATGCACTTGAATCCCATTCTGTTATGTACTGGTTATGTCACCTCTCTGAGACTTAAGGTATTCACCTATATATGGGAATAATAGTTTCTGCCTTGCAGGGTCTATGAGCCTTGAGTGAGATAACATACATAAAGGGCTTAGCACAAAGCCTGCTTCAGAGTACTGCTCACAACATCAATACTATTATTATTTTATGGTTATTAGTAATACTAATAATTTCAACCTGGAACAATTAAGCCATAAGTGTCTTAAAAGCTGGCTAGAGTGGATCCATAAATAGACATTATTGATTCTGAATCTCCAAAGTTCACAATTTTAGTACTACCACATTCCATAACAAATGAGGCTGGTTTTTATTTTAATTCTCTTGGCAGATTGTGATGTGGCTCTTTTTGAGCTGGCCCTTCACCTTCGAGAGAAAAGGCTGGACATTGAGGAGGCTTTAGTTGAAGAAAAGAAAATTGTTGATAACCTCAAAAAGGAATATGATACATTGTCAAAAAAAGTATGGTGATCTGTTTACTTATTTATCCTCTCAAAATGCTACACATCCTCCTAGCTATAATATTGCCTTTTTATAGCAATGACAATATTAGGACTTCTCAGAAAAGAAACATTTCAAATGTTAAGGGCAGGTTTTTTTCTCCCTAAATTGTGGTGGGGGACATTGCTTTTTTGATCATTGGACTTACTTTATGTCAGTCATTGGTCTCCAGACTTTTCTGATGACTGTATAAGTAAAAAAAATGAAAATGGAGCCCCTCCCCATACAATAAATGTATATGTATTTATAAATTGTATTTATGAACTATTATGTATCTTGTACAATAGGAAACATCCACAAAAACAGAAATTAAATAGAATGAGATAAAAATAAATAGAAATAGAAACTCTGACATTTTCAATTTATACCCCAATAGATGATTTTGTTGATCATCTGGGGTGCATGCATCCCATGTTGGAGACCACCAATTTCTGCCTTAATCTGCTCACTTTCCCTCTTAGGTACTCTTGTCTAGAGCAACATCACTTAACTTCATTCATGTTCAGAAATATTTTTGATGTATTATTTCTCCTCTTGCAAACAGGAAATGATTTGGAAAACTTTCAGGTTTTCTAGGACATGGAGAATGTGCTTTAGAAATACTATAGTTAGCAGTTTCATTGCTTTAAAGCACTGAAACTTTCTTTAATTTGTTGAAGTCATGACCAAAAAAGACTCCCACCATTCTGTCAAAGACATTCCATGCTGATGGGCTGCTTTTCATGCAGAAAATAAAAGGGAGATGAGGACATGTCTTCTGGGCTCTTATTCACAAAACTTTATAACTCTGGAGTCATAGAAATGACTGAAGAGTGATGTGGATCATAACTTGGCAGAAAGAAAATAATATGCATTCCTGAGTTGCAAACTGGGATCATGCACTTAATCACAGCCCAACAAAGCAGATTCTGCTCATGCTTTACTTCCTCCCAAGATGCCTTCATTCACCATCTTTAGATGTATGTTTATTGAGTCTTGTCACCATTTCACAACACGGGGCTTTCTACAGGTGAAAATTGTGGCAACTAATCTGAATGCAGCAGAGGAGGCCCTGGAGGCTTATCAGCGAGAGAAGCAGCAGCGGCTGAATGAACTGCTAGTTGTGATTCCGCTCAAGCTCCACCAGGTGATGCGTCTGGGGAGGCTGCTCCATCCTGTCCGAGAAGAGTCATCACACCCAAGCTTTTCAGAGAAAGATTCATAGTTCACTAATGGGGAGAATCGTGGTTCTTTGTTGAGAATTCCACCTGTAGAATGACACCTACACTTGTCTTATCCACTGTCAGATTGTTATAAAAGAGTAACATCAAAACATGGATATTTCCCTGTGGCCCATTAGCACTTTGGAAATCAGTCATTTCAAGTCTAGAGAAATGAGGAGCCTATGATTTAAGAATGCAATGGCTCAGAGGGTGAAATCTTGGCTCTTATACCCATGCCACTTTTCACACCATCTTTATCTATACATGGACTAATCATGCTAAAATGACCTTTGCTTAGTCTCTACTCATTGGTGAGGGAGGTCAGGACAAAAGGAAAATATTTTCTCTTTTTTACTTTTCTTGTTCATTTCTATTTGAATTGCAACTTATATTAAATTGCAGGAATACATATCATTAAGAGAAAAGGCTTATTGTATTCTCCTTTGTCAGGTTAAGAGAAAAAGCTGTATTTTAGGAAAACAACAACAACAAGATCAGCCTTATATATGTTTTGTGTAACCTGACCCAAACTGGATGAGCTAAATGGAGCGGTTTGCCTAGTATGCCAGCCCTGAAATGTTTGTCACATCATTATGCAGTAGATAATAGGCATGATCTGTGTGGGAGGATTTGCTATCCCCACAGAGACGTGATGTGGCTTTCTGTCTGACAGCATCTTTCTGTGTTTGCCTGGCTACTGTTACTCAGTAAGGAAGACGTAGAAGCCCAAAGGCAAGGAGCTAAACAAGGGGCAAAGAAGGAAGTGCACCTCTTATGCTTTCTGTTGCCATACAAAATCTGTGTTTTTGTCTATTTTCTTTTGATTTGTTTTATGCTTGTAGATAGAGTATGTGGTATTTGGAGAAATACCTAGCGATCTTTCTGGTACTTTGGTCTTCTCTAACCATGCCTTGAGACGGCTGCAAGAACGAATCCATGAGCTCCAGGAGGAAAATTCCAAGCAGCAAAAACTTAACAAAGAATGGAGAGAGAGACGTAAACAGCTCATCCGAGAAAAGAGAGAAATGACAAAAACCATACACAGTGAGTATCTAAGCCCACAGCCTTGCTAGTAAGGTTTATTGGTAAGAAAGGGAATTATCCAGGTGACTGTCTCCAACTGTGAAAATAGTAATTGCAGACTCAGAACCACTGAGAAGGGAAACAAGAACACCACAACATCTTCCTACTCACCGTTTCTCCTGATGCCATGAAAAGCTCGCTTTCCTGTTTTAAAGGGAGAAATCTTTTGTCATAGAATCATCTTCTCTTTGTGTATGATTAAAATATAGAATAATACAATAATAACCCAAGTGCAAGACTACCCAGGTTAAGAAAGAAAACGTTGAGATACAATCGAAGCCCCATCTCTTTCTAATGCAATTCTGTGGCTCCTTCCTCGGGGTTCACCACCAGGTATGCACACATACATATGGATGTGTCCACACACAATATGGAGACCTACCTTGCATATTTTTAACTGTGCAAAATGATATTTATATCATTTTGTGGTTCACTTTATTAAACCAATTTTTAAGTTATCCATAAACTACAGATAGTTTATTCACTTTACTGCTACAAAATTCCATTTATGAATATTAAATATTTTATTTAGCCTCCTATTGATGGATATTTAGGATATTTATTATTTTTCATTATTATAGACAATGTTACAGGAAACCTTCTTGTACACATCTCCCTGTGCACATGTGTGAGAAGGTGAATCCTAGTACTGGGTCTCTGGGTTACAGAGGGATATGTACATTTTCAGCTCTCCTGGATATTGCCAGGTTGCCCCCAAAGTGGTTGAACAAATTTCTCCTCCCCTAGCAATGTGTGAGAATTGCCCAGGCTCCATATTGTCATCAACAGTTGATATTATCAGACTTTAATATTTTTGCCAGCCTGTGAGATGTTAAATTACATTTCATTGTGGTTTTTATTCACATTTTTTGATTGCTGGTGAAGTTAAATATCTTTACATACATATATTTGCCATTTATTTATTTTATTTTCTGTAACTTGCCTGTCCTATCCTTTGTCCATTTTTGATTTCTATTTTTTGCTTTTAAATTGATTTTAGGGAGTTCTTAATATATCCTTTTTGTCCATTGAATGCACTGCAAATCTCTTCTAGTTTGTAACTTGTCTTTTTTCTTTTCTTTTTCTTTTTTTTTTTTTTTTTTTGAGATGGAGTCTCACTCTATCGCCCAGGCTGGAGTCTCACCTCTATCGTGGTGGCGTGATCTTGGCTCACTGCAACCTCTGCCTCCTGGGCTCAAGCAATTCTCCTGCCTCAGCCTCCCGAGTAGCTAGGATTACAGGCGCCTGCCACCACGCCCGGCTCATTTTTGTGTTTTTTAGTAGAGATGGGGTTTCTCCATGGTGGCCAGGCTGGTCTCAAACTCCCAGGTGATCTGCCTGCCTTGGCCTCCCAAAGTGCTGGGATTACAGGCGAGAGCCACAGTGCCTGGCTATCTTTTTTTTTTTTTTTTTTTTTTTACTTTGTCTAGTGTATCTTTGGATACAGATGTTTTAAATCTTAATATAGTAATTTTTTTAATCAATCTACTTATTTATGGTTTGTGCACTATGTGTATGTGTGTGTGTCTTGCTTAAGAAATCCATTCCTATTTTGAGGTCATAAAGATATTTTTTGGTCCAACCATTCCACTACTGGGAAATGAAATTAGTAATCAGTATGCAGAAGAGACATCTGCAGTCCTATGTTCACTGCAGTATTATTCACAATTGCCAAGACACGGAATCAACCTAAGTGTCCATAAACAGATGAGTGGCTAAAGAAAATGTGGTATATGTACACAATGAAATACTATTCAGCCTTAAAAAAGAAGGAAACCCTATTATGTGCAACAACATGGATAAACTTGGAAGACAATATGTTAAGTGAAATAAGAGGCACAGAAAGAAAATACCACATGACATCACTTATATGCAGAGTATAAAAAAGTTAAACTCATAGAAACAGAATAGAATGATGGTTACCAGGGTCTGTGGTTGTGGGCTGGGGTACAGTTTGGGGAGATGTTGGTCACAGGATACAAAATTTCAGTGAGATCCAAAGAACAATTTCAAGAGATCTATTGTATACTATGATGACTATAGTTAATAACAATGTGTTATATTCTTGAAAATTGCTAAGAGTAAATTTTAAGTGTTCTCACAACATGAAAAAGAAAGTATGTGAGGCAATGCTTAAGTTAATTAGCTCAATCTATCAATCTAGCCATTCCACAATGTGTGTGTATTTCAAAACAGCATGTTGTATATGATAATATATACAATTTTTGTCCATTTAAAAAGATCATTTTCAGTAGTTTCCTAATTAGTTGTGCCCTTCACATTTGGGTTTTTAACCCACTTAAAATTGAGGTATATAGTATAAGATGTATGGTATAAAGATAATTATCTTTTAAAATACTTTAGTAATATTTGATATGTGGAACATACATATAAGCAGTGGAGTATTACAACAGAATGAACCCACCCACCCAACTTATTAACAATATTATTACCAACACTGTAACATCTATCTGTGTGCATTTTTTCCATCCCATTCTCTGTCTCCCCATATTCAGAGATAGCCACCATTCCCAATTTTATGTTTAGCATTCCCTTTCATTAAAAAAAAGTTATATTTACATGTACTTCTAAATAATATATTGCTTTAGAACTTTGTAGAAATATTACATCATATGTAGCCTTTTGAAACATACTCTCATTTAATATTATATTCATAAGAGTAGACGTAATATAGCATATAGCTGTTGTTTGTCTTCATTGTAAAATATATCATATGATTCTACTAAAATGATTCATTCTTCTGTTGACAGTGGACATTTAAATTGCTTTATGTTCTTTTGCTTTGATGATTCTGCTATGAAAATTCTTGTACATGGTATATGTTTACAAGAGTTTCTAAAAATATAAGGGTTTCATACCTAAAAGTAGAACAGCTGGGTCGTAGGGCATATAAGTGTTTAACTTTTTAAAAAATGTTAAATTATCTTCCAAAATGATTACATCAATTTACACTCCAATCAGCGGCACTTAAGAGTCCCCTTTGAGCTACATACATCATTGAAAATACATAATCTTATTAGACTTTGAATTTTTGCCAAACTGGAAAGTATAAAGTGGTAACTCATGGTCTTAATTTCATTTTCCTAACCACTAATAAGGTTAAGCACATTTTATATGTCTTTGGGCCTTTAATGTTTCCTATTCTATAAAATGTCTGTTCATGTATTTTGTTCATTTTTCTCTTGATTTGTTTGCCTTTAAAAAAATTGATATGTATGAATTTTTTTTTGATACTAATCCTTTGTTGGTTATGGGTTTTCCAAATATATTCCTTTGGTTTTTTGTTTTCACGTTTATGGAGGCTTTTTAAAGATAATTAAAAATTTGTTTTCAATTTTTATTTTTTGTGGGTACATAGTAGGTATATATATATATATATTTATAAGATATATGGGATATTCTTATACAGAGATACAATGTCTAATAATCATATCAGGGTAAATGGGATATCCTCACCTCAAGCATTTATCTTTTATGTTACAAACAATCCGATTATACTCTTTTAGTTATTTTAAAATGTACAATTAAGTTATTATTCACCATAGTATCCCTGCTGGGCTATCAAATACCAGATTTTATTTATTCTATCTAACTGTTTTTGTACCCATTAACCATTCCCACATCCCCCACCTCCACTATCCTTCCCAGACTCTAGTAACTGTCATTCTACTCTCTATCTCCATGAGTTCAGTTGTTTAAATTTTTAGCTCTCACGAATAAGGGAGAGCATGCAAAGTTTGTCTTTATGTGCCTGGCTTATTTCACTTAATGTAATGACTTCAGATCCATACATGTTCTTGCAAATGACAAGACCTCTCTCTCTTTGAGACAGGGTCTCACTCTGTCTTCCAGGCTGGAGTGCAGTAGCGCAATCATGGCTTACTGCAGCCTTGACCTCTCAGGCTCAGGTGATCCTTCTGCCTCAGCCTCCTGGGTAACTGGGACTACAGGCATACACCACCATGCCTGGGTAACTTTTTTGCTTGTTTTTGTAGAGACGGGATCTTGCTATGTTGCCCAGGATGGTCTCAAACTCCTGGGCTCAAGCAATCGCCTGTCTCAGCCTCAGAAAGCCCTAGGATTACAGGTGTGAGTCACTGTGCCTAGCTGGATCTTATTTTTTAATGGCTGAATAGTACTCCATTGTCTACATGTACCACATTTTCTTTATCCATTGTCTGTTGAGGGACAGTAAGTCGCTTCCAAATCTTGGCTATTATGAATAGTGCTGCAATAAATATGGGAGTGTAGGTATCTCTTCAATATACTGATTTCCTTTCTTTTGGGTATTTATCTAGCAGTGCGATTGCTGGATCATATGATAGCTCTGTTTTTAGTGTTTTGGGGAATCTCCAAACTGCTCTCCAAGTGGTTGCACTAATTTACATTCCCACCAACCGTGTATGAGGGTTTCGTTTTCTCTACATCCTCATCAGCATTTGTTACTGTCTGTCTTTTGGATAAAAGCCATTTTAACAGGGGTGAGATGATATCTCATTGTAGCTTTTATTTGCACTTTTCTGACGATCAGCAATGTTGAGCACCTTTTCATGTACCTGTTTGCCATTTGTATGTCTTCTTTTAAGAACTGTCTCTTCAGATCTTTTGCCCATTTAAAAATTGGATTAGTAGATATTTTTCTATAGAGTTGTTCAAGCTCCTTATATATTCTGGTTATTAACCCCTTGTCAGATGAATAATTTGCAAATATTTTCTCTCATTCTGTGAGTTATCTTTTTACTTTGTTGATTGTTTTATGGTGGCTTTTGATGAACAATAACTGTGTGATTTTAATTTATTAATCTTTTATTTTAGGGTTAATAATTTCTAAGTTTATTTTTTAAATTGCAGTAAAATGTACATATCATAACATTTATGATTTTAACCATTTGTAAGTGGACAGTTCAATGGCACTAAGTACATTCAGATGATTGTGCAACCATCACCACCATCCATCTCCAGAACACTTTTCATCTTCCCAAACTCCATATCCACTAAACAGTAACTCCCATTTTCCTCTCCCTCCGCTCCAGGAAACTGCCACTCTACTTTCTGTCTCTGTGAACTTGACTACTCGAAGTACTTCATAATGAGGAGAATAATACAGTATTTGTCTTTTTGTGACTGGCTTATTCTATTTAGGATAATGTCTTTCAGGTTTATCCGTGTTGTAGCATGTGTCAGAATTTTCTTCCTTTTTAAGGCAAATAATATTCCATTATATGTACATGCCACATTTTGTTTACACATTTATTTGTCAATGGGCAGCTGGATTGCTTCCCATTTTTTGGCTATTGTGAATAGTACTGTGATGAACATGAGTGTACAAATATCTCTTTATGTCTCTGCTTCCATTTCTTTTGGATATGTGCCCAGAATTGGGATATATGGCTGGACCATATGGCTTAGAAGTGGTGAATAACACTGCAGTTAGCTTGTTGCCTTTCTCCATCTCTAGATCCAATGGGGAAGAAGAGGAGAGCCTAGAACATGAGGGTGAGAAGGAATAAGTTCTCTCCATTCTAGGGAGAGCACAGCTCACAGCCATGGGGAAGGTGGGTAGTGAGTGTTCCAGAAGACTTTATGTCCCTACTGAGCATTAGCTGCTGGCCTCTTCAGCATAGGAGAAGGACACTGGGCTGGCTCCACAATGGAGCTGGCAGGGATCAGAGTACATGTTCTGGTATATGAGGCTGCCATGCAAGAGGGCAACCCCTTGTATGGGGGTGGGGCTAGCTGAGGGGAAATCAAAGCTCTTTACTGAGAGAGGCCAGGCAGGCAGCCACAGGCCAGCACACACGTGCACATCATCTATTCATCGTTTCATTTGCGTCACTGATTAGATGGCCACCACATTATACATGTCCGTGGGGCATTACTTACATAGAATAGAAAGTGAATAGCCCCTCCTGGATTGTGCATAATGGCAGCCATGCCAATTGTACTATTCTAATTCAAATGTAAATTGTAACAATTATGCCCCAATACAAATTTCTGCACTATAAAAGAATTGAATCATCTTGCTGCATATTAAGGCCTTCAAACTTCTCTTAGGGGACAGTCTGGTCATTGAGAAAGTCCTGTTACAAGATTATGTTTTCTTGGAGAGGTGTTCTAGTGTTCTCACATTGGGGAAAGACAAAAACAAAAGTAAAATATATTGCATGCTAGATCTTACATGTTAGTTAGTTGCTAAGAAGAAAAATTAAAAATGGATTGAGAAAAAGAGTGCTGAGGTCCATGGGAGGCAGGGAAAGCCTCCATGGAAAGACAGCACATCTGATAATATGTAGTTATCCCTGGCTAGAGGATAAGAGCCTGCTCTTAGTCACAGCTCCAGTATCAGCTTGCTTTTAGAAAATGGGCTGGGAGGAGCAAGCCGTGTGGATCTCTGGGGAAGAGCAGTTCAGATAGGAGGAAATGAGGCTGGGGTGAGCCTGGCATGTTTGAGAAGCACAGAGGTGGCCAGTGTGTCTAGAGTAGGGTGGTAAGGAGGAGAGGCATGAGAAAGCAGCGGGGAGAGAAAGCAGGGTAGGCAGGCTGACCATGCAGGGCCTCCTGAATTCCCAAAGGGATTGTCATTATTTACCTGGAGTAAGATGGAGACTTCTCTGAAGTGCCTGCTCTATTCTTAATACTAGATGCTGTAAAGTGCCATATTTGAAAAAACTGACAAGCTCATAATCTAGTTGGTGCCTGTTAACAGTCTGAGGAGGGGCAGATCAGTCCATAATCCAGTTGGGAACATTGAGTCAGTTTTACACAGGATTCAGAAGGTGAAAAGACAATACCGAATGGGCATTTTTAAATGAGGAAAGCAGCAGAAAAAATCACAGAAGAAAAATCACTGATGGCATAAAATCTTTCATCATCTTGCAAAAGCAGTTCCTTAGAATGTTATTGTTCCTGGTGTTCATTTATAACAATGGGAGCCATTGAACAACCTGAGCCAGTGACTGTCTTCTTTTAGAAATGGAGGAAACAGTCCGGCAGCTCATGATCAGCAAGTTTGGCCGTGTGGTAAATCTAGAAGCCCTTCAAACGCTTTCTGTTAATACAACACTTGAAGAACTGAAGATCAGAAAACTTCGAAAGGAGCTAGCAAATGCGAAAGAGATGAAGATGTGGGAGGTAAGGAAGAGAAGGGGGTTGATCTTTGGTTGAATCTGGCTGGAGGCAAGAAATCCCAGGGAGCAGGAAGTGGTACCCATGAAGCATCTGTGTAGCTGGAGCTGGTCCGCGAGCCCCCTTTGGCTGCCCCAGGATCTTAGGCCTTGTCTCGGCTTCTTTACTGTTCACTTAGTTAGAGGGACTTGTTTATCTTGGAGTGAGAGCACCAGCACTAGGTTTTGGGGTCCAGGGTGCATATAAATATTATGTAAAATGGATGAAAGATTATGGAGAGATCTCATTTTGAGGCCTACATTAATGTATAAATGCTCTGCAGCCAAAAATTATATTTAAAAATGCTCAGCATCACTAATCATTGGAGAAATGCAAATTAAAACCACAATGAGAAAATGAAATATCATCTCACACCAGTCGGGCAAAGAAAATGTGCTGTGTATGTGTGTATGTATATATATGTATATAGAATACCATGGATTACTACGCAGCCATAAAAAATGATATCATGTCCTTTGCAGCAACACGAATGGAGCTGGAGGCCATTATCCTATATGAAATAACTCAGAAAATCAAATACTGCATGTTCTCACTTATAAGTGGGAGCTAAACAATGGGTACATGTGGACATAAAGATGAAAATAATAAACACTGGGGACTCCAGCAGCGGGGAGGATGGTGGGGGTGAGGGTTGAAAAATTACCTACTAGGTACAACGTTTGCTATCTGGTGATGGGTCTGCTAGAAACCCAAACCTCACTATTACACAGTATATCCAAGTCACAGACTTGTACATGTACACCTGAACCTACATTTTTTTAAAAAGTATAAATGCTCTGACAGTTTTAGAAATGGAGTGGCTATCCTCTCAGGCTTGAATTGTATTACTGTATGGTTTTTGCATGCTGTGCCAATTTGGAAATTATGAAACACCTCTAAGTAATAAATTTTGTAACAAGGCATAGACTGTTTGGCTGATACAGTCTTAGAGGATGTTAATGCCTACATATTGTTCCCTGAGCCATGAGATGAGCCTTGGCCTGGTTCCAGCCTGATTCAGAGATAGGAGCTTTCACAAAGATTTTATAAGTCCACAAAATCATGATGACTTCTCCAGTTTCCTGTCTTATCTCATTAGCAGATGGGGTAGGAGGAGAGCTTCCTAGTGCTGTGTTGTCCAATGGCTCCATCTCAACTTTTCTAATCCAAGATGTACCACTGTACTTTAAAGAAGCAAATAGTGTTCATGTCAGTGGGACTGGTCCCTATTAAGGGAATGTTGGCGATAATATATGCAATCTAAAATAATTTGTTGGAAGCCTGGGCAATGTAGTGAGACCCTGTCTCTACAAAAAATAAAAAATTAGCTGGGTGTGGTGTTGCACACCAGTAGTCCCAGCTACTTGAGAGGCTTAGGCAGAGGATCACTTGAGCCCAGAAGTTAGAGGTTGCAGTGAGCAACCGATGGAGCAATAAGAAAACAAAAGAAAGCCATTATACAGATGTGTGGCCACTCAAGCCAGCTACCTTAAGGATCCTGGGCCAAGACTGGGAAAAGATGGGGAAAAAGCAATACAGAAAAGTTAGCTGCTTAAATTATCACCCTTCCTTTTAAGTAATGAGTACCAGCAATCAGTATGCATAGTAATTTCATTCCTCAATAATACAATGATGTCCACATCTATCTTATTTCTACCTACTCCTATTCTTGAGCATACTTATATTCTTATCTTTAATCAAACCAGACCCAATGCACTTTGTGTTGCATTTTCATATTGGCTTCTGATTATATTTTCATATGGGCACATTGCTCCATTTGCCTGATGATTTTGACCAAATCTGGACACTCATTTTTCTTTCTTTCTTCTCGTATTCACTACATCTATTTTGCATCTTCCCACCCTGGTAGGAAAAGATTGCTCAAATGCGATGGGAACTGATGATGAAGACAAAAGAACACACCAGAAAGCTTTATCAGATGAATGATTTGTGTATTGAAAAGAAGAAACTTGATTCTCGGTTGAATACACTACAGAATCAGCAGGTATGTTCTTTACCTTCAGACCCTTTTTCGGAATTGAGGAAGCTCTGTCAAAGGTAGCTATTCACAAGAATGTTAAGTACTGGCATTTAAACAAACCTTGCTTGATCTTGGACCACTTCCAGACCATCTGCGTCCCCGAGGACACTGAGTTGGTGTTAGCCACATTACAGTGGGCCTGAGGGACTAGCTTTATTGAACGCCTCTTGGGTGCCATGAACTCACGTAAGTACTAATCAATAGAATTGCCTTGGTCCTGGAGAGGTGTAAGGTTACTTAGGTATGAATAACGACACCATTATACGCCCTGGGTTTGGTGTCAAACATGTATTTCCAATATCTGCAAATTTCATTTGACTTGAAGTGGGCATCTTGAGTGGTGAAATCTACCCTGTTTTCTTATTAAAATGCTTGTCACTTTGTGTGGGTTTCAACTTGCTATTACATAATATTTAGCCAGCCTAACATTGTACTTAATACATTGTATGTGGTGGATATACCTAATTAATATTTACCCAATCCAAGTCTTGCCCTCTACAAACCTAACACATGTATAGCATATTCCAAACTCTATGTTATATACTTAACAATATTACCTGCAAAAAGGCCAGTTGTTTCTCTTGGTCTTCTTTGCTTTATATTTTCTTTCAGAACCCTGGAAATGGTCTAAGCTAAGTGTTCCAACAGTTTGGTCCTCTGAAGAAGAGCATCAGCATCACCTGGGAACTTGTTTAAAATGCAGGTGCTAAGGCCCCAACCCAGTTGTACTGCTTCAGAAGCCTGAGGGGAGGGGCCCAGCAGTCTGCATTAACCAGCCTTCCCGGGGATTCTGAAGCACACTAGAGTTTAAGAATCACTGGTCTAAACAAAAGTCCCAAAGTAAGAAACAATGTTGTTTATTCCATGAAAAGTGAATTAGGAGGATTGGGAAGGCTTATAATTGAAGATTAGATGTGAAAGGAAGACTAGAATTTGAATATTGAGGGGTCTTTTTCCACTGAAGAACTTTTGAGTGAAGGATCAAGGCAGTGTTTGAGAAGGTTAATACCTAACCCAAATCTTCACAGACTGAGTAGTCAGTCAACATTTGTTGAGTCGATGTGCTTTGATCAGTCCAGATACATTGGAGAGGAAACAGCTTAGAGGCAGGAGATCAGCTGAATGGGAGAGGAAGTTACTAGTTATCTGTCTCTTTACACAGTATATGTTTACATGTATGGCCTCTTCACATAGGATATTTCATTTAATCCCCAAAACAGTACTTTCTAAAGCTCAGAGGAGCTGAGTAACTTGCTGAAGCTCTTAGAGCTAATGCATGGTGAAGTTAGTTTTGAAATTCAGGTCTGTCTGCCTCCAACGCTGACTCCATTGCTTCTTACAATGATGTAGGCAGGAATTGGGATATAGTTGGTGACAACAAAAATGTGTCAAATATCAAAAGCCATCTCAAAGTAAGAATAACCAAAATTTGATTGAGTCTGGTGAGGAGAAGGGGAAAGTGAGGTGACTTCAAAGTAACCCACTGGAATGACTGGGCATGAGTTGGTGTATGAGGCATGCTTTTAGCTACAAGCAACCAAAAGCCCTATTGAGAGTACCTTAAACAAATAGGAGTCATTTTTCTCACTTGACAAGAAGTCTAGAGGGAGATGACTACACGCTTTGGTTTTGTAGGACCATGATGCCAGAGCCCATATCTCTGTGATTTTCCTAAAGTTTCCTTCAAAGTCACATGACAGCTGCTTCAGCTCCCATGTTTCACATCCATGCACCAGCCTCTTCTGTCCCTTTTATTAAGGAGCAAAAGTTTCAGATTATATCCACTTAGCTCTCTCTAGCTGGAAGAGAAAATGGGTAAGGTTAAGTGTTTAGCTTTCATGGGCTCTAAAATAAAAGTGAGCAAGGGAGAAGAGGCAGAGGGTGTTGGGTAACCCTTACTATGAAGGTCTGCTATAGTACATAGGAGTAATGGAAAAAGTATGGACTTTTAGCATCAGGCAACCTGTTTCTAACTCTGCTTCCAGCTTGACTTGGCTAGTTAATGACTCCCTGAGTCTCAATGTCCTTATCTGTAAAACTGGAATGATACCACCCAGTTCAGAGTCATTTTGGGGATTAGATGAGAGAGCATATGCAAAGCACCTTGCACAAAGTGGGCACCACGCAAGTATTATGTCTTTCCTTTCACAGATGTATTCATGCATTCAAATGTTATTGAGCATCTACTTATGTAGAAAGCACTAGGGCAGGTATTGGCAGAGTGATGAGACTTAGTCATATGGAGCCCTGTTTCTAAAAGACAGGATCTCGCAGGAAAGATAGGTATCAAACAAGCACTTTGGTCATGCTATATTAAATTGCCATTGTTTTAGATTTAAAAAATGGTCAAATATCATAAATATTACATGGTTCAGAATGAACCATGTAATATTCTGTAAATTATAGTGATGTATATGTATAATGGATGTTTCGATAAAACAGAAAGCAGGAAATCCTAACCTAGTCCATGGGGCAAAGAAGGCCTCCCTGAAAGTGATGTGTGAAACATGAGTAGGAGTCAGCTGGACAGGGAAATAACTCCGATGAGGAAACAGAAGATTTCATTCTGGGAACCCAAATATGGGCTGTCCAGAAAAAGAAAGACATACTCTGTCTTTTATTATTCCAGTGATGAGCTCTTTAGGTAATGAATGACTGATAGCTAGCTTAAAGTGTACTCATCCAAAGAGGATTTGCACTTGAAGAGTTGTTTATTAGCCCAAAGGCACACATTTCTAATGGTGGGATTTTAGCAGAGGAATTGAAGGCTCCCGAGATTAAGGAACAGTGGCTGTTTAGGGTGACTGTCAGGCCAGCACTCATCACAGATACACAGTATAAGGGCATGGAGTTTTTCACATGCCAAATGATGCTTCAACAGGGAGCTGTTTTCTTTCAACAGGGCAATGCCTTCCAGGGCCCTCGGGAAGCAGATGTTGTGGCAAGAGAGGAGGTCACTGAATTGATCCAACTCCAGGCGGAAAGGATTTCGGCCTTAAAGGAGGAGATTGCTCTTTTGCGTAGGAAAGGCAGTCTTATCCTCCCACCCATTCAGTCTCCACGAGAGAAAGAGATACAGCCCGCAGACCTTTGAGTTTGCTATTTTCTCAAACCCATACAAGATTTCTGACATAACTCACTGGAAGTTCTGTCTCCTCATCACCTCCAACAATCTTATTACTTTAAACTGAACTCGCCTGAAAGTGTAAAACCAGATCCAGTCACGTTAAGTCACTTTAAGAATCTCTCTACAATTTGGTTATCTTAGAACTGACTGCAGCACCCAACCTCTGTTATGAAACTGAATCATTTTAGATGTTTCGAACCTACTAGATTGAATATGAAGTCTCGGAAGGCTGTGTTTCATGATTGCAGCAAATCACCTGTAATATATTTTGTTTTAGGAAAATTTGATTTGGGGGTATCCTGAATTTTTAGCCCTTGGCAAGAAAAACTATCATTCAGCAATTCATGAGAAAACTTTGTTTTCTTGATCCTTAGAAAATAAACTTAGATGTTATTAAGTGTTCTCTGAGAGGATGCAGGAGAAAAGGACATTTTGTCAGCTATATCTTAGAATAGAAATGCAAATTTCAGTTTTGGCATTGTTGACTTCATAAAGCAGTGTTTTGAGGGCTCAGGATTCAGGAAATACAAACAGACATGGCAGAGCAGTTTGCTTTGGGTTGGCAGAAAGCAGGAAAATAACCAGCCTTCTTGGATTGCCCACAGTTTTTGTAGACTCCTCAGTTCTGAGTGGAGCAGAGGGGCATGCTTAATAAAACAGTCAATAAAGAGGCTTTTCTTTAAAGATTTCTGCAACTCCGTCAGAATTCTAAGTTTTCCCCATAGTTTCTCATGTCCCCTGCCATTTTCTTTCAGGTTTTACTTGGGCCATTTGCTGGTTTTGATATAGATGAGGAGATAATGAAATAGATTTACTAGAGATCATCTTTAACAATCACCTTTGATTATGCATAACATTTTAAACTAATTGAAGAGTATCCTTTTGGTTTGGGGGTAAGTGCTCATTGAAGTTCATGGCTATAACCATTGCAGGATAATCTCACTGACATTTGGAATCCTGTTAGTAACAGAGCATAGCTCTTTAGATTAAGAGCTCTGTATTAACGAGCTACTCATTGAGGCTGTTCCAGGATAAGCTGGTCACTGAGAAGGGCGGGTGAAGAAAGGAACATTGCATAAATGTAGAAGGGAACTCAGCAATGCCAAGTCTTCCTCACCTGTGATTAGCCTGCTAATGTGCCCCCCAAAATTACAGACAGGTCTTGCTTTCTTTGTACATCAGCATATTCTTAGAGGTGGCCACTTGGCCTATTGTCTTCCTAAGATTCCTTCATATTCCTATTTAAGAGGTCAGAATACCTTATTGTTTGCACTTGTCACCATTAATTTCTGATGTAGTCACTTCTCTACTGGAGAGCACCCACTTTTTTTTTTAAATCACTTTCTGTGTTGTATATCCTAAGCCATGTGTGCCTTTCAAGTATTTTTAAAAATATGCTAGTCATAGCCCTGAGTGTCTTATTTATTGCGGTAAAAAATTACCCCCAAACTTAGCTTGAAACAACAAACTTGTGATCTCACCCAGGAGTGAGAGGGTTTCTGAGGTCCAGGAATCTGGGGACAGCTTGGCCGGGTGTTCTGGCTCAGGGTCTTTCGTGGAGTTGCAGTCACACTAGGAGCTGGGGCTGCAGCCATCTGAAGCTTGGCTGGAGCTGGAGGGGCTATTAGCAAATTCACTCCCTTGGCCATTAGGCAGGGCTTCAGTTCCTCGCCATGTGGGCCTCTCCATAGGGCCGCTTGGGATATGACTTCTCCCAGAGCAAGTGATCCAAGAGTGAGGGAGACAGCAAGAGAGAATGATGTATACAAGAGCCACAGTCTTTTACAGCCCAAGCTCAGAAGTGACATAGCGTCACTATTGTCATATGGGTCACAGGCTGACCCTGTGTGATGTGGGAGGGGACTGAACAGGGTGTGAATGCCAGGTGGGGGTCACCGGGGCCTTCGTGGGAGCTGGCAGCCACAAGAAGCAGCTGCCTGGAGAGAGTGGCTGGTCTCTGAGAAAGGTCTTGAGGCGATACCATCCCCTTGGTAATTGTAGAGAATCAGGAGAAGTTACGTTATCTTCCTGGGCCTCATTTTATTATCTGACAAATGAAGGATTGGTAGAATGGGTTCCTTCCCATTCTGAGATTCTGATTCTGATTGCAGCAAGAATGGACCTACAGTCTACAGAAGAGCCACATCAGGACTTGCTGTGCATTTCAACTGAGAGGAAAGCTAATCGGGATAATTATTCCCAAACTGAGCTGGACTAAATCACTAGTTAATTCTACAATATTCAGGGCTTCATTCCGCATGTTTGGGAATTGACGACAGTTAACACTGAATTACTTTATTTTGAATTGGACAAAATATGTTGATAGCTTTAGGTTCATTTCAACTTGATTCCAGGCTTAGTCTTAAATCTGTAGTTAAGTTAGAGCATCTGAGTCTTTGGGAAGTTAAGCTTCAAACACAAGTAGACCAGCAGGGTGTGGCATGGGCAGGGTGGCTGGGAAGCTATCCTGCTCCTGGCACACTTCCCTGCCTTCTGCTGTGCTCCCAGAGGAGCAGCCTCACCTCTGAGGGTAAGGCCAAAAATCAGCCTACACTGAGTTACTTGTGGGTCAATTGTTCATATAACTTGGCTCTTCTGAACTGTCATCCATAGTATCACCGATGATCAATCTCAGCATTGGAAGAAAAAGAAACCACAGAGTCCAGCCCCTCTGTCACAACTTCAGAGTAAAGGAGTTGCTCATGCCTGCCAGCCAGCCTGTCCCACCACAGCGGGCTCCCCAGCTTAGGGAGGTCTGTGAGCCATGTGCTAAATTTCTCTTTAGAGCTAAATCCATTGAGTGCTATGATTCCAGTGCTGTGCAGAAAGCAGATGTTTCACCTATCACTTCAGAAAAGTTCACCAGACTTCATTTTGACAGCTACCTTAGATCATCAAGGAGAAAAAGGAAAAAATGTAAAAACCAGTGGGGCTAGAAGGTGAGTTACAGCTCAGATTGGGGGGCCTCTGGATAGCAAAGCAATGACTGAGAGCGTCAGCCCTACCCACCCCAGAAGTGAGCTCTGGGCCGTGATGCCAGGTTGTCTGAAATCACAGTATCTTATTTTTTCTCTTCTCTTCCCTGCTCTGCTTCTCATTTCCTAACATTTACCTGTTCCTTACAGTCCTTCCTTTTAAATAATATTTTTAAAATACTGCTTTCCTGAAAACCATGCTGCACTTCCACATGAAGTTCTCTCTGACGTTGAGCTTGATGGAAAAAGGATGCAGAAGTCAGGAATAGCAGGTGCTATACTTATTTTGGCCAGCAGAGGATGCACTTGCCCTAAACAGTCAGAGTGACTCTTCCCTAGGACCCTGTTTATCAAATTCTTCATGTTTAAAAGCCAGGGTCTGGCCCCCCACTTAACGAGATTGTCTCAAGTGGCATTTCATCTGTAACTCAATTTTACAGAAATCTAGAAAATACAGGCTCCCCCCACCCTCTCCAGCCCCAAAACACAAAGCGTAGTAAGGCTTTCATTGCAAGCATCAGTCTCCATCTAATTCCACTTCCACATATAAAGATTTTAAAATTTCAATTAAAAAAGAATCTATGGTTGATCCTTTGGTTGGACAACAGTAAGTAAATGTTGATTTTAAACTAGTGAGTCAACTACTCTGGCAATGTTGGTGTATCTTTGGAAAGAAGGGAAGTGAATTTATTATGCACCATATGTCCATGTGTGGCACAGCACTTAGCTAAACAGTATTTTGGAGAAAATATTTGGTCTTCAACACACACCTATATAAAAAAGATTAGTTCTATTTCTTCAATATGACCTAAACTTCATCTCAAGTCCAGTTGGTAAGAGAACTATGAACCTGTTTTTCCTGGTCTGTTGTACAACGGTTCCCTTGTGGACTAAACGGTAATGTGTTCTGCATGAATCCAAGCACAACTGACATTCACTGTTTTAAAAAACAAAAAAGAGAAACATTTACTACCTTTTTCAGATCTCATTTCTGATGGACCTGAAAATATTGTAAGTGGGTATTTTCTTCAAATACTCAGAGACTGAATTCTAACATGTAAAGAAAATGCTGACTCACACATGACTCAGTTTGAAGGTTACAGGGAAGACTAAACATTTATTTAGAAGTTACAGTGTTTGTTTTTACAGAGATATGTTGCCACGGATTATTGATTCTGGAAGGTTTTTTAATGCTCATAGTGCTGTACACATCTTGGTCTGTTCTCATGGGCATCTTAGGAAAATGTTTCCCGTAGCACCGGATCCAGCCATCTGTGTGGGTGTCTCCAGGCTGTGATACCGTGCCCCTTGCTGTTCCCTCATGCTCGTGATGAACCATGTGCCTGGGATCCTTCCTCTTGCCAGCTTATCTGTGGGCCTCCTGCAGCCTCGCCTGCCACTGCAGAGGCCCCAGGTTAGGAGTCTGTCCCGCGCCAGCCTGTGCGGTGCTTTCCTGGGTGACTCCTGTTAGGTGGCAGCTTCTTTATTTTCCCTCTCCAACCTCAACGGGTAGGACTCCTTATGTCTCTCCAGAATTATAAAACATATACATTTATTTACAAGTGCATAAATATATAAATATGGCTATAATAGAAAAATAAATACCAATTTTCTCTGTCTCTTTTTTCTTCTTTTTTTTTTTAAAAAAAAAACAATATATAGTCTTTCTGGGATATCAGCTTCTGCCTAAATTGTGAGAGGTGGTGTTTCAAAAGACACACGCACCAGTGGCCCCGGGGAGAGCTGCATTCCAGGTTCCTGTCCTACGTAGGCCCCTACGGGGTGCTGGGGACACCAGTCTCCTCCACTCACTTGGCAGGAGTCAGGACTGTCCACCTCTTCAACTGGCACAAGGCCCAAGCAGCATGGGGGCCCTGAGGGGAGAAAGAGTAGGAACCATTAAAATCCAGATTGACCGAGGAGCCAACACCCAGTGACACTGGGCCAATCTCTATCTGTGGTGGAGGTGGTTACACTGGCTCTGGAAAGGGGACAGAAACCTACAACCGAGACAAGGGCACTTCTGTTCCCTCCAAGGTCTCTCATCAAAACAGGGAGGGCCACTTGCCACCCATTTCCCACTCATGCTGGGACTGTAGAGACTCCCGCACTGAGCCCACACCACAGGAGCAGATGAAGTCAGTGCAGCCCGTGAAACGCAGAAGGAAGCCCTGCTCTTTCTATGTTTAGGCGGCTAGTCCACCCTTTGCTATGGCTTCTGGTTACAATCATCCCACTCACAATCCAGTCCCCCCAGATTGACACGGTCCAGTTTAAATGATGCTGGGTCGAGCTTTAGGACCCAGCATCTTTTAAATTTAATCTCCTAGAGACAGAGTCCAGGATCTGCCTATGAATGGGCACACACACAGAGAAGCTAAGAAACGTTAGTGGATACTTGGTGCCCTCACCAAGTATCCACTGATTTCTAAGGAGACTAGCATGGAGGAAGACAATGGGATGGGCTTAGCGTGAATGGCCCAAAACTCCTTGGAGAAAAAGTTCCGTGGAAGTACAAAGAGTTATGATGATGATGTTTGTAAGAATTTGGCTCCTTAATGATTGAGGCAACCTTATTCCTTAATTAAGAGACAAGCCTCAACAAAGCAAGGCATTTCAGAGTGATTAGAGAATGCCTCTTAGTGTGATGAGCAGCAAATGGAATTTGTGAATGGCCTTGAAATGCACAGACCAAAAAGGGCTTTTTTCTCTGAAATGGAGAAATAGCCTTTTTCTCAGAGGCTGAGGACCGCAGCTTATCATGTTGCAGTAGAACCCACTTGGACATCCCACAGACCTACTGGGCCTTCAGCAGTGAAGGAAAGTGGCCAGCCACCCTCGATGCCCCATCCCTCCCACATAAATGCTGTGGCTGGCTCCTTACCAAGCCCCACCTTTGAAGACTGTTACTACTGGCTTGTGGATGCCTACCTCATGTCACCCCCAGCCTGTTTAATTTCCCTGCCCTGCTCCTGGAACCAACCTGAGTGAAATGGAGGGTCCCACACTGCTTCCAGGACAGGACTGTCGGGGGCTCTCCTCACCCCTGACTGGCCCACAGCAGCAGGCTGCTCCTGGCGTTGGCAGCAGTCGTGATGGGGCTGCAGCAGCTGGTGAGTGGAGTCGTCGGGCAGTGTGTATAAGAAAGAGCCCTCGTCCGGGCTAGACTTGGGACCCCTGCAGTGCACAAGCCCAGATGGGGAGGTGGGGCTGGGCAGGGTGGGCCTGTCGCCCCATCCCCCTGCTGGCTGTCTCCCTGTCTGAGGGCATCAGAGCTGGTGAGAGCTCAGATGGGGCAAGGACTGCTCTCCCCTTTGAACATCAAGAGGTACCACACCATCATTCCCACTGATCATTCTAGTCCATTTCCATTTTACTCCATGTGGGAGAATGTGAAGTCAGGTGTCCAGGGGCCCATGGGCAAAGTCAGTTGTGGTGGGTGCTTCTGATCTGTCTAGTGACGGAGGATTCCGAGATGCCAAGCCATGCCCTCAGGCAGAAAGGGCATCGCAATTGCAAATGCAACAACTGCCTATTAGGGCAATGGTTCAGAGGAGCATGATTGTCAGTCACGGGGACCCCTGAGTACAGCACTACTGCTTGGCTCTCAGTGACAGGCCTTGGATTTGAGGAGCTAAAGGGAAAGTGAGGCTGTGGGGCTTGGGAGTGAAAGGGGAGAGGCCTGGTTACCTCGTGATCTGGTGACTTTGGGGGTCATATCCATTGCCAAGATGGGTCTGCCTCAGCAGGCTGCTGGTGTCACTCTGCTGCTCAAAAGGAAGAGTAATGAGACGGCCACGCCGGGGAGTCCAGGTAACTTTCCAGTCTTCACTCAACAACAGGAGCATCTGCTCCTGACTAAAGAAAGCCTGGCCCAGCAGCCCAGCCTGAGACCCTAGGAGGGAGGAGGCCCCCCAAGGCAGCCCAGCCACTCCCTCCTGGGTGTCCCATACCTGCCGCCCACACCCAAGAATGCGCTACCTGCTGAAGCTCGCCTGGGCAGTGCTGCTGGGGCTTCATGCCCGGGTAGCCCACTGCAGCCGAGGGGCAGCCCCTATTCATGTGGATCCCATTAGCACAGGCCCGTCCACTGATGCCACTGAGGTAGGGCTGTCCACTGGCCTGGTGGCCTGGGAGTCCTCCCAATGGCACCATAGTATACGGGCAGGAGGGTGGAAGGGCACTTCGAGGAAAACCCAGGTCTGTTGTATGTTCTGGAAGGACAGAAAAATAAAGGTGTGCTTAGGCCAAGGTAGCCCGGGATGGGTTGGAAAAGCCCCACAAGGATCTCAGGAGGCTCCTGGCCACAGAGGGTTGAAGGACGTAGGCAGGGAGTTGACAGTGCCCAAGCGATGGAGAACATTTTCTCCTAGAGTCTCCTTTGTGTCGCCCATTTCTACCTGACACCTAGACTCTTCTGCAGGGAGAAGGGTGGGGAGATACAGGGTCCAGGGCTTGGGGGCAGGAGGCGGTGAGTGAAAAGAAGAACAATATTTAGAGGAGGTAAGCTGACCAGATGTTTTGCCATCTGAAGCAGAAATTAGTGACTAAAAGTCAGATTCCAGGATAGAGGGGAAAGCTGAAGGCAGCTCCGCACCCAGGGAAGAGGCAGGATGGACTGTAAGTAGGAATGTGAGGTCAGAGGAGCAGCTTCGGACACTTCAGAAGATGGCACAACATAGGTCCCGAGCTCCAAAGGTGCAGAGAAGACAGCCCAACTTTCCCTCCTTCCTCCTCCCCAAGCCGAGGTCTGTGAGCTGGGGGAGGGGCCCAGTCGTTGGGTGTTCTCTGACCTCCGAGACCTTTGGGGGACTTGGGCTTGAGCTTTCCATGGACACAGACCTAGGCAGAGGCCTCCTTAGTGGAGCCCCCATTTCCCACCCAGGATCCTCCCACTGAAAGCGTCACTCACTCACTTTGCTTAGACCAGGCCCTCCACAAGCAGAAGGGGATGAAGGTGACGATGATGAGAACGATGGAGCCCAGGACGACCCCGACAATCAGATAGGGCAGGTCGCTGGAGCGAGCCACCATGGCCCCAGTGCCCACCGGCCGCTCTATGGTTTCAGGAAGGGGCGGCTGTGGTGGGGCCAGAGTTGGGGGTGGCAGTCGACCAGGCTGGCCAGAAGACTTCCGAGCTGTAATTGTGGACAAAACTCACTTCAGCATATGTTTCTTTGATATTTCCTTCACAACAAATAGAAAAAAAAATACCCCCATTCCATGGGTTTGGGAAATGGGGTCAGACTCACTAGATTGGGCCTCAAAATCTCTTATTTGAATGGTGTCCACACTCAGCATGAAATTGGAATCTAATGTGAAATCTGGTGTTGTGGCGGAGACCTGAGCCTTATATTTCAAAGCAGAGCGAGATGTCTGTGAGCCATGCACTAGAGTTGGACTGGGTCCTTCCGGCAGAAGCGGTGTAGTGCTTTTGGGAAGAACTGGTGAACTTTTGGAAGAAAATATTTAAAATGCAGGAGCCAGAAAAAGAATTGGGAATGGAAGAATTTACCGACACCCAAGAGCGTGCTACCTGCTGGTGGACTGAGACGTGAAGCACTAGGTATTAGCATGGATCACAGCAGGGGGACAGGTGTTCCCGGACTCACGAGGACACACAGTACATGTGAGATGCCAATTCAGAGGTGGAGTCAAGGCCATCAGCTCCTCACTTTAGCTTTGCTGTTAGGAGGTGCATCTGACCCTGCTGGCCCTCGTGGCCATCTTCTCCCCCGGCTTTCGGACTCTGTCCCCTAATGTCCCCCACCTCTCTGCTGCTCTGTATGCCTCTCCTTTCCTCTCTGTGCCGTCTGCCTCCACAGACACTGGGAGGCCTTCCTGGTTCCTCCCGTCTGTACTCTCTGTATATTCTCACCTAGTCCCGTGACTTCTACCTATATCCTAAAGAGCCGCAAACCAATCTCCCCACCCGGACCCCCTGCACGGGGCAGGAGCTCTGCTCCTTATCAAGACACTTCATTTCAATGTCTCCAAAGAGTCAAAGACTCAGTAAGCCTCCAAGTGGTTTTACCTTGTTCCTTTCTCATGAAATCTGTCTTCTTGCCGTTGCCATTTCAATAAGTGGCAACATCACCTGTGCAGTACTTCCAGCTGGAAACCTTGAAGTTTATTTTTAACTTCTTTCACTCTCTCCCAGCCCTAGCATGCAAGCTGACCCTGGTCCCGCCCACACCTCCTTAGAAAAGAGACTCAAACCCATCCCTTCTCTTTACCTTTACTTTAGAGCCCCAGTTCTCAACCCTCAGCCCATTCCCTGCACAGTCACCAGTGACCCATCTCAGCAGACAAATCCACTGACAGCCCTCCTCCACCTCACAGCCTCCAGTGGCTCCAGCTCTCCCTGGCTGCACCGGCTCATCTCACACCATCCTCAGTGGCCTCTTTCCTAGGCATTCACTCCCATAACCTCCTTCCCGGTGCCTGACACCCCAACCATCTGGAGCTATGTCCAGCCTTGTCCTCCAGGCCACTCCCTCCTCATCCTAGCCTAAGACTCGGTCCTTCCAGAAGACCAGTGTGAAGGCTTTATGAAGTCTCTTCCTCCCTCTGGGCACTCCCTGCACCAGGTGATCCAGGATTCTGGGCTGTGCATGTATCTGCCCTCCCTCTGGTGTGCATGATGGAAGAGGGCAGGGAGAGACACAGAGGCACTCAGGGAGGATCTGCTGAACAACTGAAAGCCAGTGAAGCAGGAGAGAGAATGCCATTGCCTTGATGAGAGAAAAATGTGTTGTTCTGTCTCTATTCCTATTCCTTTGTGATCTTCTCCTGATTATGTTCTTTGCAATACAACTGCTTTATCTCACTTTCAGTATCTGCAAAACGGAGATAATGCTATCTCCCCATCTGACCAATGTGCAAATATTAACAAGTTATTATGTGACTATGTTTAACATGTTTTAAGTGCAACAGAAAGGGGCTGGTCTTGTAGTTAAGACAATCCTGGCCCAAAGCATGCTCTACCCCTAACCGGCTGCATGGCCTTGGCTGCAGTATACAGCTTCCTCATGCCCACTTCCTTTCCCATCTCATGGGATTGTAGTTCAGTTAAATAAACCAACCCATGTAAGCACCAAATATCATTGCAGGAATAAAGTATTTATAGGAAGTTCCCAACTTAAGAATGAGGTCTATCCCCTGATTTCATGGATGAGTTAATTATCAAGTTCCTTGAAGGTGTCATCATGGTCTATTTAGTATTAGGCACAGACAAATGAGTAGAGAGTGAAACATGACCAAGTCTGAGGGTATTTGGAAAACAAAGAGTCTTCCTGGGAAAGAGGCCCAGCACCGCACAGGCACAGGGAATGGTGACTCTGCCTTCCCTCGCTGGAAACACCAAGACAGGAGAGAGAACCCAAAGAGCTTCACCTTTGGTCTCACAGATCATCACGTTGCTGAACTCGCTCTCCCCTCCTTCATTGAAGCACTGCATCTTAATGTCGTAGGAGGTCTCTGGCTGCAGGTGGCTGATGGAGTGCCAGTACTTGTCCCCTGGGAAACAGAGTCAGAGAATGGTGCATGGCAATGTGTATATGGTTTTCTTGATCCCAATCTCATAGTCAGACTCAGCTGGGGCAGTGTGTGGGGGAGGATGCCACTGACTGGCACAGGGGCGGCGTGTGGAGGAACGCTGGAGGAAATGTTCTAGGTGTCCACCCAGGTTGTCCCATCATCACATGGGTTCATGAAGTTGACAGCTTCAAGGGTATTATGAATGAGTCAATGACACGGAGCTTAGAGCTTCGTGTCACACCAGATGCAGGTTTATGCTTCACCAGATTTCACCAATACCTTGTCCCCCATGCCAGCGGAGGAAACTATATCACGCAGAAGCTATAAACACAGAACTGTGTCTCACCTTCCACCATATCCTTCTTGTAGTCACTATCATTGTCACTGTCTGTGGGTCGATAATAGATATAAAAGCCATGGATTGGGGTGTTGTTGTTACTTGCTGGGATGTACTATAGGGAATGGAGAAGAAACAAGTTGACAATGGGCAGAGAAAACATCATCAAAGCAAAACCACTGGTGTATGAAGGTTCTACCCCAGTCCAGAGTTTGAATTTCACTTGGGACCCCTGGCAAAGATTTCTAATGATATCCCTGAGGTTCTCTGAAAAATGTTGTAAAGATTACTCATTATTTTATTTAGCCTAGAGGTCCCTAAGCTTTTGAAGAGAAGAAACAAATTGCCATTTCTCCAAAGACTTCAATTGCTTCTGATCTCCCTGGACATGTGAGGGGCCCCTGTGGCTGAGAAGGGGCCCTGAACAGTTGTGTTGGGATCCCCTGTGGTGTCAGGGGAAGGGCAGGAAGGAGGGTGAGGTCTACCAGGTCAAGGCACCAGAATCAACAGGAGACCACTAGAGCAGCTCCAGCCACTAAGAGCCTCCCAAATTCCACTGATGAAGCTTTCAGGTGCCCTGTTCGGGGGAGTCTAATCCCCAGGCTCACAGGGAAGGGCATTTAGGGGAGGCCGTCTTCCACTGCAGTCCACGGCCAGGCCCGCTTACCATCCACTTGAGCATGATGGTGGTCTCATTGACCGCATCCGTGAAGGTGATATAAGGACCTGCCACGGGCCTCTCGTACACGCGACCGCTGTAGCCCGACACCACGTAGGGCCGAGAGGGGGCGCTGGGCTCGCTCTCCCCCAGCATGTTCAGAGCCCGGACTCGAAACTTGTAGGAGGTGCCTGGTGAGAGGGACACTCACTGAACTCAGGAGCTGGGAAATACCTTCTGATTCTCCCATGGCCTTTCAAGGCCCAGGACCTGGAGGGGTCTTCTGGGCAGCCCTTCCCCAAAGCAAGTTCTCAAAGGCCTCACAAGAACACCCGCCACTGTCAGAGCTGAGCTGCAGGGGAGATGGCTCTGGATGCTCTTCTGGAGGGAGGCAGAAGGCTTTAGGACTGTGGTAAACACCACAGACAGCAACATGGAGGCATGCTGGTGGGTGGGGGCCTGGGCCGAGAGAAGGGGATCCCAGGCTCGTCATCCTCCTCCAGGCGGAAAGGGGCAGCTGGGGGATCAGGCCAAGGCCACGGTGTGGCCAGGCCCCTACCTTTCTCTAGGCCCGTGATCTCCACGGACAGCCGCGATGGGGGGATGGCGCTGGTGGCCAGAATCCAGTCTCCCACTTTCTTTAGCTTCTTGTACTCCACACGGAAGGACTGGATTGGGAACCCACCATTCCCACGGGGAATCCAGGTCACGTACACTGAGGTCTCGGAGGCCGTGGAGATGGTGGGCCTGTCGGGAGCTTCTGGGGCTGGGAAAGACCGTATCCAGTGAGGAAGGAAGCAGGGTGAGATGACGTGAGGAAGGAAGCAGGGTGAGATGACGCTGTATGCCCACTGGGCCTGGCCTGCTCCTGACGGGCCCGCTCCTCCCCACAGCCCTCCACCCACTGGTGTTCACATCAGACCTCCCCACGGCTGCCTGGGCTTTGAGCTAAGACCCCTTATGCTATCCTTCTGCAAAGCCAGAGTGTGGAGGCCCAAGGACCACAGCTCTGGCCTCTGCTGCTCTCTGGATGCACCCAGTGAGCAATCCCAGCATCAATGCCAGCCTTTTATTTAAAAAGCTCCAAACTACATTTCCTCATTGTGGTTAACTGGGAGATGTCATAAAAACCCTGGACCTACAGAAGCAAGACCCCATTCAGCCATGGGAACAGGCCTCTGAGGCAGTTCCAGTCCTGACTGCGCGTCCGTCCCTGCTGCTAGCGGCTTACGGGAGAGGCGGCCGTGGTCTGGCTGGCTGCTGCTCTGGGGACTGGCTCCAGGGTCGTCTCTCTGGATCTGCTGCTCTTTGCTGGCCATGATCTCGGGTTTGGGCCGCCGTCCTGGGTGGAAATGGGTTGTAGTCAGCAAGGGAGGAAGCAGGCATGAGATCTCCCTCCCACAGAGTCCTTTTTGCCTGAGACTCTGCTAAGCGGCATGACAAAGTGATGCAAATAAGCATCCGGGGCACTGAGGGTGTGGGCTCAGCCTCGGCCGAGACTGGTTCTGTTGTGGTACTATTGCTGGCCCCTGTGTGAGAGAGGGATGAAGGGGTGCCAGAGAGGCCGGCTGGCTACTCTCCTGATGAGAGCTGGGACCTCAGCCTAGCACACAAACCACAAGGAGGCAGTAGCTGGAAGGAAAGATGAAGTTCAAGGTGAACAGCTGGGGCAAGGTGAGCAGGAATTCTCACCTGGGCCAGTGGAACTTGCTTAGACCCACGGAAACCCTAAGCAAGGGGCAATGTTTGACTCTCACCAGTTCGGAAGGTGACCATGGCTGTCTGGCCCTCTCCCGCACAGTTGTAAGCTGCCATCTCCACTTCATACAAGCTCCCGGGGTCAAGTCTGGTGAGGGTCAGGCGGTGCTGGTTGGCTGGAATGCCAGAGATGGTCCAATCGTCAGAGGAATTTGTGACCTGCTGGAGAAGGTAGCTGGTATAAAGACCGGCATCTCAGCCTCGGGCTACGAGTGGGCTATGGTTTACAAAGAAAGCAGCGCTGAGCCCAAGAGGGCAGGAGAAGGGGAAGGACGATAAGCCAGGTTGGGGTTAGGGTGGCACAGCCTCGGACTGGCCCCCCTGGCTATGGGACACCAACCTCACTGGGACATTCAAGTCAGGCTCCCTGATCCCTCGTCTAATGATCTCATCAAAGAAACCTCAGTGGGGGAAGTCAGACAGCCTGACTGATATTGCTGAGAACTCCTCCAAAGACCTTCTCTCCCTGTATTTCAAAGAATCTCCATGTTTTGTTTTCTTTCTCCTTCTGTATGTAAACCAAATGCAGTTCCCTCTGCTTATATTCTAATGAGACACAATGATGAGAAAGGTAACGAAAGTATCAGCACCCATTAAAATAGCAACATTCGCTAAGCACTTGCTCTGTGCTATGCATGGAACTAAGCAGTTTATAGGTGCTACTTCCTTTTCCTCAAAATAGCCCAAAAGATTGGTGTTAATATTGTTTCCACTTCACAAATAGGGAGACTAAGGTTTAGAGAAATGAGCAATTTGCTCAAGGCCACACGGCTAGTGAGCACCAAAACGGTGACTTGACTCCAAAGAGCATGCCCATCATTGCACCCTATCCTGGGAAGAAGAGTCTGGGATCCAAAGTCCTGGGTTCAAATCCCGGTTGTGTAACTCAGAGCAAGTCCCCTAACTCTCTGACCCTTCAGCTCTGCATTTCACCAATGAGGCAAATAAACTCTCTCAGGTTATTCTGAAGATTAAATGAGAGAAGTTGTATAAAGTGCCCCACAGTGAGCTTGGTGCACAGTAGATGCCCAGCAAATGCCTGGCCTCTCTAGACCCCTCTCCACATCCTCAGCCCAGTGCAGTTTCTATCATTTCAATCCTCTTTGTTTCCGCTCCTGCCTTCAGTCCTTGCTCAGAACTTAAAAACTGTGGATGAATTGTGACTGTGATGGATTAATCTTTAATAGCTTCAAATTCCTAGCTCTTTAAAGGAAAAAGTAAGGGAGCTCCAGGCTCCCCAACAGGTGATGCTGAGAGGCTGCTCATCTTTGCCGCGCCACCTTTCGGGACAACAGACTTTACTGCCAACTCTACACCCCAGAGAACCTGCTGGAGCCTCAAGTTGTGGTTTGCTGAAGGAAGAAAACAGCTGTAAGGAAAAGCTCTTCTCTCTGAGCAGAATATTCCAAAGTCGAACAAAACCTACCATTCAAGGCACAGGAATGGTCTGGGCTCATTGTCAGGCTTCCAGGATTTGTTCCAAGGGGAGACGTTTTTACAAACTGAGACTCCCCAGTGGTGCTGGAAACCCAAACACAGTAGCCCAGGGTCTGCAGATGCACCAGGAAATGAAACTTGCTTCATGGATGTGAAACAGTGAAAATTAGCTGAATGATTCCCAATCCCCAGCAAGAGAAGGGGGATGAAAAAACACAGCCCGAATGCTGACTTTCGATTTCAAATTCTTTCTCGGGTGATCTTTAAGACTTGTTAGTTCCGTAAGAGAGGAACTGCTTTCAAGCCAGAACTTCTGCCTTGGCAACCCCAGGCTGAGGAGACCCCAGGCTGGAGCCTGAGAGAAGCCAGACGCAGCAGGGGCCTGTCCGGACTCTCACTTCCCCTGCGCCCCATGTACCCTGCCCTCCCAGCACTGGCCTCACACTTCCACTGGGCCCAGAAATGAAAATAAGAAATAGAAGGGTAATTAGTCACTGTCACACACACTGAGGGGGTGAATGCGGCCTGAGCCTGGCATTTCCGGATCACCACGGCATGGCCTTTGCCAATCTGCCTCTTCTGCGAGGCTGCTTCACGGCCACCTATTGGCCTGAAAAATATTAGTCTTGCTCTCATGCTGGGTTTTGTCTCCTGGGAACCATGGGCGTTTGGCCTGCCCTGATCTTTGTCTACAACTCTGAGATGGAGGTGTCCAGTTACATGGGGAAATAGGATTAGGACCAGCCCTGCCCTACAACATGTGAACAATGCTGCTTTTTGTTAAAAACTCATTCACCCGCTTTGCTGGCTGCCTATGAAGAGGCCAGCAGGTGGAGGGCTAATGAGAAACTGCTCGCCCCGTCCCCCTGCCTCTGGGGAGGCAGCAGAGGGAGCATAGGGGGTGCTCTGCCTTAGGTGTCTTTCTGACAACCCCAGGGTCTCTGTGGACTTGTCCTGACCCAAGGACTTCTAGGAGAGCATGTAAGGGGAAAAAAACAGAATAGAAGGAGTCAGGGGCCAGGGCTCCAAGGCAGGGAAACAGCTTCCGCACAGCTAGCGCTCTCCACTGTGCAGGGTTGGTTCTGTTTTCTTGCTTGTTTGTGGAGGTGGGGAGGAGTGGAGAAAGACTTTTAATTCCACATTCATATGCTTTCCATCAAGTGCACATAGCATTTTTATAAGCAAAATCAGCATGTATATGCTTTTATCACATACAATTTTTAAAAAACCATTTAAGAATAATAGTTTTCTACTATCAAATGGCCTTAGAAAGAAAATGGCATATACTTGGAGTGAACAAAAACATTTTCAAGGACATTTTCTTACAGGGAATTTCATGTCCTCATCCCTGTGGGGTAACGGCAGGTAAGAGCACGGCCTTGAGCGAGAGTGGCGGCCTGGGGACCCTGCCCTGCCTCACAGGACACAGTGTCCAGGAGCATAGGCCTGGCTGGGCTCTGCCCCCGCATCCTGTCAGAGCCCGAGACTCCCTCCCTGACAGCTCCTGAAGCATTCACCTGGACAGACTTCCTTCTGTCAAGGAGAAACAGCTGAGGTCTGAACAACATGATGTGCTTTGAGCTCAAATGCCTGCTTGTCCAACCCAAGCCATGACAGATTCTGAGAACTGAGCGGGTGTTTCACAGCCTACAGAGAAAACACTTGTTCACAAATATTTGTTTTCCTGGCATTACAGCTGGCTTACCATGCCAGGGTTCCTGCAGGTATGTACCCAGCACGGCTTACTTTCATAAAAAACCAAAATGTAACATCAACAACTAACGACAGAGGAAAGCAAGAAGGAGGGTGATGGTTACCAGGGAGACTGTTCACGGTCTCCTCAGGGACTAGAAGCCAGTGTGAGCTTCTGGGAATTGAGTGCATAGAGCTTAGTACTGGATGCACGCACAAGGCTTTTTCCTGGGCCTTCCAGGGTCCCACACACCCATCTTACAACCAGCTTCCTGGGAGGTGGCAGGGATGGACACTGGAGGAGACAGAAGGGCCTGTTTAGTGGTGGGGATTACCGGCTCAGGCTTCAGGAGCTCAAGGGGAGATGGCCAAGAGACAGTGACTCTGCTCAGCCTTGCTGGAAAGGCTGTGCAGGGGAGGCAGCAGCCCCACACCAGGGCCATACCTTGCGGTGTTTCACCACATAGTAGAGGATTGGCGCCCGGCCACTGCCCTCATGCCGAGGCCGCCACACCAGTTCATATGAGTCTGTCTTGGAGGTGCGGGGCGAGCTGAGGATGATGGGAGCCTCGGCGGGAGCCCCCTGCCCCTTCTCTCCTGGACACTGCGGGGAAGCAGGCCCCACTGACGTTGGGGGTCTGGGGAGCGCCGGTTGCCCCCTCAGCATCTGCTCAGGGTTGCCGAGTTTGGAGGGTGATACAGGAGGTGTGCCAGTAGCCAGCTCAGCATCCTGCCATAGCCTTGGGGTTATGCCTGGAGGACCAACAGGAAGCAGAAGGAAAGGTTAGTCTCCTGGTTTACCTGCTGAGCTGTTGTTCCTGGGGAGAAAACAGAAAGAAGACAGAGAGGCAACCTGGGCCCACCATCAGCTGTACCGCCACCCACTCTGTGCTGCCCAGCCAGGCTCCGTGGAAGACAGCGCTGGTGTCCCTGTCCTGCCAGAAGGAAAAGGCAGGCTGGCCTGCCTGGCCAGGGCTCAGGGGTGGCTTGGGTATGGCAAGCAAACTCCTGAATCCACGTGAGGTGCATCTCCAGTGAACTAACTCAATTTTCTCCCGAGGCCCAGGAACCCTGCGCCTTCCTTCTCGGTCTAGGCTGGAGGTGGGGACATGTCCCTTCATGGTGGAATTTTAACACCACGGCACCATGTGGGCCTTTTCCTACTGAATATGAGATATGAACGCAACTGGGAATGTCCTCTGAGAGTCTGTGAGGCCAGGAGGGGCAGTGCTTCCTTCAGGAGGTTTCCACAGAATCTGCCAGCACCTGTCTCTCCTCTACCTGACCTTCCCCACCACAGGACATGGGCACCCGATAATGCTGACTTAGCATCGTATTATATTCATTGCTGTATTTTTCTCAAGTTGTTTCCCTGGTAAGTTTCGTCTCCATAGGGGAGTTCTCGAGGGCAGGGTCTTTGCCCTGTTGCTCTGCATCCCCATTACCTCTCCCTAGGTTGAGCATGGTCACTGCTCAGCTGGCATAGGCCCCAACTGGAATGAAGCTTGCTGAGAAGGACAGACTGGCTTTTCTTTACCAAAGCACTAGAGTGGTGGTTGTCAAACTGGGTTCCACAGAAATATTTTTTTAAAATACAGCAATTAAATGGGTTATTTTCATTAGTGAAAATCTGTACTTCAGATTTATTAAGTTCATATAAATTTGAGCTTACAACTAAAAGCTACTTTTTTCTATCTTATATACTGGGGTTCCAAGTTAGATTTCATTTGAGAAAAGGATTCAGTGAATCATCAGCTGGAATCTCAGACCCCTGGGCTACACTCACTTGGCCTGGAGGTCCGCAGCTGGACTACGGCATGGGCGCTCCCAACCTCGTTCTCGGCCATGCACTGGTAGACGCCTTCGTCCTCAGGCCCCATGCTGAGCACGCGCAGGGCCCTGCGGGAGAGCCGGAGGCGCTGGCTGGAGATGAGGGGCACAGCATTCCTCAGCCACAGCACGGAGGGCGGGGGGTTCCCACGCACCTCACAGGTAAGCTTGGCACTCTGGCCCCAGGGGATGACCAGCTGGGATAGCTCCATGGTGACCTCAGGGGGTTCTGCCAGGAAACCAGAGCAGGGTGAGAAGGGCTGTGTCTTTCTGTCCCAGGGCCAGATGGGCTGGGAGGGATGTAGTTAGGAGCAGCTCCCCTGCCCTTTGGCTGTTGCTTTTTCCTAATGGGCAGAGTAGAGGGAAGGAGAGGTCTGATGTCTCCACCATCAGAATCATGACAGGAGGGCTCCAGGACTGCGTGCTCTTACTCTGGGATCCGAAGAGCCCTGACTCTTCAGCATGCCTGTTCCTCACTCAGCATGTGGCCTTTCACAAGATGCTAACCCTTTGTGAGCCTGGGTTACATTTCTAGAAAGGCTGCACAGACCAGAGAGAAGGCCAAGCAGAAGACAGTCCACAGCAGACACTCACCAAACACCTGGACATTGTAGAGGATGACCGCTGCCCCGGGCTGCCCAACCCCATTGTCGGCCATGCAGCGGTAGGTGCCTGAGTCCTCCTCGCTGGTGGTGTCGATGAGGAGGTTGCTCAGCAGGAAGCGCGTCTTGTTGTAGCCGGTGACACTGGACCCATCCTTGGCCCAGGTGACCCGTGGGGGTGGGATTCCACTGGCCACACACTCCAGAATGAGACTCTGGCCTTTGGTGACGATGATGGTTTGGGCCTCTGGGGGGTAGATGATGCGGGCAGCCTCAGCGGTGGAGCCTGGAGGGGCAAGGAGGGCAAGGACAGAAGGCGTGTGGACCAGGATGTCCTGTAGAGCATGCCCAGGAGGCAGTCCCAGAGAGCATGGAGATGGGATCAAACAGCCATTCCGGGTCTTTCAACCTATGTAGAGTGGGGCGTGCTACAGAATTCCCTTGGGGCTTGGTGTCCTTATCAGAAACAAGGACTGCTTCTGCAGGGAGCTGTTATGAGTAAGAAATGAGATAACACAGAAGAACAGCAGCATCAACATAACATATGCACAGTTAACTGTGTGCTGGCAAAGAGAGAAAGGTGAGGGAGTGTAGAGGCAGTTTAAATGGTACAGATATTTCTTTCTGCTTGCACTCAGTATGTGCGCTGTGAGGCTGAAGATGAGATGGGAAACAAGAATCTGCCATGCTCTCAACCCCACCCTATGGTTCTCAGGCCCAACTGTCTCTCAGTGAGCATCTCAGAGCCGGCCTCCGGCTGAGCTGAATGGAATCCACTGTTTAAACACATGCATTTCTCATATTGCAAGGTCCCCAAATGCAAATCACCTATGTACTTCCTCAGGTGCACAGCTGGGAAAGCTGTAATCTTTTTTCAACACTGTGGACAAACTGCAGAGAACTCACTGAAAGGCCTGTTTACTCTCTAATGTGTGCCGTTCCTCAGCAACCTTCAAGGAGCAAGGGGACTATGTGTGATTCCGCTTTATATGCCAACCAGGGACACACCCAGGTTTTCTAAAACCTGAAATTTATACAGTTTCGGAGGCCCCAAAAAGAATGGAAAATGATACATACAAAGTTAGGGCCTTGTGAGGCTTCTGTCAGTGAGTGAAAGACGATGGAAGTTTAACTTCATTAGCTTCACAGTGATTCCATCTCTGGTGCCAACTCTAAGCCTAACTCCGTGTAAGATGTCACTCCTTTGAATTGGCAGGGATCCAGGCAAGCGCACAGAAAGGTAGCTGCTGTTTTCCTGTGCATTGAGAGCATGTGGGCCTCCCGGAAGCTCACCAGAGGGTGGTGCAGGGCACACCTCATCAGTGCAGAGAGTGCAGGCCCAGGGACCTCATATAGGGCAGAACAGCAGCCTGGAGGCCTCCCACGTGGCCATCTGTTCTAGGCACATGCTGTGTCCGCTGCTGAGCTTGAGACAAGACCCACCGTCCTGTCCCAGCACACACATTCTGACCCATCCCAATCGCAAAGTAACCGTGAAGGAAACCTCCCATCAGGCAGGTGTGGCAGCAGGCAGTCGCCTGGTGCTGTGTGCTGTGAGATGCTGGCCCTGAGGCCGGCCAGAGGGGAGAGAATCCCTGGCTGAGAACCCCTGGCTGTCCCCCTGGCCAAAGCCAGTGCACACAGAACTGGAGCTTGGATGTGGCACCTCCAGGTATCTACCTCCCTTTCCATCTTTGTGAGCCCTTCCATCAGTGATCCCCCATCCCCCAGCAGGTGGGCCCGGGCCTTACGGCGCACACGTAGCCTGTCGCTGGAGCCGGAGGTTTTCACTTCCTGGGTCACTGGGTTGTAGGCTGCACACTTGTACATGCCCTCGTCCTCCTGGCTGGCATTCACAATCTGGAGGTTCCCTGAGGGCATGATCAGGTAGTTACCTGTGGAAAGGGCAGGGCCAGGGGAAGATGGGATGGGTCCAGAATACTTCACTCTGCAGCTTCCACAAAGGAGAGGTGCACGGAGGGAGAGGAACAGGCTGGGCAGGCACTAGGAGCTGATGTCCACCTGAGTCCCCACAAGACAAAGCCTAAGATGCCGTTCTCCCCATAAAACCTTGCAACAAGCAGGACAGAGTGCCAGAGAGAAAAGGTAACTAACCAACCAGCTAACAGACTGGCTGACTGACTAACTGCCACAACTTAGTGCATAGGTCAATAGAAGAGCATTTTATACTTTAAAGGGAGCTAAGGGAGGCTAGAAAGGAAGCAGGATTTGGAATCAGCCATGGTCTCACACTCTGGGTCTGCTGGGTATTAGCTGTGTGATCTTGGGCAAGTTAATTAATCTCTCTGATACAGTTTCCTCATTTGTAAAAAGGCTTAATGTATGCTGCCTCAGGGCTATTGTAAGGATTGAGAGGCCCAGGCTGCACACATGAGAGATGAGATCATTCCTGCAAGCCTCCAGGAAGGAGGAAATTGATTTTGGAGCTTCCCATCATTCTCCCTTCCCAAATGATGAGCAAATCTTCCCACCAGTCATAGCCATCACTCGGAATCGCCTCATTATTGCATTTCTGCTACTTGGAGAGGAATATTCTGACTTTCAACCACTGTCCTCCCCATGAATGCCACTGAAATCCTTTCTTCCACATCAGGGGCCTGTTAGGCTCTGTCTGCTCCTGGTCCACAGGTGCCCTGGGATGGTGCCTCACGGGTGTTCAGATTCTGTAGCTAGGAGGCAGAGTCACAGCTCCTGGACACCCCAGCAACTCGGGTGGCATTTGGCTTCCTGGCAGGTAAAGCTATGGCCATCAGTGCTGAGCTTTGCCCTGGTGGCCCCTCCTGAGAGCCGTGCTGTTGCCAAGCCTGGTGCCTGCCTGCTGCTGGGCCACCCAGGTATGAGCTGCTTATTAGCAAGTGCCAGATGGAGTGGGAGAAACCCTTGGCCCTGGTGGGACAGGCAGGCCTCTCCCAGAGGCTGCTGCCAACCTTCTGCTGGGGACAGCAGGGATTAATGCTCTTCTTCCCCTAGTCTCCAGTTAGTTCTGAGTGGTTGGATTAGGTGTTTTACCTTTTTGAAAACAGTTTTCTGTATTCTCTAAGTTTTCTATAATGAACATATGTTCCTTTCATAACCAGAAAGAGTTGATAAAAACTCTTAAAATCTATAGAATATTTTTAAAGGTATATATATATATTTTTTTTCTTGAGACAGAGTCTCACTCTGTCACTCAGGCTAGAGTGCAGTGGCATGATCTTGGCTCACTACAACCTTAGCCTCCTGGACTCAAGCAGTTAAAAGGTGTACATTTTGAGCTGTGGAGTCAGGTCAAGTAAGGTCTACTTGGCCTTGAGTATGGGGTCAGTTGTGAAAAGAAGCTGTCTTTGACTTCGGGGACAACCCCTTCCCCTCTGGCATTCTGTGGACCAAGTCTTGGCTTCCCTAGACCTGCTGCCGTGTCTGTCCACTGTGGCTTGAGCATGGAGCTGTGACAGCTGAGATAACTGCATTTACTATGCAAACGGGGAGAGGGAAAAATGAAGTCCACTATAAAGATTGCTCTGCTGCATGGGGAAGAGCTCCACCTCCTGCCAAGGAACCCTGGGGCTCCATGAATGGGCTTATTAGGCAGCCTTCCTGTGTGTGCCTGGAGGCACAGAGCTTCCCCAGGCAGCATGCAGAACCATGTGCTGAGAGCCTGGATGGAACAGCAGCATCTCAGTAATATCTTCTGGAGCCTGAAAGGATAAAGAAATTCCTCATGCTAAGACAGAGGACTTCCATAATGGAAGCCACCTGCTTTGGGACCCTACAGGACCAAATATCAAGAAAGAACACATGACCAAGCATGGTGGCTCAAGCCTGTAATTTCAGCCAAAGCGGGAAGATTGCTTGAGCTCAGGAGTTCTAGACCAGCCTGGGCAACATAGCAAGACTGTCTCTGTAACAAATAAAATTAAAGTTAGCCAAGCATGGTGGCGTGTGCCTGTAGTCCTAGCTACTCAGATGGTTGAGGAAGGAGGATCTCTTGAGCCTTGGTGATGGAGGCTGCAGTGAGCTCTGATTGTGCCACTGCACTCCAGCTTGGGTGACAGAACAAGATCCTGTCTCTTAAAAGGAAAAAAAGGGGAGGAGGACAGCTGGCTAGCATGAGGACAGGGCTGCTGGCATGTTGAGGGGGGTTTGGGAGACAGCAGCAGCTGCCCTAGCTTTGTTGAGCAGCGAGCGGTTGGAGGAGGCCAGCTTCCCTTCTGGCCTCAGCCTTGGCCTCTGGGCTCCTGCCCACTCACCTCTGGAGGCCTCCAGCCACTCTTGTTTGACGCTGTACCGGACCTGGGCTTTGGGGTGGCTCTCAGGCAGGTGGCAGGCAATGACTGCTGTGTTTCCCTCATCCACTTCAATCACGTGCTGCACATCTAACTTGAAGTCCTGGAGATCTGTGAAGAGAAGGGAAGGTGCTGGTTGGAGGACAGCAGAGCAAAAGTGTGACATTTCAGGGTGGGCTTGTGCCTTGGTGTTGTCAGTCATGACAAAGCTCACACCTAGGGGGATATCAGGGGATCCTCCGAGTTCTTCCTCCAGCCCCTTGTTGTCTACAGGAGTTTGTAAGAATGTGGGGCCCTCATCACTGATGGGGTTCACTTTGTATATACAAGCTGGGGAAAGGTGCAGAGAGAATCCCATCAAGGGGTGCCTCTGGCTCAGACCATCTGTTACACTGAGATGTGGGGGCAAGTTGGCTCTGCTTACACCCCAGAAATGGGGGGGGGTCAAAGTACAAATGTCCTAGCAGAGCTGTCAGCAGGCTCAACTAATGGAGATGGAAGGGAACGATACAAGAGAATGCTCATGTCTTTTCTCCAAGTTGATTGAGAACAGCCTTCGGAGGCTGAGGCAGGAGAATGGCATGAACCCAGGAGGCAGAGCTTGCAGTGAGCCGAGATCGCGCCACTGCACGCTGGCCTGGGCGAAAAGAGCGAGACTATGTCTCAAAAAAAAAGAACAGCCTTCCCAGGTTCTCCTTAGGCATCCACGATGACAAGTAACAGGCCTGAGATTCCACTTGGTTGCCGGCCATGGTTATAACCAGAAGGCTGATTCTTGCTGCTCAGGAGCCACACCCCACTTCACGGAGGATCCTTCCTTGGGGCTGGGGGCAGGACTCTGGATACCCTAAGGGTTTTCTAAGACAAAGAGGAATCTGCCAGGACAACAGGCAGCACCCTAGGGTGGCTTAATGGCAGTGGACTATGGAGGAGCCAGGGTCCTAACATGAGACTGTGGTCTCTGGCAGCCCCATAGCCATCTCTCCTGGCTTGGCACCATGGGATCTAAACTGGGAGAGCATGGAGATTCATCTAGAATAAAAGCAGAATGTTTCCCAAACAATGCAAGAGTCCAAACAACAAATCTCTCTTTGTATGAGACAAATCACTCATGTTGCTGAGTAAAACAGGGACCACTTGCACAACAAAACTGCATGCATTCCAAGCTGGAAATCTGGTTTTCAGGATTATAGCTGAATTTAAGAGGAGAAATAAAACTAATGGAGTATAAGACAGATGGAAATATTTTACCCAGACACTCTCTTCTTAAAGGTACTCAGAAAGCCCTGAAGGCACCTTCTCCGAATACTGGCCACACCAAATTCTGCTCAGCTCCCGGGACTGACAGCATTGGGACTGACTGCAATTTCACTGCAAGACTGCACCTGCCTCTGCTGTTGTTTCCAGTGGAGACCCAGAGAGGGCTGGAATCAGGTTTCTCACAGAAGACAAGAGATAATGACCAAAAACAAACTGGTGTCACCCTAGGAGTGCCTGGTGATTAAGGTACTCAGTGAGGTCAGGAGGCTTCCCACGTAATGGAACTTCCCAGCAACTCTTAGTCAATTCAAGCCAACACAGGGGAGGAAGCCCTGTTGTTTCTGTGAAAGGATTGATGTCCCTTTGATTACAATATTAGACTATGAACTCTTTAGGGGCGTGGACCGAGTTTTGTTCCTGTCTGTGTCCCCTGAACCTAACCCAGGTCCTGGCCCAAGTACACACTTGGCAAGTGTTGAATGAATAAATGAATGAATGTTAATGAATGAACGAATGAATATCTTGGAAGCTGAGCCCCACGAGTTAGGTACAAGATGCCCATTATGCTGCCTAGAAACTCATAGTTGAACTCATAAATTCATAGTTGAAGTTGGTCTACATTTTGAACAAACAGACAAGAGCCTAGCATAACAAATGTTCTGTGAACATTATATCTAAGTGTGGCCAATGGAAGCTATTTTGCAAATACAATGTTTCTTGAGACGTTATGTGGGATCTGAAGAAAGAAGTGAAATGGGTCTAATAAATGTGCTGTAAGAAATACATGCTATTCAAGGAGTGATGTGTTAAAAACAGTGACAGGATGGATATTCCATTCTCCATGATGTGCTTATTTCACACTGCATGCCTGTATCAAAACATCTCATGTACCTGATAAATATACACACATACTATGTACCCACACACACACACAAAACTTAACAAAAAACAGAGATTGGCTGTCTGATTCCTTTCTATTGCCCCATTTCACTTTCCAGGCTGAACAAGCATGATGCCTGCGGGTCAAGGCGAGATCTCTCATAGATTCCTTCCTGTGGGTAAGTGTAGGGCCTCCTGGGCTTTTAAATAATGATTTCAAAATTATTTAATGTTTTGTGTGTGATATCTGAGCCTAACTAAACGATAAATTCCTGGTGAGAAGCCTATTAATTTTTCACTCTTCACCCCAACCCCAAGTTCTATTGCATAGTACTGAGGATACAGCAAATGCTTTCTAAATCCTTGCTAAATAAATACAGTTTGGAAGGCTGAGCCCAAGGCCAGCTTGATGGGTGTGCAACCTGCCTCTGCACTTGATGGGGTAACACCCAGTTTAATGCTCTGCTTTCATCATCTGAAAATTCTTAATAATGCTTCAACAAGGGACCCTACATTTTCATTTTGCATTTGGTCCCACAAATTATTTAGCCCAGTCCTGGCTGAGCCTCTCAGCCAAGATAGCTAATGAGTTTTCTCTCAGAGAAGAGGAAGGTTTGGACTATGGGAAAGGAATTGCTTGAGCTCAACATGTTCTAGCTAAACATCGGTAACTTTGTTTTCTGAAAGCAATTCACTTAAAAAATGCAAAGGCCTTAATCCTCCTTCAGGCCAGTGCGCCCTGTACCTGCCAAGTCAGGAGGCTCCCCACAAAGCGAGCTGTGAATGATTGTGAGCTGTGAGTGATTGTGAGCTCAGGGGCATCTGGAAAATTCCTCAGGCGCTGTGAAGCACTCTCCTCCATGGTCGAATAAGTCCCAAACTACTCCACCAAGAGGTTTCTTTTTTTTTTTTCCTCCTCCTTTTCTTCACCTCATTCCAAGGAAATTTGCCTTAAGCAAAGAATATACTTAAAGCTAGCAGATCATTTTGCAAGAAAGATGTAAGGAACTGAAAGGAGTTTGGCACCAGGATGCCATCTCCATCTTCATGGCCCCAGGCTCCTGCCCATTGTAATTGAGGGCTTATCCAGGCACGGAGGGAGCATGCACTCTGCCAGGCACCCACCTCAGCAACCCAGTGGTAGAAAACACTGTCTCTTTTAATCCCCTCTTGGCTCCTGCTGCACCCTCTGACAGCTGCTCAGTTGGAGACAGAAGGCTGTGCAGTGGGGGAGCATGAAGCTGGGCACTGGTCAGCCATGCGGCCAGACAGCCCCTCTGTTCTGATGCCAACATGTGCACAACAGCCTGTGCAGGCAGGACCGAGGGCACCCCAGCTGGACATCCAGCTCCCCACAAGGGGCGACTGGCAGGCGAGCCTTCCTGGCTTCAAAACAAATAAGCAGCAGTTCGGTCCTTGGCCCTGTCCCTCCTACCCTCTATCCCCCCTCCCCCCGTGCCTCCTAAGCTTAAGCCTTAGCTTAAACACTCCCAATTTGGCTGCTTGAGTAAAACTTGAGTTTCACTAAGGGATCAAAGGCAGAATAATGAAGTGATGAATGATCTGAAAATCAGAGGACCCCTTTCTCTAGTGTTTTTGGACAGGAAGGGGGCCAGGGAGGGGTGGGGAGTTCATGATCAATAAGAGCCTAACCAGCCATCAGATGGGGCAGATGCAGAGAGGAGCTCTAGCTGGCGCATATGAAGGAAACCAGCCTGTTCCCAGGCCCCTTTGTCTGCAAAGCTGGTTTCCTGGCCGAGTCCCTAGGCTGCTCAGTGTGCTTCACTGGAAATAAGGGACAGGCCCTTCAATTACAAATAGGGTTAGCAGGCCTCCGCTGCAGAAAGATGGATCAGGTTTCATGGGGAAATGGTTTGACAGGACACCTGCCCTTGCCTGTTGGCTGGTGTGTTTGAGAAATCCATTAGAGGAATGTTTTTGCAGCTTTAATCCTCTTACCTTCCCTCCCCTCGCACCCTTCTTTTGCATCCTCTCTTTGTGCATTTTCCAGCTACTTCATTAACTTGTCCGCATTAATCAAACGCTAGTAGACCCACTTTTGTTTCTCAGCTCCCAACAGGTCAGAAGTCCTGGTCTTTGGGGCCATCTCTGAGTTTACTGACCTTATTTACTTGTCACAGAGCTTTGTGATTTCTGAGAAAGCCCATGATATTTTAGGCTCCATATAGAACCCGGCCCAGTTCCTTCCTTCTGGGAGCTCAGTTTCCAAAGGGAATACGTACACTCTGATACATCACTTCTGTAGGCTGTCTGAACACAGAGGCTACAGGGATGTGTTCAGACACACATCATGTGATGTACTCTGTGTTCTCTTCACATTCAAAGGGCACATCAGGCACAGACCCTTTTGGCTATGGGAAAAACAGAAAGCAAATTAGACTGTCAAAGGTACATAGATGTGGCTGCCATCAGCAGATCACATGTGAAACCGCAAATTGGCACATTTTATCTTGAATGTCTCTTGAATTTCTTTCTCACCACCTTCTAGTCTCTATCTTTCCTTTATTAATAAAAGGCTTGGCAGAGCTATGAATTAAATTACAGTATTTGGTGTATGTTCATGCATTCTCATAACACAAATTGTCAAATATTAATTGTAAGCTTATCCCCCAATTTTCATGGACTTTACGTGTCCAACTACAGGATGTGTTGGGTCTCAGTTAAATGCCCCAGGTGTAATCCATAAACCTATCAATCACTTCCAAGGGAGTTATTCATTCAATCTTCTCCTGCATTCTCCTTTAAGCTGCAAATTGAAGTTCGATTCTGTTTGAAGTAAGAAGAGAAGTAAGACGCCACCATCCGCTGGATGCTTCATGGAGTTACCAATATCCCCATATCCATGAGCTCTGCTGAATGCTTAAAGAAACTTTGGCCTTTTACCCCTGCAGGTACTTCTCATGCACAGTCCTGTCCTACCCTCCTGCCTGTTCCTGGGGATCACAGGACAAGCCTGCATTCCTCTACAGAGGTCTGGATGGGATCCATTAGGTCACGGGGCACCGCATGGGGCTCATGTGGCAATGCTGCCAGGATGACTTAGCAGCCTCAGGGCCACTGGCAGGTTTCTGGACTGATGGATAATTCTATTCCCCAACTGTCACAACCTCCAAGCCTCAACTTGTCCCTGTGGCAGCTTGCTGCATCTGTGGCTAATGCTACAAGGCACAAAGGATTCTGCTCTACTGGAGCACTACTCAGTGGCATGCTGATCCTTTGGTCCTTCCCTGCACCTCAGTCCCTTTTTGAGAGACACCCGAGGTGCAGGAGAAGTAAAGTCACTAAGAGTTTTCTCTGGTTGAGCTTCTGGCTCATGGCTATCAGACAGACTTGGCTGTAGAGTCTGAGAAGACAAAGGGTCCCTGACACTCCTCACTATGTTGCCCCTGGACAATATGGGGGCTCTCCTGTGTCCCAAACTGCTTCATTGATGGACAAAAAGTCCCAACACAATTCTCAACCCCCAAGTCACTTGAGGGACCATAGCTTGGCATGACCCCAAGGTTATTCCTCTGAAATAAAATGATCTGCAAGTGAAACGCCATGGCAGTTTTCTGCTGAGGATGTGGGACAACTACAGAAACAGAAGGCTGGAGCCTCATTGTGCTCTCATGAGGTCAGAAAGCCTGGCACCTGGTGAGTGGTTGGGGTTTACTGTGGGCTGGGCAGGCATCTCAGAAGCCATGCATTTGGGGTAGTGACTAAGTATTTTAGCCCTGGCACATAGACCCCCTGCAGCCCACAAAGCGGGACAAAACCAGCATTTGGTAAAATACCATCCCTCTGGTCATCATTGAGTCATTCATTTAGCAAGCCAGGTGCTGCAGAATTGTCTATTATGCCAAGCACTGCAGAAAATACAAAGAAGAAAAGACATAGCTCCTAACCACAGGGAGCTTTCAATCACATAGACAAGGCAGGACACAATAATTCACAAGCGTGGTGTTCTCCAGCGTAGTCCTCACCACCTCCACCAGCACTCCAGCCTAAGTCAACACTGTAATCTACAGAGACACTTAGAAACACAGTTGGCAGAGTGAGTACTGCTCCTCCCTTTGCAGGCAGGGAGACTGGATAAATATGTTTGCTGTCTTTGGGATTTTTTTCTGCCTGTCCAATTGCACAAATAATTTTGGCTCCCAAGCTCTCTCCTGACAACCATGGAAACATGACATGAAATTTCTCAAACACACTTTCTGATGAAAGCAAGGCATGCTCTTTTTTATTTAAAGAAAACAGTTTCCATGGGGAGGAAGAAGAAGAATTAAAAAAAAAAACAAACCTTTGTAGATGCCAAGCACATTAGTTGTTAAATCTTGTTTCTTTCTTTTCCTTTCAGTTGAGGTGGGATTTACACCCAGATTTGAGCAGTGGAAGAAAGCTGGGATTGGGGAAGAGATGAAAGAGACTGGGGGATGAGGGCTGAAAATCAAAGTCAAGACAGGAGAGAGAAATCTGGGGGTGGGCAGGAGGGGAAAGCAGGCCAGAAGGGAGGAGTGGGAGAGGAAGAAGGAGAGAGACTAAAAAGAACCTATTTTGCAATGTCATTAAATGATTTGCAATGAATTGGCCTGAGGCTTCAGGAATTTCTTGGCTTGAACCAATTAAAAATACTTCATTTTTAAAAAAGACATAAGAGAACGAGAAATGCGATTAATCCTCAAAGACAAGTCAAGGATGGAGCCATGTCTCCACTGGGTCTGGCAGCCAGATGAACACAGATGTCTGGTCTGTAGACCATCTCATCTACCCGACTTCAGGGCCGCTCTGAGGTAGGGCTGGTTAGCAGAACTGGGGAGTTTCTTTTGGACTAGATGAAGGAATGAAATAGTTAGAAAAAAAATATACTGAAGAAAGAGCAGAAGGAAAAAAAGATTTACTTGCCAGCAACCCACATCACACATATTTCTCTGATCAACCAAATACAAACTATAAACTTAGCAGTGGGAAAATTAATGTGAGTCCTGGTGGTCTGGACTCATCAGAGCCAGAGCTGGATCCTGGCACAGGCTTTGGAAGGGCTGGCAGCCTGTGCAAGAAGAGAGGGAGGAGAGAAAGCGGAGGCTGAGGAGCTGAGAGAAAGAATGGGGATGAGCACTTTGGTGTGGCTGTGATGAACAGAACTCCAGGTGGGAGAGACGGGGCAGTGGGGCCTGCTTTTTCTTCCCACACACCTGGAAACTGCATACTCCCATCAGCCTCGGTGGCACCAATCCCATCCACCCACTCCAAAATGCCCCTTGAGGTATATGTGAGGACAGTGGTCCCCAACCTTTTTGGCATCAGGGACGGGTTTCATGGAAGACAATTTTTCCATGGACCATGGGTGGGGAGACTGGGGGGGATGGTTTTGGGATAAAACTGTTCCACCTCAAATCAATAGACATTAGTTAGATTCTCATAAGGGGCGCACAACCTCCTAAATCCCTCGCATGCACAGTTCACAGTAGGGTTCACCCTCTAATGGTGAACCCTATTCTATTGAATGGTGAAAACCTGTTCTGTTCTGTTCTGTTCTGTTCTGTTCTTTCTGTTCTGTTCTGTTCTGTTCTGTTCTGTTCTGTTCTGTTCTGTTCTGTTCTATTCTATTCTAATAGAATCTAATGCCACTGCTGATCTGACAGGAGGTGGTGTTCAGATGGTAATGCTTGCTGGTCCACCGCTCACCTCCTGCTGTGTGACCCTGTTCCTAACAGGCCATGCACCACCATGGAACGGTACTGGTCTGCTGCCTGGGGGTTGGGGACCCCTGTGTTAGGTCATGGAGCCAAATTCACTGGCATCTCCCTGAGGTTCCAGAATTTCCTCCAAACATCTCAGTTTCTTTCCAATGTTGTTTTATGCTTCTGACATTCATCAATTTTTCTAAGTCTTTCTTGAATCCATTTGTATCTTCAACCTCTTTGTATCCTGAGTCCCTGCTTTATCCTTTCTTATATACTTCTTGAAAACTTTAAATATATCAGAATTTGAAAAGGAAATTCAGAAATTGTTAATTTACCCTGTGTATGCCCTTTTTCATCTTCTAGACCTCAAACATGTTTTATCTGGGAGTCTTCCTCTTTCATGACATTCACAGAAGGCCTATGGTGTGCCAGGCCCCGTGGACAGCACTGTGGACACAGATGCATAATAACAGTTCCTACCCTCCAGATAGAGAGGCAAGAAAGGGCTGTGGAAGCAAACCCAAGGTACTAAGGAAGCCGGGAAGAGAACCTACTCTAGACTTGGAAGTTGAAGGGGTCAAGAAACATTCCTAGAGAAGATACCTGAGTCTTGAAAACTGAGAAGGAATTAGTAACCCAACAGAGGTGGGAACTTTCTGAGGACGGAGATGGAGAGGAAGATGCTGCCAGCTGAGGGACCACCATTCTGAAAGCTAGGAGAAAGTGCGCGATGGAAAGTGGGCCTGAGGGAAAGGCTGTAAGCACCTCACTATTAATCACAATTCTCCCTATAGGAAAATAAATGCTGTTTCTACTTCAGCAAGTTTTTTTCCTTTTGTTTACATTTTTTCTCATTATGAAGTGATCATCCTTTAATTTGGATGTGAACACTACGTCTATTTGCAGGACAGACTCACTGTTCTATAGAGCTCAAGATTATTACCAGACTCCAAAAATGGCTGAAAGTCTAAAAACAAAGTCAAAGTAGAAATTGCTCAACTTTTCCACACACACACGAGAAACAGGGGATGCTGAGGTGTGAAGCTGTTTTTAAAAAATGAGGGAACCAAGGACTCATTTGCTCTCTTGGTTTTCTTTTTTGTTCTAAAGAAAGCATCTTGCACCATGCTCCTTAAAGGAGTCCAGTGATTTCAAGCCGGCAAATCAATCTTTCCCTTGGCTTCTGGTGCAAAAGGCTCCTCAAACTGTGTTTTGGCTCACTGAATCAACATACTACACAGCCCTTCCCTTTTCTCTTAGCTTAGAAAATGAACCCAGTATTGTATTTAAGCATTTGGCTGTGAGTGCAAAGAATGAATTGAGGACAAGGGTGGAGTGGGTTAAGAGTCCTTAAGGGTGTCCTTGGTAGAAGATGCACTATGAACCTGAGGTCTGTTTGGTAAATAGTGACCTCTGATAAATATAGAATGGGACTCCTGGCTGTTTGGGGCAGACATTTGCTGCCAAGATGCTCTGAGCAGAACTTACACCACGGATCTGTCTGGGTACTTGCACCAGGGCTAATAGGACTAGTGTAGCCAATGCCATTTGAAGATTTCACCAGAATATCAGGGATAATTCTAGTGAGCTATTAATTTCTGCCTGCATCCAGTAGAAAACAGAAAGCGTTGATGTAACTTTGTCCTAAAGCTATAAGGTATTCCTTATTCATTTCCTATTAAGATGCTCAAGTTGCTCAGGCACCTTTTAGATCTCAGCCATCTTTCAATAATTTTCTTGCCCAAGTGTCAAAGTAAAATACACATAACTTATGGTATGGAACAACTAAATTTCAAGCTGGCTCTCCTTTTCCAACTCCATTCCCCTGTGTGGAGCTGTCTCTGTCTCTCCCAGCCAAAGCAGGCTCACACTCTGCCCCAGCTGCAAATCTCCTTCCCCTCCTGGGGCAGCTTAGGAAGCCACCTGTGTTTTCTTTCCCTACAACCCTTCTCACTGCCATCCCTTCATCCCAAAGCAAAAAGCTTGTACAGGATTCCCTGATGCCCAAGCCAACACATAAATGTTTTTCCAATTTGGAGCGAATGGCTCCTCCTGTTTTGTCAGGGAGTCACTGGCTAACTGAACCAGACGGGGGCGGAAGTGGGGAGTACTGGAAAAAACACTCTAAGTTTCTTTCTTAATCAGAAAATGTTCATACCCAAAGAGAAAAGAGATGAGAAACAGTTAAGAAATGGGGTGAGCGGGGAACAGGATGGAGAGAGAGAGACAATCACCTGGTGGCTAGATTAAGAATTCGATTGAGCTCACCATGGAAATATCTCACTATGGAAATAAAACTTTCTATGGCAGTATCGGTGCCATCCGAGAAACTGAACTGGGCCTAGGTCTGAATACACAATGTTAAGAGCTGAATTTGGTTTTTAAAGGTCTGAGAAAGGTATGTGAGGACTCAGAAATTAAAAATCAAGGTTGTCTTGTACACATTCTTCAAGGCTCAACTGCTGAGTCTTCCGCAATCCCCTGAAATGGAAATGAATCCTTGCTAGCCTCCGAGCTCCCATTAAAATCTGTTCACATTTCTGGCGGGCAACTCATGGGGCTGGCTTGCTTTATGACTAATGTGTTAACAAAGTCCACCTTCTCCATTAGACTGAGAGATGTTCAATGGCCAGGACCAGATCTTACTGTGCTCTGTTAGAAATTCTAAATGTTCCCAATTCTTAGGGCACCAACCTCCAAAACATCCAAATATAGGAGTCAGCACTGGAGAATGAGTGCTTTGCTGTTTTTCAAGTGGGACTCATGAATTTTGGTCTTGCCTTATTTAATAGAAGCCTTTAGAAATAGAATGCATTAAGTTGTAAGGTATTGAGGACAAAATTAAATTAAAGAGGTAGATTGTTAATTGTAGTAAGAAAATATATTCTGGGAAGAAAATTATAATGACTGTTGGAAATGAAAGATAAATTATTTTATTAATTGAGTTCTTGCTTGCTTGTTTCTTCTCTCATCCTCTCCACCCCTACACTTCACAGAGGAGTTGAGAAAAAAAAATCTTGAGAAAAAATCAAGACATAGGTTTTATATATATATTTAAAAATCAAGACTAGGGGAAAATTAGGAAAGGATAGTCTTAATAAGATAGCCCAAATTAAACCACAATTTTGCTCTGAGACACCTGTGGCCAAAGAGAATCCAAACAATATGCCTCTGCCAAGGTGAGAGGACTTCATGAAGCTGTTTCTGCAACCAGTGAATGCATCTCTGGTAGGGGCTGGGGCAACAGGGTCTCTGTGTCTGCATCTTCCAATGGTCAGCTCCACCCAAGGTTGAAATCCAAAGCATCCAGAGGTTTGAATGGAGCTCATGGCTCCATAAAGGTTAAGGAATAACCATTGTCCTGGCAGCGTGGAAACATCTCCGTCTAAAGGTGCCATTAATGATTCTGGGAGCTGGACTTAGGGAGAATCTAATTTCTTCACATTGTCTCCAAAGAGACATATTCCAAAAGAACTCCAGGCAGGTGGTGTATTTCAGGTGGACAGTAGGGGACTGTGATGGTTAATTTCATGTGTCAACTTTGCTAGACAATCTTTTACTTTGAGAAAATAATTACCCTCCCTAGTGGGGATAGGCCTCATTTGATCATTGAGGGTATTAATAGCAAAGACATGTTTTCCAGAGAAGAACACAACACAGAAAATATGCCTGAGTTTCCTGCTTTTACCCTAAGACTGCAATATCAATTCTTACCTGAATCTACAGCCTGCATGAGCTAACTCTTTAAAATAAATCTTTGTATAATATATAATTATACATATACAAAATTAAATATATTATACATATATATATACACACACACACACATATATGTATTATTGGTTCTGCTTCTCTGGAGAACCCTAATACAGAGATAAAGGAAGCTAGAAATATTTTAAGAAAGAAATCGCTACAATGGTCCTTAATGGACTATGGACTATTCTAGTTCACAGTCAGAACCTAGGTGACCTTAGTGAAGTGTGTGATGGGAATTAGCGGTTAGGGGAGCTGAGCAAAGAGACATAGCTTCTGTTTGTAAGATTCACCATGCTGAAGGCCAGGGTCAGCCCAGCCTGTCAGTGCAAAACAACAGCTGTCTGTATACGGCAGCAGTTGAGTGGGCAGCAGTGAACCCACAGGAGCATCAGTGAGCAGCTCTGCGGGCTACACTGACAATGCACCATGACACCGTGGCTGCTCCTGAAGGCGGCTGGGGTGGGAATCTGAGTTAGAGAGCACATGTATATAAGGAACTAAGAAAGTCACAGGAATGGGTTAGTTCTCTCTTTATAAGAAGCCAGCCCTCTATTGGTTCTGGTTATGACTGGAAGCTCTGCCACCCTCTGGACTGTCTTCCTAAGGGTCACTCCCAGAATGGAACTGGGCAGTACAGGGCTGGACACGGGCTTTAGAGCCTCCAGAAAGGAGACACTCCAGAAATGTTTGACAACCACATGGGCGAACAAATAAAGCCTGGGATTTCTAAAATGCTCTCAAATACTAATATTATACATTCTCCCATTTATCCTCAAAAAACCCATGAGACTGGTGATGTAATTACTGTGTTCATTTCACAGCTGTGGCAGTCAGTCTAAAGACCAAGTGATTTGCTCAAAGTCATGGAACACTTAAATGGCAGAGCTAAGGCTTAAACCCAGAATTTAAAAATTTTTTTTAGCTTCTTGTTTTTTCCATTATACCAGTTTGGCCCTTCATTTTATTCATGGGTTAAATTAAATTATGGTAACAAAGGGCCCCTGGTCACTTTGGACATTTTCTCAAAGTCAGAGATTCATGAGGTTGAGTGGCGAGGGGGACTCCTTCCTTTCTTGTCAGCCACCTTGCCTGCTGATCTCTGATGCCAGAGACAGGACCATTCAGGAGTATATGCCTGGCCTTGGCGCTAGGAGGCCTTAAGGAGCGGTGACCGATCTGTTCTCAATTATACCGGCTGCAGCTTAAGACTTCACATTAACTTGAGGACTAAAATTCCCAAGTTTAGAATTATAGGTAGCTACCTGGTTACCACCTGTTTTATTTCCAGCTACCAGTGGGACCTAGGGATGATGGGAGAATTGGGAGAATAAAATTATCAAAAAATCTTAAAAGTTAAAAATAAACAATTATTAATGGTTGACTGTTAGAGGTAAGGGATTGAGAACAGCTTTTCCACTGCCAGCTCTGATGAGTCGGTTGTGACTCCTTGCCATACTGTGTTGAGAACAGGCCTGAGGTGGAACTCAGGGTCCAGTAAGAAGGAGTGGAGTGCTCCCTGGCAGGGTCTGCTGTTGGTTCAGGAGCAGACTGGGAACAGCTGAGCTGTGTAGAGCGGTTGGCTGCCTGGTGTGAGGCTTGTGAAAAGGGAAAGGGAAGTGAAAGGAAGGAGTTCAAAGTTAAAAGCATTTCAAAAACCAAGAATTAGACAAGATGATCTGAAGCAGGGCATTGGCAGCAAGAAAGTTTTTCTTTTTTTTTTAAAGTTTAGGTTAAATAGGAAATAAAAAACTCTTCAGAGGACAGCGAGATGGGCACCTCCACAGAGCATGCAGCAGCCATTACCCACATGGCCAGGACAACCTGGGGTGGAGGGAGGGAGAGAGTGCAGGTGAGACTCTTCAGTTGATTTGACCTCTGGCTCCATTTTACCGAAAATCAAAAGATGATGTCACCTGGTCAGGGTGAAGTACAAGTGGACCCTCCAGCTTCCAACACTGGACCAGAAAATTATTCTGCTAGAGGCCTCCCCTCCACCCCTGAATCCTCAAGCCTGGTCCTAAGCCCCATGACCTATAGCCCCATGACCCTTCTAAAGGGTGGATGCAGGAGGTGGCATCTTGCCAGGTAGGCCAGACAGCAACTGCTTTGTGCGAGGATGAACATGGGACAGCGTGGAGAAGAGGCCAGAGGAAAAGGAAGCCTACCATGCTGAGTGTGTGTGGGTGTGCATGCGTGTGCACCGGCACGCCGCTGCCCAGTCTTTCCTCTAAATGCAGACCGTGCCTTCGGTAATCCCGTCTACCACTTGGCCTCCCTCATACATCAGCCAACCAGCAAAACACAGCCCCTATTCTGCTCAGGAATGTGCTTTCAGAAACTTAATCTACTGCTGCGTCTGGGCCAGATCCCCTAATGGCATTAACCCAAAGACAGCACCCCTTTCACTTGCCCCCACCCACCTTCCCGCCACCTCGTTGCTGCCTCCTCCAAGCTTTGCAGTTCCACTCCACCAACTCCCTCTTTTTCATGACACAGCCCCCCATGCCTGCTCTCTCAACTTTCAGCACTTCTTCTTTCTAGTCAGGCCCAAACATTTTGCCTTCTGATTCATGTCTAAATGACAAGCCAATAGTTCTTGGCTTTCAAATAAGCCCAGCTCGGCTTCTGCACAAGCCCCTTCTTCTCTTACTGTGCCTTCTTGGGTTGCAACCAAACACTTCCCTTTGTCCTTTCTGCCAACCACAGATCCCCTCAAGCACCAGAGGAAGAAGCAGCCAGGAATATTTTTAAAATGAAGGCTAATAAATTGTCTCTCCTCACACAGATACACCTTGAAGCAGAAGGAAGGCTCCAAGATAAATCTTCCACTCTCCAACTCTCCCTTTCCCAAACAATAAAAGGTTCAGCCTGGCTCCTAATTAGGCCAAATGAATGGTTATGGTCTTGAGTCTCTACAGACTTGTGCTGCCCATTTGCAGATGAAACCTCCCTGTTGAATGAGCAGTGCTGCTCTTTAAGGGCACACGCATTGCTAAAAGGCGCATCTCATTTGCAATAATCAACAACTGGAAAGGCCCTAATTGTCCAGCAACAGGAAAAGGGTAGAAGGTAGATGTTCTAGGACCACTAGTAATTACGATCATAAGTACTGGTGGGGGCTGGGAGGGTGGACTAACTAGGAAGGGGCATGAGGGGACATTGGGGATGGTTACATGGGTGGATGTACATGAAAAATGTTATCAGTTGTTCACTTAAGATTAGTACACTTTGTGTACTTTACTGTATGCATTTTATTTATTTGTTTTTTGGAGACAGGGTCTCCAAAAAAGCCACATCTCATTTGTAAGAGACTGGCTCACCCCAGCCTTGCCTCCTGGGCTCAAGCAGTCCTCCCGCCTCCGAGACAGCTAGCAATACAAGTGCACGCCACCACGCCTGGCTATTTTTTTAAAAAAAATTTTTGTTCCTAGGCTGGTCTCAAAATCCCAACCTCAAATGATCCTCCTGCTTCAGACTCCCAAAGTGCTGGGATTACAGGTGTAAGCCATATTGTAATAATTATCTCTGATCTCTATGTGCCAGACCTGGTATGCATTTTATACTCAATAAAAAAGTTAACATGGTCATATGGCCAATGGAGAATGCTTATCATACAACATCAAGAGAGAGAAAAGAACTTGTATATTTGTTGTATCATTACAACTTAAAAATATGAGCAGGGATAAAGACTGGAAGGGTATACTCCAAAATGATGGTGGTGGTTATATGAAGATAGCAGGCTTATGAGAGATTATTTTATATATATCCTAAACATTCTATAATGCAATTATAATGTGGAAATATCAAAGTGGAGGTGGGAACTGTACAATGATAGGAAACGTAGTTCTGACCTCAGCCCTTCTTGACGTGATGAGATGACCCCTCTGCACCCTCTACCTTCAACACCCAAGCCTCATAGCAGCCCCCGCCCAACAAGCACAGCTGGAAGGGAGGGCCCTCTAGCCACCCACGGCCTGCCTCCCTCCCTGAGCACTCACAGGCTGCTCCCCGAGGCCAGGCACTCAGATTCCATGGGTGACCCTTCTGCCACAAAGAGGAGTGGCTCCACTGTGAGGGGGGCTCCAAGATGCAGCCCAGTGTCAGCCTGGCTCCTCAGGGAGACAGCTGAGGACACACTCTGCCTTCCCTCTGAGAAAAGGGCAGGCCTTGCTTGACTGTCCCAAGAAAAGAGGAATCCTGGCAGCCTCCATTCCACTGACCCACAGAGTGAAGCTCCTCCAGGGATCTGGGGACTGGAGGGCACGTAGGGGCTTTCCTCCATTCTGTTACTGCTTCTCCATCCCTCCCTACTCTCCTCCCAGGACTCAAGCTTCACCCACCCCAAGGACCCCAGCTTTCTTGGATAGAGGGGCATTTCAAAAGTTCGCTGCCTTAGGTAAGCCCCATGATGTAGCACCGCCAACCTCCTGGAAGCACGTCATCCACAAGGGTGATGATGATGATGATGATGGTGACATGGATGCCCAAAGCAGGGCTTTCAGGGATAACGGGGTGCTGCTGAGTCATGAGGGAACAAGCCCTGGAAATCTTCTCAAAGTTTAAATCCACATACCATTAAAGTCTCAACAAGTTTCCCTATTTTCTACACCTCAGGCGCCAGGAAAGGGGCCAAATTGGAGGCAGTTCTTTAAGCTTCCTGGCCACAGGCTCAGCATATAAGAATGGCTGTCAGGGGTGCTCTCCAGCCTTCAGTGGTGTATTGAATCCATCAAGTCTCACGTGCCCATACATACAATGAGTAGAAAATCAGATAGTGTATGTGTTGCGCCTGGGACACAGCACACCAAGTGGCAGTCACATGCAAAGGTAGGACGTCTGTTTACTCACTTCCATCTAGCCTCATACAATGGGTCCTCATAAGGTAGAATAAGTATAATGGCAACTAGAAACACCTGTCTTGGTAAGGCTCCTCTTCCAGCTATGACTATGTCAAGTCACTTGGCCTTTACTTTGCTCTGTTGAATCTTTATAATACACCCTCAAGTAATTTTGTAAAAACTATGACTTTCACAAGCATAAAAGAAATAAGAGCGGTTATTAGGACCATCCGTCAGTGAGCACATGGAAATGGAATTTACCAGAATTATTCAGTTGGGAGGGACCTTAGAAGCCATTTGGCCCTTGGTTTCCACATGTTGGTCTGAGGACCTATGTTCTTTGTCACATAATAGGAAAAAATAGAGGTCAGAAATAACACAATTTCTATATCACAAATAGAATGTCTACAGACATAATGATTTTAATAAACTATCCTATACTGAGTGTAACAACATGAATAAAAGAATGGCAAAACCAGAAAAAAAAAAGGTAGTGTGAAGTCTTCTCTTGGCATTTTCCTTGGTCCAAACTGTCACCTCATCTCTTCCTTGTTTCTTTTCTCTGTATCCCTTTATCCCTTTGCCACACAGTTTCCTTTTCATTATGTTCTAATATTTATAATCCAGGCCTTCGGACTATGCTTGCCCCTCACAGAGAGACAGGAGGCCAAGTCTGGGCTGGGTGGGCTCTGTCCAGACTACACGTGGCCCTGCCCATGTCTCTTGGTGTCCTGTCTCTCCCTGCTCCGACTGTAACTGTGGTGAGAATGGAGGGAGGGGACTGGAAGGTGTGTGAGCAGTTGGGACAGTGCACCTACAGCCACAGGATGACCAAGTAGGAAGGCACGGCACGGCCCTGCTCTGGGGCCCACGGAACAGTTCTGCCATGTCAAGTTCTGCCATGCACTGACCAATTCCCCTCTCTGTAGACACTCACTCCAGATACAGCCTCTACTTGGAGTGAGGTTTTCCAAGGGCACAAGGGTCCCCCATCACTGGGCATTACTAGGCAGCTACTGTTCTGATTTGACATTTCTGCAGTTAAGGCCCATTTTATGCTAAGAGTAACAAGAGGCAGCATGAATGGTGGGGGCTTCAGGGTGGGAGAGATGAGGAGGGACCGCACCATGGCAGGGAGGCAAAGGAGCAGACTCACTGGCTAGTGTCACAGTGGCTGGCACGCTGGCCACAGCCCCCGCAGGCATCCGGGCCACACACTGGTACCGTCCCACAGTGTGGTTGTTAAGGGCAGTGATGACGAGGGTCCCGTGGGTGATGAGGACACCCAGAGCATCATCCGAGCCATTCAGCTCCTTTCCATTCAGGCGCCAGGTTACATTCATCCTTGGAGGTTCCACCACGCAGCCCAAGATCACAGTGCCTCCGGGCTTCTGGACGGTGGACGCAGGCTGGACGGTGACCTGAGGGACCTCGTCTGGAGGAAGAACAGGGATGCAGCAATGAACTGATGCCCCCAAGAAAACAACATCACGTTTTTAGAAGCACTGCACCCAGGAAGTCTTCCAGAAGTGGCCACCAGAGAAGCTGGTCTTTCTCCGACTCTACTGCTCTTGTCCATTTCCCAACCTGCCTTTGTTCCCAGAGAGTAGATGTGGAGTGAGAATGTATTGTAAAGGCAAGAGCTTGGGCTTTGCATTTGGACAGACCTGAGTCTCATCCCAGTGCCACTACTTCTGAGCCATGTGACTCTAGCCTTGTGAAGTGTCCGTTTCTTACCTGTAAAATGAAGCTAATATTGATTGTCTCACAAGGTTGTCATGAGTCTTGCAAACGATATGTGTAAATTGCCTGCCGTGACACTGTACAGTAAGTGCACAATAAAAAGCAGTTATTATTATTACTTCTCCTCCTCCTCCGGTATAGCTTTGAAATGAGTCAAATACCAAACTATAACCAATATGATGTTGTTGTGATCATGTCTCATCTTGTGTTCTTGTGTCCCTGAAGGCCAATGGGAATAAAGTGTTCTTTGAAATCCAGGTAAAGAAGGCCTTTTTAAAGAGTTATTGTAGAATGCGGAATGTTTCCATTTGACTGTAAGGGCAGGGAAAGGGAAGGAAAGCACTCACTCAAGTCAGCAAAGCAGCCTGCTGTGGCTAGGAGGAGGCAAGCCAGTGTGACCTCAGGCCTCATTCCTCTCCACGCCGTCATCGTCCCACGCAGCATGGTGTATCACAAAGGTCTGAAGCCAACGTCCCATAAGCCGCCAGGGTCACACAAAGAGATACTGCCGTCCCTGGCAACACTCTGTTGTAAGAGAGAAAGGGAGAGCAATGGCCATGATGAGGATGCCTGGGGTGCACCTGTGGTGGCCACAGGGCTTGGCTTTGTCCCTTGTTCCCTGTTGGCAACATTCAAACTAGAGACCCGGTCATGCTGCTGGAAGACCAAAGAACACTATAGTGCCATTTCTCATCTAAAAGAAGCTTCTTATAAGTTGCCCCCTAGGGCTCTTTCTCTAGCTAGAAGGTGATTTTATTGTAGTAAGAATGCTGGAGTCTTGCCCAGTGGATGGACAGCAACGAGGAGGAGGGGCAGAGGATACAGAGAGGCTGAGGCCTGCAGCCATATCCATGGCACAGGACAGTGACTATCTGGCACAGATGCTAGAACAGATGAGATTATTCTTACCATTTGCTTGCAAAAGGCCAGCTGGTCACAGCCATGTGCCCTGCCATGTGGTTAGTGCAGACTATTGTGGGACAGCAGTGCCGTGTGTGTGATGCATACAGAACGCCCTTGCAGGGAATGCTACTAAGTGAATGAATCCTAGCATCTCAGTGACTCATGAAATATTTCCTGCTCTGATTTTCCTCACCCCAGCTCTATGCCTAGATCCCTGAAAACTCCCTTTTATTCCTGCAATCACCCTGCTCTCCTCAGCTTGTCCATAACATCTACTCCCACAGGTACAAACACAGCCCAAAGTCATAAGCCAGCCAAGACCCCTCACTTTCTCAGGGCACAGAGCCTTGTTTTCGCTTCACTCACTAGCTCCCACTTCTCTCTGCTCCCGGTGCTAGAAAATTTTGAACTTTTCCGTCTCTACAAAATCTACACTCTTGATTACCCAAGTTGTATCTCCACCCAGAACAACATTGCTTTGAGGCTCAGACCACACTGCACCTCCAGCCATCTGACAACACACCTCAGCTATCAGTCACCCTCTCTGCCTAGAACAGTAGCATCTCCTGTTCCAGAAGGCACAATTTTTTATGCCTTTCTTAAGCTATGGTCCTTACAAGATTTATCAAAATCACATGGGCAAGTGTATATTCTAACACACACACACACTTCTGTCACAGCCAAAACAAAGATTTTGCTTCTGTGCTTTTCACTGATGGGTTTATAGAACATTAACAAATAAGGATGGGGTATCAACAGCCTTATTAGGCAGGGAGGCATTGAAATGAGTTCGGATAACGTTGAAGGCAACATTCCAGTGATCTGCACGGTGGATCATTCACCTGTGGCAATATTAATAGTATATTTCTAGGAGTGTGACATACATTCAAAATGTTAACTCTTCTAGATCAATCTACCTAACCAGAGACTCTCTCGAAGATTTACAGTCACCATTTAAAACTCAGAAGTAGTTAAGCTTCTCAACTGAGAGATGTGTTGTGCTGGCCAGTCCTAGAGTTCAGGCTGCCTGCAGAGACTGCCGTAAGAAACAGGAGACACCCGACTTGCCTGACACAGGGGACTGTTGCTGTGTTGGGAAGTGCTTCGGATTAACCTAAACCTTTCCCTTCCCCAAGACCTGTGGTCCTTTGGCTTTCTGCCTGGCTGCAGAGGGAGTGAGGAGGGCCATATCCACACTGCCCAATGAGCACCCCTCCAAACCAGATGGAGGACCCCAGCCCCTAGCATTCTGTGGATGCTCAGAATGTTTTCCAAGAGTTCTTTCCCGATGGTTTGTATTTTCTCCCTTTGCCTCATGACTTTGACATCAGAGGACTCACAAGACTTCAGCACTACTCTGGGATAGGACAAGGGGATGTTTTCTAAAAGGGATTTGAAAGAACATTTTTAAAGAAGTTTTTCAAAAGTTATTTCCTGGCAAGTTAAGATAATTTCCCGTTGGTGTAGAGAGAGAGCTTTTGCTCTTTTTCAAACAATCCAGTAAATCAAAGGGTCATATTATTGGCAAAGTAAAATTCATGAAAGCTGCAAAGGATGTGAGTACAATTGGGAGGGGCTGTGGTGGTGGAAAGCTGGGGGTGCCTGCCACTACTCCAGGAACTCGCTAAGCTCTTACACAATGTATTTCCTTTAACCTTCTCATCAACCCTGCAAGGTGACGACTATATCCCCATTTTACAGGAGAGAAAATTGAGTTCCAGAAGTGAAGTTGCCCAGGATCACATAACAGTAGGCCTGGATTGAAACCCAGTTTAGGCTGATTCCCAAACTCTGTGCTTTTTAATCACAATAGTAGCCTTTTTCCCTTTTTTTTTTTTTTTTTCCTATCAGGGCTCTGAAACCAGTGGGTGTTTAGCAAACAGAGTTGATGTAGAACAGTGGGACATTTTAACAGTGATTTCTAGAGGGAAAGTTTACACCAAAAAGTAAGCTTTTGGTTTCCTCTCAATTTTCCAGATACTTGCTTTAATTCTCTAATTTGCTTTTCCCCAATGAGATAAGGTATTTATATAGATCATTGCATGAGTTCCCAGTTATGGGATTTTAGGGAACTAGCTTGTTCAAGTCATGCCCCAATTTCCCCAGGCCCTTAAGGAAATTGAAAGCAAATGTTCCTTCCATGCCCCAAGAAGGGAAGGAAGGGAGGGAGGAAGAAAGGGAAGAAGGGAGGTAGGGAGACAGAAAATGAACATAAAGTAATGAAGGGCAAAAGAGGACAAGCAGACAAAGAGGAATGGAAGGGTTGTTTCTTATCTGAACACACGGTGGCTACGGAGGTGTTGGGTTGTAACAGCAACAAATATTTTACTGAGGAAATTCAGCCCAGACCCTCTCCTGCTTAACGAGGACCAGCCAAACAATTCCTGTTACTTCTGCACCCTCGGTAATTTATAAGGTTCAAAATGGAAACAGATCCTGTTGCTGCTGCCAGCCACCATCCTGCTTTCAAAAACAACAAGGAGAAAAGAATTGGGAGTGAGAGGGAGTGAGAAGGTGCAGGTATCCAGAGAGGGAGAAAGGAGTTAACCCATTAAGCCCCACAACACAGTTGTAAGAAGTACCATTTTAAGGACCCCAAAACAGGATGCGTGGGGTCTCATTCATGTAAAAGCAGAACTATGACCAAAAAATATGGCTATGTTTGGGGAAGGTTGGGGGGCTTGGTCACTGGATGATGATTATAAATAAATAAATAAAATTATAAATACATAAAATGATGCATTTTATTTAGTATCTGGGGAAAGTGAGTTACTTTTTGAACCAAGTTACCTAGTGAGTTTGGTTTAGAAAGATAATTCTAGAGATTTCAGTTACCTGAGAACTTTATTTTAATGTTTCGGGAAAAAAGGCAAGTAACGCTTAAGCTGGAGAACCTAATTGCAGTGTAACGTTGTCCCATTGTGAAATGAACAAAGTACAATTTCAAAGTTGGGTGAAGGCAACAGTAAGGCCTATTATTTTTCTTGGCAATGCAAAATATATCTAAGATCCTTCTTATTTTCCTTAGTCATTTTCTGAGACAAAGCAGAGAAATCAAGAAAAAAATATCAAAATCATTTGACACCTCATTGAGGCCTAGGTACTTGACAGTTTAAAGGGTTATTTGGACACACACAAAAAAAGAAAGAAAATGGGTCTGAAACATTTAACTGCTGACACACATGTTCTCCACTGAAATAATCTCTTCCAAACAGATGTTTTTGAAACTTTCCAAAAACAACAACAACAAAACACACTCTGGGGTTAAGACCAATCCTGAGAAACTGTAGCCTCAGAGTATTTATTTTTTGAGAAAATTACAAACAACTGAGAGTCGATCATCATCAGGAGGAGGCCAGCTCCACTTCCTCCCAAGAGGGCTGGCTGACTAACTGGATCAAGAGTGAGAACACCACAAAAAGCCGTCGGCTCATCCCCTGGACGCCCATGCCACGGCAGCTGTCAGAAAGGGAAGCTTCTATGATCTAAAACACAAAACATGCCCTTTGGATGTCCTAAGACCAATAACAAAGGTGAGCTGAATAGGAGAGAGTGTGATGTAGCAGATAGCACAAAGAGACTTTCTTAAAAACATTCTTCAAGTGGCAAGAATACGATCTGACAAAGTCTTTTGTTCCATTGGTAGAGAGGGACTAGCTACATGAAAAAGAAAAAAATCCTGCTCCAAGTTACTTTTCATTTTGCATGCTCCCAGTTTTCTAGAGTAAGAATCACCTTTCCCAATTGTCTTAAAGGCAGGGAAAGCTTTGCTCCTAGAAGGTGATGCCAAGTGTCTGGGGTGCAAGTGTTGGCAGCCCCCTATCTCAAGAAAGAGGGTAGTACTCCTGCACAGAAGAGAGGCATTGAAGCAAATATTGGGGAAATAAGTGAATTTAATTTTCAGAGGGCTGAATATGTGAGTTTAGATAGACTTAGGAGAAGGAATTAAGAAAGAAAGGTTTACTGAGGAGGCTGAGGTAGGAGGATCACTTCAGCCCAGGAATTTGAGGTTGTAGTGAGCTATGACAGGCACTGCACTGCATTCCAGCCTGGGCAACAGAGCAAGACTCTGTCTCTAAAAAAAGAGAAAGAAAGCTTATCAAAACATCAGGTTGTATACCTTTAAATATATACAAAAAACAAAGGTCATTTTTACTTAAAAAGTTGTATTTGACACACAGACCTAATTTAAAAAATTTTTTTAATTAAAATTTTTTTTAATTCGGAGGGACCTCAGAGAAAATAAACAAGTATCGTAGAGTAATGCCTAATGTGTTTTGAGTGTTATGAATAATGTGTCAAGGCTGAATGAGTCTAAGTGATTTGTAGAAGGTCTCCCAGCTAATTCAGAAGGGAGACTTTGGGCTACAAGTCAGGTCTTCTCACTCCTAGTCCAGTGCTCCTTTTACTATCTTAACACTACCTCCTAGCAAATTGTTTCTGGAGCCACTTTAATCAACTGGCTAGAAACGGTTTCAAAGCCAATTTTAGAATGTTTCTGAATTTACTTCCTTATACATAAGAATAATGTTACCTGGATCATTATCTATAACAGTAACTTTCTGTGTGATCATTTTTATCCTTTCATCATACATTCTAATCTATAAAAATCTCCTACTGTTCATTGCATAAGCCCCTTCCGTAGAATTTTCTGCAATGATGGAAATATTCTATATTTGTGCTGTCTAAAGCACTAGATAGCTACTAGCCACTCAGGGCTATGAAGTTCTCAAAATGTGGCTAATGTGACTAAGACACTGAAGTTTTAATTTTCTTTAAATTTAACTTAAATAACCATACAGAGCTAGTGGTTGCCACATTAGACAGCACAGTTCTAGACTAATATCTGGAACATCTACCCAGAACACTCTGATGTCAAATAGGGGAGAAAAAAAACAACGGTTTGATGTTTTTAAGTATAAGTCATGCTCTAGCCAGCCTCTAAGTATATTTTACCTTATTCCTCATCCAAATTTTGTGAATGAGTCTTCTGTTAACAAATGATGTGTGCCTTGGCTTTTAATTATTAATATTACTGGGAAGAAAAAAATATTGCTATACTCTACCACATACAACACAATATGCAAGGTACTGTGAGTATTAGAAAATGGATTCAGTCCTTAGGAGCTTAAAGCAATATTTGGGACATAAATTCACTAGCACCCAGCAAATATCCACAAGCTCCTCTTCATTTCCTAGCCTCCTCTGCAGTGAGCTTAGGGCCATGTGACTAGTGCTGGCCAATGAACATGTGTAAGTGAACTTCACGTGTCACTACTGGGCCATGGCGGTTAAGAGATTGACAGCTGCTTCCATCTTTGCCTCACCAGTCTGGTGACCATATGTCACATGGTTCAGAAGGCACAGCTATAAGATCGAAGCAATTAGCTCAAGATGTGACATGAGAAGAGGTTTGTTGCACAAAACCACTGAAATTTTGTGATTATTCTCCTGTAACAACTTTAGCATTCTTTAATACTTTCACTGATCAGTTCAGTCACCAATGTGAAGTGGCAAATGAGAGCAGAGGCAGAAGTTTTCAGTTCAGGTCTTAAGGGAAGGTGTTCTGGAAATGGGATTTGAAACTGGGCCTCTTGAGGTATGTACAAGCAAGGGGGATGAGGGCACAGCAGGAAGGTGATACTGACTTGGTGGGAATGCTAGTCTTGTGTTTGCAGGGTGGGGAGGGTGGTGTGCCAAACAGTTGGGTTTATCTGTAACAGTGGTCTCCAAACTTCCCTAATCCTACGACCGCCTGAGTGAAATATTCCGGGCAAACATCCCTAATATGTGCATACTTCTCTACTTATAAATCAAACACATGCACTGCAGAACTAAAATGTTAAAAAGAGTAGGTAAAAATGAAACCATATTTTAATAACTCCTTAACCATGATTGTCTTAAAATATCATTAGCTAATACCTTAAGGCAGAACGCCTATTTAGGATTAGTATCATCACTAATGATATGGGTGTAATCTCTTTCAAATAGTCTGCTTGACTGTTAATTATTTTGTTGACTTCTCATCAGAAGTGATTCCATTATCATTGTTTTTACTCCCTCCTGTGGCTTGAAAAGGGTCAGCTCTGCTGTTTTCTTCCTGTTTGCATGTGCTTGGATTATCAGCCTTCTCTTCAACCCAGTTTCTTTGTAGCAATCTCTTTAAGCCACTTGTCCTCTTGTGAGAGTTAATTTAGTTAAACTAAATAATATAATCTGTAAATCCACTTAAGGGAGAACAGGAAAACTGGGGAGTGAATGAACGAGTGAGGCCCCCACACTGTCAAGCCGTTTACCCATGGAGATGCCTGGGACACTGTTGTGACACATGACAACCTCATGTACAGACCGAAGGCACCACTGCCAACCCCTATATTAAATATTAGCAAAGCTGAATTTCTTTCCTATTCCTTTTTTAGGTAGAAAAAACATTAAGGGAATCTCTACTGTTATCTTACAGTGCTCCAACGGAATTGCTTATATTTTTTCCCCTTGGCACTTGCACCCCACTTTGGAGACTTACGTAAAAGAACGAAAAGAGACAAGGTAGGACACTGAGATTGGGTCTTACTGTGGAAGACCAGAGAAAAGAGTTTAAAATTCATACCACAGAAGGAGAGGAGTTAGTGATGGTTTTTGAGCAAGGGAATATATAATCAAAGTGGCATTTTGGGGAGATTAGCAAAACCTGGGTTCCTCTCACTGAACCCAGAATTTATAACAAAGTGCTAACAAACAGAGCCTATTTCCACTCACCATCAAGGCAAGCAGAAAGGGAAGGAGCCAGGATACAGCATCTTTCCTCGGGGAGGAACCTCTCCGAGGAGAAGCCACCTCTGCCATCTGAGTCAAGGAGAAGAGGTCTTATCTCTTGATTTGCCCACAGAGCTTCTGCTAAAACACGTCTAATCCTCTCCCTGCTCCAGCACTGGAGGAAAAAGTTACTGGGGAGTTTTCTTTGTCACTCATACCTCTTCCCCAAAATGACCTCATTTCTTTTAAGAGATTTCAAAAAAAATCTACAAATCTACCCACAGTGTGGGGGGTTTTATTGCTAAACTGGAAGACCGAAAGAAAAGGAAAACCACTTCCTTTCTTCTACACTCCCGGCTCAATTCCCCCACTCCTGTTTCATATAAATTCAATTTGACAACCCTGCTAATTGGATAAACGCAGCTCCTACACTCCTAGAAGGCCGTTCTCTTTTCTTTTTTTTTTTTTGTTTTTGGAGGGCTCAAAACAGGGTGATTGTGCTGTTCTTTAACACGAATTCCATCTGCTTTATTTCTCTCTCTTCATTCAGAGCTCCTCTTGAATATTTATGAAGCCTTCCCTCCTCGCCTCTCCCCTTTCTACCCCACCTCCACCTTCCTTCCTCCCTCAACCTCCCTCTCTCCACCCTGCCTCCAGCCTCCTCCTCCTCCCTTCTCTGAGTCAGGACAAAAACCTTTCAAATGGCACCCCCCTCCTTGCTTTAGATAAACACAGGCAGTGTCAAGTGTGAGGAGTAGGGGGAGGTGGGGAGGGGGTTCAACTGCCAGTCAAGCCACTGGCCTTCAATGCGGCCCTGGGGCCTACCCTAATCTGCTGCATGCTTGCCATATGGGGGCTGTGTTGCCCCGGGAAACACTAACAGGCAGAACGGAGCTTAATAGAGTCCATATTCATTGTAATGCAGTGAGATAGCTGAAGGCACCACTGCCCCTTCCCGGTTTCATTCTTCTGTTTCCCACTTTCTTTCTGTTTTTCCTCCTTTTTTCTTTCTTTCTTCCTTTCAAAAGGTCCTGGTACCCAGAGAGTTCTAATCTAGAGAGGTTGGGGCTGGTGGAAAGGCTGGACTTTGGGGTTAGGTGTGAGGACTGCCATGGTGGTGTTGGGGGCTGGGGAGAAGTGAGAAGTAGGAGTTCCCGGGAGAGCAGAGGGGGAGAGGGCTGCAGCATCCACACAGGGCCAGGAACACTTGATGTTGTGTGTGCAGATGTGTGCAGGTTTGAGTCTGTGCACATGTGTAAGGGAGTATGGGTGGGTGAGTGTGGTCTCTGGAAGAGCACCCAACCATCAGGGCCTTTGGGGACAGAAACCTTCATATTTAGCCACCTATGCCTAGGTATTTCTGACTCTGTCCCTTGAATCCTCACTCCAGCCCTATCTCAATCCCAGTCAATACAAGGTCATTAAGGCCAGTGACATCTACCTTCCTGGGGTATCAGGCCTGTGGCCAATTCTCAGCTCTCCAGTGGCCTTGAGAAGTCACAGATGTGGTGCTGGGATGAAACCACTTTAGAAATAAACCCCTACAGGGGCAGAGGACGCACCAGCCTGCCAAGTCTGGGCCATTTCCTCCTCTGGTTCATCTGGCTCTGGCTGAGAAGGAGGTGAAGGTGTGGTCTGCCACAGCCAAGCTAAGGGCATTAGGCGCCTCTTTGCATTACGGGAGTGGGCTGTCCAGTAGGGTGGGCCTTGTCACAAGTATATCTGCTGGAAGTCAGGCTTGGGGATCCCTGAGGTCTAAGGGCATCTTCCCCCGCCAGTGCTCAAAAAGGAAGGAGGAGCAGGGAATGTAGGAAGGAAACACAGTAAACTTCTCCCATCTTTGCAGCAAAAATAAAATTCATAACCAAGATATGATAGAATTCCTCAAAGGATAGTTTTTATAAGTTGTAAAGCCTAAAGCTATTTGTTCTGTGATTGTAAAAAATCACAAATTTAAATCAGGATAGAAAAAAAGGAAAATTAAAAGAACTTTCATATATTTCCCTATAGTTGAAACTTTAATCCTATGGTATTTCTAACACATAGAAGGAGCTCAATAAATGGTTCCTGAATGAATACATGCTCCTAGAGTTTTACTACTGGTGACAAACAACTTGGAATGCTCCCTGACAACTACAGTCAGGGTTGGGGCAGATGAAAATGGCTTTAGGAGAAGCAAAAGGCTCCTACTGTATGTGTGGCAATAACCCTGACAGAGTGGTGCGAGTATCTCACAGGTGTCCTTTGTTATCCCCTCCTCCAGTACCAAAGCCAGGTAGGCTAAGTCAGCTGAAACTGCTAAAACCAAGGCAGACACTGTGCTCGTTGTTGTTGTTTTTTGCCTTCCAAGCTTGATACATTCCACATTCCCTGTTCTTACCCACTGCTGAGATGCATCATCAATCTCTAGTTTCCTAGCTCAACCCAAGGCCATATATCCCAACAATTTTGCAGGGAATGGTACACTGGCTATTTCAGAGGCCAGGTACAATTTCAATTCCTGGCTCTCAAACCTAAGTATCATGCAGTTATCTGAAATGCTATCCGGAAGCCAGCCTCAGCTCCTTGGTCCTCGGTATGAACTCCCTGATGACTCCTGGAATCTTAGAAAAGCCAGAGTCGGTGGAGACACACAACTGAGTTGGGTCTAACGGGACTTTGTGAACAGTTAGCCTCCCTGTGGAAGCTTCCCTGCAATTTCTTTTTTCTGTACAGCCCTACTCTAGGTTACTGTGACCCAGCATATTTCATGGTTTACAGAGGAGAGCTCCACACAAGGGCAAGCAGAGATATCTGGAGCTCTCTGGCAAGCCAGTCTTGGAGCACTCTGAGGGCACCACGGAGAAGCCAAGCTCTTCCCAACCTTCCCTGCAAAGAGCACATTGGTCAGTAATCTTTCACTCTAGAAGCTTCTGGGCACCAAGTATGCTCTGAACCTGGTGACAAGCCCGCCATGTGGGCTGTAAGCATATAGGAGTGGGAAGAAGTGTCCCTAACAAGCCTGTGCTGGAATGAAAGCATGTACAGTATGTGACATGGAAGGAGCCTGAATGGCCAACTCATAAGGAAGGCAGGGACAGTTACTCTAGTCTAAACCAAATCCTTGCCTTTTATGTCACTGCTCAGAGGACACCCATTAACAACCTGCTTATACAAACATAAACTTGTCTACTCTCCTATCTTCCCTAAAGCCACGAAAAGATTTGCTACCTACTTGGCTGTCCAACCTTGGAGTCATCTTGTCTCCTGCTTCTCCCTGCTTCTCCGCCCCAGTATCTGATCAGTTGTATGGACTCTACCTCTGCCATGAGCAGTGTTGTCCAACAGAAATATAATTCCACCCCCTATGTAATTTTAAATTTTCTAGTACCCACTTAAAAAAAACAGGTGAAGATAATATAATGTCTTTTAACATGATATATCCAAAATTTATAATTTCAACATGTAATCAAGATAAAAATTGAGATGTTTTTACACTTTGTTTGATGCTGTCTTCCAAATCGAGTGTATCTGTTGTATTTACTGCACATTCAATTTAGACTAGCCACATTTCACGTGCTTAACAGCCACATGGGCTAGTGGCTAATTTATTGAACAGCATTGGTCTAGAGCCCTCAAACTAGCTCTCAGGCACTGTCTTCTCTCCATCTAATCAGCCTCTGCATTGCCATCTACCTTCTTTCTAAAACATTAAGCTCAACCAAACAGTAAAAGGTAACTGGGAAGCTACTATTCCTTGAGCAAGCACCTCCTATAGGCCATTGTCAGAATTCATCGAATTTTATATTCTCACAGTAGCCCTGTAAGGTGTGTGTATGGTCAACCCATTTCATAGATTAGGAAACTGAAGTTCAGAGTGATTAAAATCTTGTCCAAGATCACACAGATGATAAATCTCAGGGTGAGGATTTGAACCAGGTCTGCCTGATCCTAAAACCCTTGGTTCTTTTCACTCTACCATGCTGCTTTCTGTAAATTATGGCATAATAATTGATGGACTATTACGTAGCTATTAAAATGATAATTATAAAGCTCAAGTAGCAACATGAAAATAAATGTTTAAAAGATGAGAAAAGTAACATAGATCCCATTTCGTAAAAAGCAAGTGAGCATCTGGGTGAGGCCTGAAACATTCTAAAAAGCAGCTGAGTTAAAAATGTGGAGGAATTATGATTTTTTTTTCCTATTTGGAGTTCAGTTAAAGAAAAAAGAGAATACGTGAACAGACACAACTCTGATTGCTCCCCATCTGAGTATGATTAAATAAAGTTCAAATTCCAATGCAAAGCCTTCCAGGCTTTTTGTAACTGGGTTCCAGTCAACCTTTCCTCTGTCTGCCTCCCGTAAGCCCTAAAATCTGGGGAGGCTGCATTTTCATACTCTCTGTTCCTTCTACCGGAACCACCTTTCCCTTCTCCCTTCATTCCATGCATGGAACTCCTAATTATCTTTAAATCTTACCTCAAATGTCACCTCTTATGAAGCCTTCTGTGGCTGTTCCTCATTCTGGTTCCCGTAGCATCTCACACACCTTATATAACATTTCTACAGGGATTTCTGGGTTTTGATCATGCATCTGTCTGTCATATACCTCTTATCTCTTTCTTCTGACCCCAGACAATAAACTCATTGAAGGCAAGGATGTGTCCAATTTATCTTGGTAACCCTAGCACCTAGAAAAGCCTTGGCACATCATAGGTGCTTTTTCAGTGTTTGCTGGATTGAAGGGTTTGGTCAAATTAGAAATCTAGGATCGAGAAAGAACGTTAGCCTGACCAAGGACATGTGTGGCATACAGAGAGAGACACACTGTTATTAATGGTGGAACCAATTTTTTTTCCTGGGGGGAAAGGACTATAAATGTGACCTGTATTTTTCAAAACCAAAAGGTCCCCACGTCAGTGTGGGCAATCCTGGAGGGGAGTTGAATGTTGATGAGGTTCTAAGCACTTTAAGGACAGAAGGCTGTGTCCCTGCAGATGCTCCTGTGCCTTGAGGTTCCATTCCAGAAGCTTCTTTTGTTTTCCTTCTCATCTCATCTTCCAAAATGAACACCCAACTAAGCTTGTGGCTTCAGGCGTCCTATAGCCACTGGGCTGCAGGAGAATCTAATCTAGGATGAGACCATGCCTGTGCCACCATCACCATGGCCCTGAGTTGGAGGCTGGGTAGAAGAAGGCAGGCAAAGAGGATGGGAAAGGGAGAAATAAGAAAGTATGGAGTGAGAAAGACGACAGGTTCAGGCCTAAGAAGATCAAGAAAAGAGCATGAGAAGGGCAGGGGGGATGGGAGCAGAGATGTGAGAAAGGCACCTAGTTTTACCCCAGCTCCCATGATGTGCTGAGCCCACGGCTGGCTGCTTCATATCCACCAACACTTTTAATCTTTACCACCCAGAGAGTGTTCCTAGCTCCATTTTATATGTTATCAAAACCCTTCCTGATGTTCCATCACTTAAGGGCTTTAGGTCTCATCTCAAATTTTATTATAGACAAAGCTTGTCTACTAAGTGACAGCATTGGAGCTCAGCAGGATCAGGTACTGAAGAACCATAAGCCTTGGCTTCTGAAACTCTTCTACCCTTCACAGAAGATCACCTTGAGTGAGTTACTTAGTATCTTTGAGCCTCAGTTTATACTTTGTGAAAATAAGAATGGTAATACTTTGATGAGCTATTTAAAAAAGTTAGTAAGATAATGCGCAAAAGCAACCTGGCATATACCAATCATGCAGTAATTCGGGAGTCAGGGGTCATGAAACTTTTCTTCCAAAAGCCATTCACTGGATGCCTGATTTAATGCAGTGGCAATGCCACCTTTTTGGCTTATAGATCAACATCCTTTAAGACCTAAAGACATGCTCCATTTTTTAAAAAAATGTTCATTGCTCATCTTTTATTTAAAAATTTTTAAAACTTTTTGTAGATTTGGGGGTATAAGTGCAGTTTTGTTACATGGATAACAAAGTGAAGTGTTGTTACATGGATACATTGTGTGAGTGTAAACATCACCCAATAGTGTACATTGTACCCATTAGGTAATTTCTCATCCCTCACCCTCTTCCCACCCTCCCACCCTTCCAAGTGTCCAATGTCTATCATTCCATACTTTATGTCTATGTGTACACATTATTTAGCTCCCATTTACAAGTGAGAACATGTGGTATTTGGCTTTTTGTTTCTGAGTTACTTTGCTTAAGAGAAAAACCTCCAGTTCTATCTATGTTGCTGCAAAAGACATGATTCCATTCTTTTTTATGACTGAGCAGTATTCCATGGGTATATATATATATATATATATATATATATACCCATGGGTATATATACACACACACACACACACACACACACACACACACACACATATACGTATATACACGTATATATATACCATATTTTCTTTATCCAATCATATGTTGATAGACATTTATGTTGATTCCATATCTTTGCTATTGTGATATAGTGCTGCTATAAACACAGAAGTGCACGTATCTTTTTTATGTAATGATTTCCTTTCCTTTGGGTAGATACTAAATAGCGGGCTTGCTGGATCATATGATACTTCTATTTTCAGTTCTTTGAGAAATCTCCATACTGTTTTCCGTAGGGGTTGTGCTAAGTTACATTTCCAACAACAGTATATAAGCATTCCCTTTTCTCCACATCCTTGCCAGACATAATACACTTTAACAACTCTAGACACACATGATTTCATCTCTTTGCTCTTTCCTATACAAAATTAAGCAATGGGCTGATTCTCGTACCCTACACACCTGCATCAGAAGTTCAAAAAATATTCTTCGTTGTTTTAAAAACATATTCTATATAATGTTTTGTAGACCCTTGAAATAGGTCTGGGGAATAGGGATCCATGGAGAATGCTCTAGTGTTCCCAAGTTTGTGGCAAGATGTAGTTCCTAATGTCTCCATCTCTACCCAACACTAGTCAGCATTTAATATCACTTAAGCTAATAACCTCTTCACCTTCCCCCACTTATGCCCTCTCTGCACTCTTGATGATAATGACAATAATCATCATAATTTCTTCACAGTGTCTCTACTTGCTCAGAGGGAAAAAGGAAAATATCCTCATCATCATACAGTAGGTCAGTTGAGACAAGACGTTGTGGAGAAGTGTTTATATAAAGGAAAACATACCCCTATAATCCCTCCTGGACTCCCACTCCCAGCCCCAGAGAGGAGCCCACCTCTGACCTCATTCAGTGAATGCTCAAAGCCACAACAAAACCACCTGTTCTTTTTCTCCATCCCTCTTTCTAATTACAACATATGACCAGGGTTATACCCACATAAGTCATGTAAAATGAACTAAAACGCTAATATAGTGGCTGGAAAGGAAATAAGAGCATCTACTTCCCAACCTTTAGGTGCTCAGAGTTGACAAAATAACCCATGTAAAAGGAAGTGTTTAAAGCCTGGGTGGACAGTAGCCAAAAGGCATGTAAACAAACAGTCCCAGGACCTGAACAGCACTTAAAGCAGATCTTAAGAGCTTAAAGTCCTATGTCTTACACAAAGGAAAACCAATCCCATTTGACTAGCGACCAGTGTGTGAACACAAACCTTACTATTATAAACAGGCTCAGAGGAAGACTGGAACACTGACTCCAGCTGAAAGTGCCTATGGGAAACAATGGAGCCCTGAGAAGAACACAGTGTATTATCCCAGGAAGCGCTCGAGGGAGCAAGCCAACCCTCAGCCTGCAACACATACGGAACCACAGACAAGGAATTTCCCCCGAATCATCCAAAAAGGCAACAGGATATGGCTCCCAAGTGCAGTAAAAACAAGGCACTCTGCTTAGTGTTCATGCTGAGAGGAGCAGATAGAACAGCTGGCAATCCCAAAGTCATTCCTGATGAGAGGTGCAGGTCCCTGGTGGGCACTGGGCGCAATTCAGTGCTGACAGTAAGCACCCTCTAGGTGCCACACACTGTACAAAAGGCTTAGGGGATGTAGAGGAAAACAAGGCACAGCCTCCAGTCTTCAATGAGCTTAGGACCTAGCCCCCATCAGCTTTGACAACATCTTTCTATTATACCAAAATTGAAATGTAGCATGGCCTCAAGAAAGGTTAAGCTACAAGATAAACTGTGGATTTTATTAAGAACAGGCAGGGAGCCAGAAACACTAACAAAGGCATCAGGAGAATGATAAAAGAAATGTACACAGGTTCCTACACACATGTGTGCACATGCCCATGTGCACACATACACACACACAGGCCGTCCTCAGTACATGGGAAGGTCAGTTCTCCAATGTAGCTTCTTTCACAAGTCTTAAAAGAATTCCCCTTTCGATCATCTATATTCATTCCTCACACAGTCCTAGAAGATTTGTCAAAGTCTGTCAGTTAAGGCAGGAAAAAGCCCTAGAGCTAACAGAAGTCTATGTGTCAGCATCGCTTAAGCTTCAGCTTTATCATCTACACTGTCATTTTCACACTGCAGTGTAACTTACTTGTTTATAAGTCTCCCACCTCAACATATAGCAGGTACTCAAAGAATGTTTGCTAAGCTGTAAAGACCTCCTACCTCTAAGGTCTTTTCCAGGCCTAACTAGTCCATGGAGTTTGGATCTGATGAATCCCAGGTGGGACTCCGGCTGCAAAGTGGAGCTTGAGCAGGGGAAGGTGATACGTGAGTGTCTGATATTCCCGTTCCTATCTCCCTTAGGGATTTGGTTTGGGAGCCCGCCGTGGTTCTTAATTAGTGGAGAAGGCAGGCAGGACATAAGACCTTCCAAGCATGGGGTGGGTGGGGGTGGGCTGAATGTGGAGAAGAAGAATGTAAAGAGAAGTAGGCGCCTGACGAAGCTCAATTCCATTCGATGGGCAGGTCTCAAGTACCCATTCCATGTCAGGCAGCCCACTAGGCAGCGGTGAGGTCCCCAGCTCTTCATGCCCCCAGAGCCCAGCACACTGTTAAGTGTTTAGGGTTCAACTGACCGTTAGACCAAGGACTCAGGAATAGCAATGAATTCACCTGAGATGCCAAGGTGAAAGGTCATGGTGGAGAGAAGCGAGCACTGTAGTCACATAGACTAGCGAGGAGCTGTTTTCTTGGTATGAGAAGCTGGGCATTTAGGGAGGTCTGGGGGTTAAAAAGACTCATTTTGATTTCCTCTGTTAGTTAGGCAACATAATTACTACCAATTCCAATTAAGCTGTCACTTGCAGTCATTCTCTATGCCCCTTCCTCGTGATGATTAAGCAACCAATGGCCCTAGGCCCACATTTATACCCTCCACATGACTCAAAATAGGTCTCAGGTGCTGTGACCCGGACTGAATGAGGATCAGGCTGCTGCATCTTGGCCTGTCTTTCTCTGGGGCTGATTCAAACAGATGCCAGGCAAAGCCAGCTCCAACCCCCGACACACACACACACACACACACACACACACACACACACACACACACACCCCAATCCTTTACATGCTCATGCATGCTTGCAGGAAATCTGATGCATTCAAATAAAAATCTAGGCCTTGGGGTAAAATAGCTGAACTGCTGAAGTCAATGACAAGATGGGAGGTGAGAAGCTACCATTCTTCAGTTCGCATCTGGCTGCACTGCGACATGGACAACATTCCTCCTAGACTTTTATGCAAGCAAGAAACCCTTACCCCGAACTTTAAAAGGAACAGTTTGGCACAGGACAACAAAATCAACTCGCATAGGGATGCTGAAGGAAAAACAGATCACATTAGTAAACATCTATAACAATGACTGGCACTAAGTAGGTATCCCATAAGTGACAGCAACTTAATAAATCTGAATAACTCCTTTTAGGGTTACTTTTAGGAATATTTTCATTAGTCTAATGCTTACTGCAGATTCATCCCCAGTACTTCACAAAAAATATTTAAGAAGAGGCAATATCTCAGGGGCTGGATACCTCCCTCATAGGGTGGCCCAGCATCCTGCCTTGGACATGTGCATTCTCCACCTCTAAGACAGGCAGGCATGTGCACGTGTGCACACACACACACACACACACACACACACTCGCACAGCAAACAGCTCCAGCTCTAGCTGCTAAGTATGCTTTGGAGTCATGACAGTTTACTTTCTTTCCCATCTGACCTCATACAAACTCACTTTCTTTGCCACCTCCCTGACCCCCAAATATACACATTCAGTCCCCAACTTCATCCCCAATCCTTCCTTTCTCAATTACAAAGTTCTTTTAAATCACCTAAAACTTAAATAAATATCAATTTGGAAATCTGAAGCATGCTGCAGTTGGTCTGTCAAACAGTCCCTGCCTTCTGCTGGAAGCCCCCAGCCCCAACCCCTGCCAGCTCTCCCCAACTTGGGAAGCTCAGTGGCCTCGGTGCAAGGCTGGCACATGCAGAGAAAACAAACACATGGAGCCTTGCCAGCTGGATCAGGCACCACTGTTTACAGCAGGAGCAAAGTGTGGGGAATTGGAGAGGCATGAAGAAGGGAAGGAGCAGAGGGGGTGGGGATAATTCTAGCCTCCTGCTCTTAGGCTCCACCAGTTGCAAAGAGGATCCCCCTGCTGAGGTTCTGCCATTCCCAGGTACACACAGCACAGCCATCCACCATGACTAATGATGGATGTGACTAATACCATCACTATGCTGCAGGCAAACAGTGAGAGTCCATGAGAGCAGAGAGCCTTCTATGTTGTTCATTCACATATCCCCAGCATCAATCACAATGCTTGGCACATAGTAGGAGTGCAGTAAGTATTTGTTGATTAAATGAACAGATGAGCTCTTTTCCTGCCTATCTCACAAGGTTACAGTGGCAGAGGGGTGGGGATGTAGTGGTGGAAAGGAGATTAGTGAGGAATATTCTAAAAACCTACCAGATATTAAAATATGCCACCGAAAATAATTTAGGAAAATGCTATATTAAGAAAAGCTATCAGATTTCTTTACTGCAGGCCTTTTCTGAGCCTTTAGTATGCTATTATGCATCATGAATCACCAAGAGTGGGAGAGAGTATGCACTAAAGTCTGTACCCACAGGCTTGGACTCACTTGACCACAAACCTGGACTCATTTGACAAAACTATCCTTTTTTCTCACAGTACCATTAGTGATGAGACCTTCACCAAATACTCTTTGAGAAATACTGGCCTAAGAGGTTCCTGAAGAATGTCCTTAAGCAATTTGCAAACCATCATGATCCCATTTTATAATTTAAAAAAGTTACTTATGAATATGTGGTGTGTAGTTATCTGGGTTGTCATAGAAAAATGTCAGGAGACACTTAAATTTTAGTATCAGTTATCTCTGAAGATCAGGGGATTTGCCCTTTTAGCTTTAAATACCTTGGAAATTTTCAAACAAGGTATGTAGCATCGCTTTTGTAATTAAAAAGGCAAATTTGAAAAAAAGCTATCTCCAAATATTCTCATGCCACCACTGATATTTTATCTTCCCATCTTCCCATAGGCCTCATTTCCCAACCACCCCTTCAACCATAAAATGTTGTTCCTTGCCCCATTATCACATTTAAGGAATATGCTATGTCCATATTCCTTAATCTCCAGCAATCAATTCCTCCAGCTTATAAAGAACACTTCCCCTAATTCCAGGATTCTGTTGCATTCACACAATGTGGATAAGTATTTTTGGGGAAAAAGAAGAAAATACATTTAATATTTTGTTAACAAACTTTACAGATCTGAAATTGCTTTGTTTAGTAAGTTATATAAAATATACCATCTAATACTTAGTTTGCTGAAATAGTCATGTTGAGCAAGTTAACATTTAAAGATTGCCTTTTTTCCTGCTAAATTACTAATTTCCTACTGATTTGTAAATACAAGTTAAAAATCACTGAGATTTATTGAATGTACTACACTAGATTTTGTTGCAACATGGGATTGAGGCATATATTTACAACAAAAAGAAACTACCAATCTTAAATAAAATTATTTGACCACTTGTTGAATTAACATGTGCAAGATAATGAGCTAATACATATGAATGATCTTGTCTAACTACTAAACAACTATATGAGGTCGGTAGTATTCTCATCCCATTACACAGATGCAGCAAGTGAGACTCAAAGAGATTAAGGAACTTGCTTAAGTAAAGGATTCAAAGCCTAGACTGTCTGCTTCCCCTGCTTGCTGGTCTTGGGGTCCTTGGCAGCTTAAAGCAGTTATACAACAAAACTGTTTTCAACAAAGGAATTAAGAAAGGCAGAAAACAAAGTAAGTCTGAGTTGGAATCATGCACTAGCCACCATGTTTCAGGATGGATTGGTTTGGCAGATTCTCACAATGTACTCTGCATACGTACTCCTGAAGATGCATTTGCACCTGCAGTCCCGGAAGTTCTCCACACCTACAGTCGGTCCTGAGTGTCTGAGTATTGAAATACAGCCCAAAGATTGGTAGCAGCGCTTTGAATCTAGGATCCAGGTGATATGCACCACTATGTACTGAGAGACAAGAAGATGCTTCTCATTTCTTAACCTAGGTTCTCTCATTTTCCTTCTGTTCTCTGATAACATTAAATGTGTAGCTCCCAATTCTGACTGCACAGGAGAATCATCTGGGGATACTTTAAAATATAACAATGCCTGGGCAGCACCTCAAGCAAATGAAGTTAGAATCTCTGGGGAGATGGGAGCTTGACATCAATATTTTCACCACTCCTTCCTGGAAATAGTAATGTGCAGCCAGCGTTGAGAATCCCAGTGCAGGTGTCTCTGCCGTGGATTTTGGGGTCATTTTGGTAAGGAATATCTGCCAGAAATGTTCTGTACTGGATACGGTGTTTGAAATTGAACACTTTGCATAAAGATGTTCCTTACTGTATCATTTCAAAGAAATTCTTATAATTTTTAAAGCTAAAATACATATTTTTTCTCACACAAATTAAATATCTTAATACATTTTAAGGAAGAAAACATTTTTCCCAAAAAGCTTCTCTCAGATTTCCCCAGATATTTTCTGGATTTTCAGATTCTTCATTTTCTCTTCTTTGCACAGAAATAAAGATGAAAGAGGAGGCCGCCATTGCAAAGAACATCTACTTTGGGGGCCAAGGCGGCCTCTACAGTAGCAAAGGTGACAAACAGGTCCCTGAGCCATAGTGGCTGCTGCTGACTGGGGCCAGGAACAATTGCTTCTAGGGGCAGGGATAGGATGGCCCTAAGGTAGATGCTAGCAGAGGTGGGATGTTTTCCAAGCATGCGCAAATTTAAGCGTTTGGACATCAAAGCCTGAGAAGCCACCAATGACTGCTTTAACAAGGCCAGCAGCTTCCAGGGACTCAGATCACTGAGAAGTAGAACAGCCGTTGGCCATCCAAGGGTCCCAACATCCTCTTAATACCAGATCAGACCAGAGGGCTTTGGCTCCACTGAAACCAGCTGTAAAGGGTTAACAGTGAGCTTCTAGCTCCTGGCCTTCCCGAAGGAGTCGATTTTCAGTTTGGTCCCTACTGGGGGAGGAGACAACCCTCTACCCCACCTCAGAGCTGCAGCCGCACTCCTTCCCGGCCCTCCCAGTCCAGGAATGAAGCTGCCTGCTGCCCAACATATACCCAGACTAGTTTAATCTCCTTCCAAATCCATCTTGTGTCTTAACTTCTGCCAAGAATAAAAATTAAAACACACACACACATACATCATGCATGTATGGGAGCGGAGGAGCAGGCTGGAACTTTAAACTGAAAAAGACCAGGCAGGGATGGGAGGGGCAGGTTGCCTGCTGAAAGTCAGGGCCTTGGAGGCACCCTGCCTGAGGCCTCTGCTACACCCTGGGATCAGATCAGAGGGGAAGGGTTTGAAGTGTCTTCCCTCCTGTCCCTACAACACCCTATTTCATACCCTTTAACTACATACCCCACCCAGCCCTGACCCAGAGGAGCTCAGAGCAGCTGGACTGCAGTGCACTCCAGAGACAGGAAGTGGACCCCACTCCCCCAACATTTGGAACAGCCCCATTCTTTGCCTGCTTTCTCCTGCCAACTTTAAAATGAATAAAACAGTCACTGGAATGGCACATGGGGCCTGGTAGTGCAGGCAGCTTGCAGGCTGCTTATGGCCACCCAGAAAAAGGGTCTGGAGATGGAGTCTTCATTCTCATAATCCTGACCTACCTCACCCAGGGCCTATTAATGACTGAATCTGGGGGCCAGGCACAGAGAGCAGTTCTGCCCCAGTCTCTCCTATTCCTCCTTGCTGACTTCCTCCTTCTCAGCAAAATCAGGAGCCCTGTACTCCTAATCCTTCACCTGAGAGGCTCTGTCATTCCCTCTCAGTGTCCCCTAGGATTCGAATAATGGGCCCCACCTCAACTCTACACCATCATCTGCCCCGTCCCCCCAGGATGGTGCGCTAAGCACTAACTTACTTATACCTGTCCAGATGGAAAGCCAATGTCTCATGAAATCACTTGCCTCACAAGTCAATAATGCTTATTGAACATCCATTAAATACTCGGCTCTGGGAATCCAAAGGTAAAATTCAAGCTCAACATATGGTAAAGGAGATGCACAGAAACATCTCAGAGCACCAGGGAACAATCGCAAATCAAACCCTAGTACCTGGGCAATGCTCTTTCCTTTCACTTCACTGTTGGAAGGTGGTAGAAAAGCTGGATTACAGACTTCTTTTGGAAAGAGTAACCTTGTGGCATCCATCTTTGACCTATCCTGCACACAGAGCACAGTAATGAAAACAAAATCATACTAAAGAAAAAAAAAAACCCAAACACTTGTTTGTCTTGATAACTGCTGAATCTGGGTGATGGGTACATGGGGTTCATGATACTATTCTTTGTGCTTTTATAGCTCTTTGAGTTTTTAAAGGGTAAAGTTTTTTTTTTAATTACAAAATAAAACACTTGTTTTCAGTCGGATAACTAGAATAAGTTCCTCTCAAACCTTCCCAATCCTGCACCAAGGTGCAGAAACCCCCACTCACCCAACCACCCAATGTCCTTTCAATTAAGGCAAGCTGCATTGTCAGGCAGGTTTCAGTGACTGCCCAGGTTTTGGTGGAAAAGAGGGTTCTGCAAGGTTGGGCCAAAGAGGGAGCCCTACTCCTGAAAAGAGGACTGCTGGTCACAGCCAGAGGAAACCTTGAGGGGCCTATCTCCCTGAATCTCTGGACTCAATACTGGGAGCCATCTGGCTCTTCCCCACTTCCATCTTTCTGGGGCTTCCCTATCCAGGAAGGGCTTTTCCCAGGACTGTGCATATCTCACCAATGACAAGCTGCCAACTCTGACTGGCTTTTCCCTGACTGTAGAACCAACCATGCGCAGAGGCCTTGAGGTCCAGGTGCAGACCCATAAAGGAAGCCAGCTTGGGCTTATGAACACAGTACTTTTCCTTGTGCCTCCACTTCTCTACCTATACAACTTACCATAATTGACAAAACTCTTCAAATAGACAAATTCTCCAAGAATATGGGTTCTTGTGGGAGAATTATAAATCAGCAGCTCATCTCAAGCTAATAATAATGATGATAATAATAGAGACCATCAAAGCCTCTACCCTAAGCCAAGCACTCTTCTAAGGAGATTATATGGATAATGCAGTTCAAGGCAGTATGACCTCTTGTTGTGATCTGAGAAATATTCAGAAACTAGAATATAGATGTCTTGAAGGCAGTAGGCATAGTGCTCAATATCTGTTAACTGGTCAATTGAAAGGCCACCCTGATGGCTACAAATGTCTTCAGGCCCCTATGGCAATTGACTGAAGAGGCATGAATGTACTGCTGTCAGGCAAGGCTTATTGTTGATATTCGGATAAGCAGTAACAGTTCCGTGCTAAACCTCAAGTGACTGAGGAGAGGCAGGCTACAGTAGGCATCACAAGCTTTAGTGGGTAGCATTATTTCCACAAGGGAGACAGGTCAGCACCCCCTAGCCAGTTCATCTTGGCTGAGATGCACAGAAATGAGGTCTCACTACCTTTCCCCCATCCAGATTAAGGGTATTAACACTGGCATTTTGGTTAATTTCTCATGTGGGGAAAGTTAGTTCTGCCTGCTTAAGATTCCATCTCAATTGGACACGCAGTTCCTCTTTACTTCCTGACTTTCAAGGGATCTGGAACTTAGTTATTAAGGGGTCTCCCCATTCCAATGGCTTGGAGGCTGGCTTTTTCTGGAGAGGGACATGGAATGGTGGTCAGTAAAACCAGAAGCCCACCCTCATGTCTACAGGTTGCTCTGGAGAGAAAGTACTAGAGAAGACCCAGACCACACCAGAGACTTCTTTCCACCAGCACTGGCTGAAGCACCCCACATGGAGAAAGACCCATTCTGCGCTCTCTGCACCTCCTGCTCTGACTGAAGACCACACCACTGGGAGGTTCTGGATAAGCCTACTGTACAGAATGCCACTCCTTTTGATAAAGGTGAGTTTTTTTCATGTATTACAAGATATTTATAAATTAGCCTTTCTGAGATTCCCCCATTCCCCCCACATTAGGAAAGAAAAGAACAATAACAAAATGCTTTTTCAGATCATACATTTGTCTTTTGGTTCAGAAAATATGGCCCCTGCTCATAGACACACACTGGATACCTGGTGTGTATCCACGGAAGCCAGTCTGGGATTCTTTCTTGGGACTATCACTGTACCTACTTGTGGGGCAGAATGTAGGAAGTGAGATTTAGAAGTGAAGGCTGGATTTGATAAGGAACATGGGTCCCACACTTACACAGTTCAGTAGTTCTTTATCATCTGCCTCTCCAGGTAAACTGAGGCAAGGGCCAAGGCTTCTAGATGAGGTAATGGTTAGTAACCACCGTTACAGCCTTCCAGGCTCTACAGTTAGACCTAAGAAGACAGGGGCCAGGAGACTGCACCCTGATTCCATAATTAACAAAAGCAAGGCTAGCTTGCTGGTAGAGTGTACTTCTTTCTCTGAAGAGCTGAAAGGGCTTTAAACACTCCATTGCATTAGCATTCACAGTCTTAGGCACAAACCTGGGACATGTAATATTAGCCAGGCAAATATATAATACTGCACTTACATGGGGTAGGCAGAGCCACTGAATGGCAGCCCAGCACTCTTAGTGAGTCACTGGTCAGGCTATAGATTGGAGAATGGGCCAGATGAAGAAAAGAAAACCAGAGGGGGAGGTGGTGTGGACTTGGATCTTCAGCATGGAATTTCCATAGTCCAAAAGCTGACTTTCTGACGTGTGCTGTGAGTCTCATTCCTCCTTTGTACAGAACTCTGAAATACCTGGCCAGTGTCTTTCAGCGTGAGAAAGTACTGGCTGGCCTCAGCTCTCTATTTATTCCAAACAGAAGTTGGGGTTTTTTTTTGTTGTTTTTTTTTTTGACAAGGTCTTGTTCTGTCACCCAGGCTGGAGTGCAGTGGTGCAATCTCGGCTCACTACAACCTCCGCCTCCTGGGTTCAAGTGATTCTTGTACCTCAGCCTCCTGAGTAGCTGGGATTACAGGCGTGCACCACCACACCCGACTTATTTTTGTGGTTTTTTGTTTGTTTTTGTTTTGTTTTTGTTTTTGTTTTTGAGACGGAGTCTCACCCTGTCGCCCAGGCTGGAGTGCAGTGGTGTGATCTCAGCTCACTGCAAGCTCTGCCTCCCGGGTTCATGCCATTCTCCTGCCTCAGCCTCCCGAGTAGCTGGGACTACAGGCGCCCACCACCATACCCAGCTAATTTCTTGTATTTTTAGTAGAGACGGGGTTTCACAGTGTTAGCCAGAATGGTCTCGATCTCCTGGTCTCAGCCTCCCAAAGTGCTGGGATTACAGGCGTGAGCCACCATGCCCGGCCTATTTTTGTGTTTTTAGTAGAGATGGGGTTTCGCCACGTTGGCCAGGCTGGTCTCAAACTCCTGGCCTCAAGAGGTCTGCCTGCCTTGGCCTCTAAAGTGCTGAGATTACAGGCATGAGCCACTGTGCCCAGCAGGTTTAAATTTAAGTCCCTGCTCCTCAGGGTTGGAACCCTGTCTACCTTTCCTCAGCCCTGAGAGCTTTTCAGCCTGGATCAGATGGTCCACGTGACCCCCCACCCCCACCCCCTCCAATTCACATGCACTTTCCTTTCTCTTAAATGTGGTCCAGAGTTGGAGTGGGCTTGGAAGAGATTCCTCATTCTATGCCTTATAAAATCCACCATCATCACCTGTCCTCCAGAATGCCTTGTGTTGAGAGTGGCTGGTGAGTGTTCTGAATCCTGGGGGTTCTGTCACCAAACTCCAGGGAATCCTAGTCTTCGAGGCTGACTCAAGAAAGAGGCACTTCTTTGCAGGGAAAATGCTCTCAAACTCATTATGCCTTACTGGTCTTCCTCCTCAATGACCACAAAACAGGTCCCTCAATCATTCTCAGGGCTCAACACAGACACCACTGGAACCTGGGCGGAACCAAAAGCAGAAACTCTAGAAGCTAAGGGATCTGTGGCCTGCCACCACCACCGGATGTGGATGTAGGCGTGCAAGAGCGCTGCCTGCCCAGGGGACGCTCACTTCCCCACCGCTATCCGCAGCTCCAAAGCAAGTAAAACAAACTATCGAGGAGGAAGGCAAACAGCCCATGTGCTCCTCGTGTCTTTCTGTTTAGGGACGGGATGGGAAGGTCTGCACAGCTGATACTTCCAGATGTGGAACCCAAACACAGGCAGCTCCTGACAGTTTACCAGCCTGGGCTAAACTCCAGTAGCGCCAGGGCCGGCATGCTCAGTGGAAGCTGATAAAGGGACCACACTGCAGACCTGCAGGGCTCTGGTTGCGGGCGAGGGGTCTCAGCGCACAACTTTGGGCTCCTTTTTCAGTCTCTGCTCCCCAGCTGGAAGTGTGTATGGGGCAGGGAAGGAGAGAAAGCCATACTTAAAACTGAAGGGGATTGCCAAGTGAAAGAAGCTGATCTTGAAAAGGCATAGGCTGTGTGATTCCAACCGCATGACATTCAGGAAAAGGCAAAACTAGAGAGACAATAGTAGATCAGCGGTTGCCAGGGGCTGGGGGAGGGAGGGGGAGATGAATAGGTGGCGCACAAGGGATTTTTAGGGAGTGAAACTATTATTCTGTATGATTCTTTCATGGTGGATATATGTCATCACACATTTTGTCAAACCCAGTAAATGTACAACACAAAGAGTGAACCCTAATGTAAACTACGGACTTTACTTAATAATCATGTGTCAGTATTGGCTCATCAATGGGAACAGATATACTGCACCAACGTAAGATGTTAATAATAGGGGACCCTGGTGGGGGTTAAGTGATTGGGGGAAATTGGAACGACAAGTCTGTATAGGACTTTTTTGCTTAACCTTTTCTATAAACCTGAAATTGTTTTTAAAAAGGGCTACTAATTAAAAGCAAAACAAAACAAAACAAAACTGGAGCTGGAGGCTTGGGCTCTTCTCCCAGTTCCCTGAGAGGCTTACATGTGGGGTTTGGGATTTGCCTGTGTAATTTCTCAGGCACATCTGTCCACCTTTGGTGTCAGCATAAGACCTCTTAGGATCTTTATCCCTATTTTTATTTTTTCTCAGCTTCCAAATCTAGAACCAAGTCAGAAGTGACTGAGACACAATTTAAGTCAGATCTGTCCCCCTCTGGGTGAACATCCCAATGTGCAGTTCCTTACTTCCACGGCCTGTGGCTCTCCAATGGCAGGGACCGTCTGTCACCTGTGTGCCTGGCACAGGGCCAGCCCTACCAGCCTCTCTGGTGTGTGGGGAACTAAACTGTTTTAAAATTCACCCCCTGTACTTGGCTTGTGGTTCCAAACCAGATTCAACGGAAGTCCAATCAACTCAGGTTGCTAAGGGAGGAGGGCGGCAAAGTGGATGGCCCAGGCACACTCAGGAAATCCCAGATAAAAAACAGGACTGCAAACTGCTGGTGGTATGAGAGTGTGAGCTGGGCACCCCCCTGCGTCTCCTAGCCAGGCCTAGCACAGTGCTGTGCACAAAGCAGACGTTCAACAGATTCCTCTTAAGTGAATGATGAGAAAGGCAGACAGGGCATCCATGCTTACATCCCCCGACACGGAGCAACCGGTACACCCACGGACATTCCTGAGGGCAGTTACCTTGAGGAAGAGAGAAGAAACTGGGCTCTTTCTGTTGCAGCCTTGCACACTGCTTCCTGGCTTCTCTGAAACAGATACTCTTAACAGTAGCATTCTCGGGACATCTCTCCTATTTTCCCCCCATATACATATACTCCAGAATGCATTTAATGCATTTTCTTACATAAATCTATATGTAATTATTTCATTTTGTTTGAAACTCCTATTACATCGCTTTTGAGATTCAGAAAAGGCCTGCAAACTAGCAAAAATGAAAAAAAAATGTGAGCACCACTTACCAACCCGGTTCTATTTTAGGCACTGGGAAGACAGTGAGGAAGAAAACAAAGTCCCTGATTCCACTGATCTTCAGTCTAGAGGGGAAGCAGGCAGTAACCAAAAGAACAAATAAACACGAGCCAGGAGGTGATAACATGGAGGAAAAGAAATTAGGTTGAAGGGAGAGAGAATGATGGTGGGAGTGCTGTTTAATAAAGTGCGGTCAGGTTTAGGTGACCATGAAAGCAGGGGGCCTGATTGAAATGAGGGAGGGTGCTGTGCAGGCATCTGGGGAGAAGCCTTCCAGGCAGTGGGCAAATGCAAGCACACAGCCCCTGGGAGGAGGCTGCCCAGCCAGTGTGAGCAGCAATCAGGAGGCTAACATGGCTGTGGGAGTAGGCAAGGGGGGAAGGGAGGCCTCAGAGGGAAGGGGTGAGGTGAGGACCCCTGAGAGGGAAGGAGTGAGGTGTTTGGATATTTTCTCTTAATCAAACAGGAAGCCATGGAAGTTCTGAGCACAGAAGTGACCTTCTCTAGCTTTTGTTTCAAAAGTGTGACACTGATTTTTCTATGAAGAATGGGTGGAAGCAGAGAGAACACTTAGGAAGCTTATTTTGATAATCCAAGCCAGAAATGTTGATAGAAGACAGGGCGGTGAGAAGGTACAGAATTCAGGAAACATTTTGAAGGTAAGGCCAATATTACTGGCCAATTTAAAGTGGAGGATGAGAGAAAGAACATAGTCAAGGATGACTCCAAGATTTTTGGCACACCTGGTAGAATGGGATACACTGAGTTGGGGAAGAAGCAGAGGGGAAGGCATGGGGGGTTTATCTACCCAGTGACCAGGACCAAGGACTGGCATCGAACGGTGCACCTGAGGCAGGGCCTTGCCCCTCCATGTGTTCCTCTATCTCTCCATCCTCACATTTCTTTCTCTCCGTAAACCCTGAGCCAGTGAGGACTCTATCAGTGGGCTCTCCCACCTGCTCATCCTTCTAGCTGCCCAATCCTACCAGCAACCCTCCTTTCACTCTGTTCCTCTTTCCTTCCCTAATAATAACAGCTACCTTCTACAGACTGCTCCCAACGCATTTCGTGTGCTTTATGTGAATTATCTTGCCTCTTCTTTGCAATAACCCTAAGAAACTGGTTCTCAGTGTCTACGTAATTTGCCTAGGGTCACATACCTATCGACTGGCAAAGCCAGAACTGAAACCCAGGCTTGTCTGGTTCCAAAGCCTCCCCTCAACCAGGATGCTGCACAATCTCAAACTTGGAAGTGGCTCCAGAAATATGGCTCCTTCCTGCAACACAGCCATCTTTCCCAGCACTCCACCCTTCTTCTAATAAGATTCATTCCTGACTTCTGTTGTCTCAGATGGGAACTCCGGAAACTTCACAGATGCCTTCTGTTCCTTCCTCTCTCAAAAAAGAATGTTAACCAGAATTATTTGGCCACGAGTCCTTTTCCTCTCTCAATTCCTCCTGGACCTGAGACCCTACATTGCCCGATCCCACAAGGCTGGGAAAGGCAGCTTGTCTGGAGGGATCCAGGAGGGTCTCTGACAACACGACCAAAATGCCTCTAATCCAGGCTCCTGCCCTGAGAAATAAAAACAGAACCACAGAAGCAGATGAATCCCTTGTCCCCAGACTCTAACCTCTGGCCAGTTCCCTACAATTTCTCATCTCCTAACTCAACTTGGGTAAGCACAGAAGCCAATGGCCTTGGGCTTCTGAGGTGAGAAGGCACTTCTCACGTTTAGAGGAACGCCTCTCCCATTTCACTGCTTCCTCATAATGTTCGAGTAGGCAGCATATAAAAACAGGGAAATAAAGTCACACTGAGTTTCCATGACCTCATTTCCATTACCCAAGTAGCTGGTCACATAATTATATCTTAAACCCAGGTGTCCTGTGTGCCCCCAAACCCAGAAAACCGTGGCTTCAGGTTTTCCATGTTTGTTACAAAAAAACAAGGAACAAGGGTAACTAACTACATGTCCTTTGCAGCCAAATTGCCATCACTCTCCTAAGCCAGTAGAGAGGTCTGCGTTACTGTTCTGCAGGTAACTGCCTGTCGAATTCTTTCTGGTGGCTGCTCTATGAGTATTTGCCTGGAAGGTACCATCTTCTGTCAGTTACCTGTCTGTCAAAGCTGCTACTTCCTTCCCCAGGGTGTTTTCTGTACAAGCTGCCACTTCTCCTGACCAGTAAAAAGTATCTACTGGGCCAAATATCTTCTCCCCCTCACCCCACCAAGAGCATGGAGGACCTGCTTGATCAGACTTGCAGAGATCCTAGGAGCAAAAGGATTCATCTGGCAGATTAAGAAGCAGCAGACTCAGGACAGCCAATTCAGACAACATCCCAGGGGAGGGGGGAAGAAATAAGAGACATATTCTGAGATGAAACCTAAGTTGGAGGTCGCTTTCACCACTAGCTGCGAAGTCTGACACCAGCTATGCCACAAAGCCATTGGCCGCAAAGTCTGACACCAGCCAAGCCACAAAGCCTGGCTTCTCTTGTGGGGCTGCTGCTGAGCCATTCAGAATCTCCTAGCTGTAGTCCCAGTTTTAAATTTGAGTCTCTTAACAGCAAGTCTTATAAAGACCCTCACCTACCCCTTACACTTTGTTAGCTGTAAAAGACAGTTTTCCCGAAGCTAGAAGAGCTCTGCTTTGCGGGAAAGCTTGCTTCGTTTCTTTTTCATGAAAAACTTGAGTTTTGGACTCGGCAGACCTGCAATGACATCTTGGCTCTGCCATTTACCAGCTGTGAGACTAGAACAAGTCCCTACAATTATTTAAGCTTCAGCTTCCTTATCTGTGGAATAGGATAATAATGCCCATTTTCCCAGGACTGCTGGGGGATTGCAGGGATAATGCTTGGAGTGCTTTAACACAAGGCCTGGCACACAGTAGGTGCTCATTAAATGGCAGTTACATTCTCTCCATCGCTGGAAGGGCAGTGGAGGCAGGTAGCTCTGCCTCTTTGGCACTGACAAACCAACCTCAGTTTGCCCTCCAGGTCCACCGTTAATTCCCTAAGCGATGGGGTGAAAGCCTGCACCGGGAGGTTTGCGTCTCCCATGCCAAGTGAGAATAATAATTCTTCCCTCACACGATGAAGGGTACCTGCTGCTTGTGTGTGCTCCTTCTCTTGGGAGGGAGGCTTGCCACATAAACACAAGGCTTCATTTGTAAAATCTGGAACACACATTAACCCCATCACAATACCACCTTTGGACAACCTGTTCAATTCTTTTCACCCACACTCAAGACCTATATGGTGTGTCAGTGACAAAGGGACTGGTTGCCAATGCAAAACCCACCTATAGAAAGCCACCTTGTTGTTCCTCTTTGGGGAGGAGAGCTGAGCTCCCCCACCCCCCTTCTCCCATTGTTGAAGACCACCCAGTGACACTTGCTGGCAAGCTGCCACAGTCCAGACAGGCAAAGCCAGGCCTAACTTCCCAGCCTCCAGCTCTGCAACAGAAGCCTATAGAATGAAAAGCACCTGACTGTGGGGCCTTCGCAGATGGCAGACCACAAAAACTCTGAAGGCAGGGTTGCAGGTGATTATTTCAGAAGTCTGTACATTGGATGATCCATTAGACTCTTGGCTATAATACAGCAGATTCATATATAACTTGTTCACTACAAAACATCCATTCATAATGACAGAGGTAAACAGCTGTGAATTTCCATGACTTGATGTGGTCTCACTTGCAAAAGAGGGCACTGTGTTGACTGACTGCATTTTTAAGTCTCTCTCACTTGGGCACAGCTATGTAAGAGGGAAGAGCTCCCCTCACACCACTATGAAATGATAGTCACAAGACCGAAAACAGAAAGACAGAGCAGCCTCTGCTTTCACAGAAAAACGAATAAACCCAGAACTCCCCAATTTTCCTCTCCAATTAACTGTGACCCACACCTAATAAACCTGCTAGGATTGTAATATTAGGTGAGCTCAGACTAGTAAAGGCACTTGGCTGGGAGTAATCTGGAAAAATACTGGCAGAGCCAGGGAAGGTGGGGGAGGGCTCTCTTCCGAAGTCCAGTTCCAACGTAGACTTGGTGGCGGGGGCTCCAAGGCCTCCACGGCCAGCCGGTTCCACAGGCTCCGCTTTCCTCACCTGTAGCTCCCATCCTGTGTGCTATCTTCCTCTTAGCAGTCAAGGAAGTTTCTGGGCAACTTGAGAGCCCGGCAACTTTCACGTCCTTAAAATAAATGTCTCCTCACTTGGTACTGTGGGAATGATTTCAGAGCCACAGACGGTAAAACAAATGGCAAATGGAATTGAAAGGTAAAAAGCTGAATTCAGGCATGTATTTCTAGGATTCTCAGCTAAAATCTCATGTAGATGAAAATTTTTACAAAAACACACACTTCTCCTTTTCTCCCCGAAAGCCACTCAATAATTGGTTTTAGGAACTTAAGACCCAGATTTCTGCGTTTTTGCACAGTTAATGCTGATACCAGGTTTTAACTTTCCAAAAAGTATTTTAAAAAAAAACTATGCTGAACATGAAATGTTGTGTCTCAAGCATACTTAGGCCTACCATTCACTGAGGAAAATGAGTTTTAGGGAAGAAAATAATGAACAACACATACAAGGAGAGATAAAAGAACACTTTGGTACTATTGGTCCCATCTCTGCTTTTAAGACTTTGCCTGAGATTGCAACTCCTCTCTCTCTCAAGAAGTCCTCTCCCTCTCCCATCTCCCATCTCTCTTTCTTTTTTTTTTTTGAGATAGGGTCTCACTCTGTCACCCAGGCTGGAGTGCAGTGGCACCATCTCAGCTCACTGCAACTTCAACCTCCTGGGCTCAAGGGATCCTCCTGCCTCAGCCTCCCAGGGAGCTGGGATTACAGGCGCATGCCACCACGCCTGGCTAATTTTTGTTTGTTTGTTTGTTTGTTTGTAGAGACAGAGTTTTGCCATGTTGCCCAGGCTGGCCTGGAACTCCTGGGTTCAAGCAGTCTTCCCACCTTGGCCTCCCAAAGTGTTGCGATTACAGGCATGAGCCACTCTGCCAGGCCAAGAAGTCTTTCTTAACGGACCCATTCCAAGCACTTCAACCCTAGAGTTTGCATGGCAGTGCTCTGCGTTTCCCTTCAGGCCAGTAATAGGATTCTGGATGGCGCATGGGCTCTGGTATTAATTCCTGCCAGCCCACACCTGATGCCAGGCACACAGCAAGCATTGTTGAAAGGATGAAGGCGCCAACCTCCACCTACTTCACCACCTTCATCTTGTCCAATACTGTCCAAACTCACTTTGGAGAAGAATAAACATTCTTTGCTCTACTTTCCACTGCTCAGCTTCGGGTAATTTTTCTTCAACCCTACCCACCCTACCCATATTATGCACTTTCCTTTTGCTAACCAGCAGAACGGGTTGAGACTTTCCTCAACATTTTCTCTGGCAACTGAATTAGGTTAACTGTGTCTTTCTGCTCTGATTTCCTCTTACTGCCCAATAATCCTGTCCCAAACATCAAAGGCCTTCTTTGAAGAGAAGGCCAAATTCACTATTAGGAAAAGAGAAATTATTTCCTAACTTTATTTCAGAAGATGGGAAGAATCACAATCCCGCTGATTTTTGTGAGATAAACATTGCCCAGTACATCAGACCACAAGGCATTTGCTGTGATACCACTGACAGAGACATAAACACATGGCTTTCCTCACCCAAACCTACGCGGGACTTTTTCACAGCAAGCTTGGACTCCAAATCCCATAGTAAACGGTTTGTATCTAACATGTCTGACAGAGCTTGCCACAGAGCAAGGGGGTTCACATAGCCATCACAGGCTTTGACTAAAAGAGCATATGAACCGAGCTAGAACTAACCTGAAGTTTAGTCCAGATTCCACTCAAAGTTGGACTCCCAATACTTGAGGATGAGAAAAACTATCTCTAAGTGGTAACACAAAACATGAACAAATGGCTGACCTAATAGGCCAGAGCTATCAGACTGAAGAGAAAACCTCACCCACTTCTTCTACTTTCGAGCTGCTACCCTCAGACGGTATAAATGTCGACAAGACTTCATGGGTCATGGGTTCCAGGAAGCTTGTTCTGAAACTGAGGAAAAAGAGAATTATCTCATCTTTTGAACAAAATAAACAGTTCTGAAGTATTTGCTTTTTACAAGGTGCATTGATATAAACCATAGTAAGTCCTTATCAATACATTTTATAAATAAGAAAACAGTAGAAAAGCGATTTTTCTAAGACCATAGGCCTCCCGAAATGTCCAGTTTCCTGGCTCCCTGCTGAAATGAACAACGGATTAAGAACAATGATTGTACTTTACAAAACCATTACCTTTATGTTCAGCAGTCCATTTTCATCAATAGTCATCAACTATTTCTTAAGAACACATTATAAACAGGCCTCATATAAAATCAGTCAGGCTTACATGGAAGGGATTTGGGGTGATAATACAGAGGGCAAGGAATGAACTCAGCAAAAACCAAGGGTCAGCTGCTAGATTGGAGAAGGTGGCTCCTACTGAAGTAATACTATCATGAGGTAGGACAGAGCTACACAGCAGAGCTTTAAGAAATTAGGGTTTTAAACCTAGGTTGTTTTAAAGCTGGGTGGTGACTTGATTATAGGACTCATGGAGAATGGGTGGGATGGTCACAGGTTGGCACTGGGGGCCCAGCCACGTGCCAGCAACAATTGTCAAGGGCATCAACAAGTCTGGTGGTGGCAGGAATGAAAAAGATGGTGGAGTAATAAAAGGAAGGGCAGGAAAGAGCAGGCAAACTTGGGGAAGGTGTCTAACTGGGTGGCAGTAGAGATGTAGGAATAGATTAGTTCAGTGGTTTGAGTCAGTGTGAATGGAGTTCACAGGCAGAGCTTAGATTCCAACCCCAGTTTCCTAACCCTCCTAAAGGCAGTGCCATTTGAGATGGATCCTCTAAACCTTCCTTCCTGCATTCCACCTCCTCTTCTCTATCCGTTACCAACCCTGAGGGCTCCAAAGAAGCAAAACCTTCTTTAGGCAAGCTTTTCATAAACACGGGTTTATAGATTAAAAACAAACACCCTCTCCCATCCCACCCCCTAACCCCAAATATTTGAGTCAACCTCATAAATTATGAAAATGTTACATGTTAAGGCTCCATGTGGGAGCACACTTAGGATTTGGGTCTTTCCAACCAACAGCAAAGTAGTTGGCTACATCTGTTCTCTGAGTCTTTAGTCAAAAATGTAGAGACACTTCAGGGCTGTCTGATGACAAAAGTTCATACTCTTATCACAACTATGTCAAAAGTATGCATGCACATGATGAGCAACACAAGTCCATAGGATTGTGGATAATTTAAAAAACATTTTCTTAATTACAAGTAGATGCTTGTACAATAAATAAAAACTGAGGAGGAACCATCATTTGACTAATAAAGCTTACTTTCCTGGGACAAGGAAGCTTTCAGCCTGGTGCCTGATGCACTAAAAATGTTTGCTGAATTGAAGTATGGAGATGACAAGAAGTTACATATGTTAGAGTAAATAGATTTTTCTAAATGGAACATATTATTTTCTTTCCTCTCCCTCTCAAATTTCGATTCTTTTCTCCTGTCCCATATTTTCCCAGACAGCAAGAGGGCTTAGAGTTTGGAGGAAAGAAAGCAACTTCCAAATATATAATATCTTTTGGTGCCAAGTTAATATTTTCTTATTCAGAGGCCACAAGGTATTGGATAGCAATTATTTGGTGCACCTGAGTTTTCTGTTGTAGTTTGAAAGACACAGAGATAAACCCTAATTCATTACCCACATCAGTGGCTTTGCCGAAATTTGAACCCAGACCCCCTAGGGGACACGGAACACTATGACACATCAGGCTCACTTCTTGCTCTCCTTTTTCAAACCGTGGGGGGTCCATGTGAAAGTCAACTGAATTATTTCATGGGTAAAATCTCTTATTCATTCTTAGGGCATGGAAACCATGTTGTTGAAGAGAGCCGGGATCCCAAACACTTGAAAAAGCACTTCAAAAAAAGGGAAAATCTCTGGACCCATTTGGAGGGTGGAAAGGAACATAAATCACACAGCTTACCAAGAGTTGGCTCACCAATTAACAGCTAAGCAGAGTCCTCTCTATTTTTTCCCCACACCCTCCCTCTCCAGTTGTAGTCAAAGAATCAACCATTCTGGCTTCTAGCAACCTCTTTTCCCAAGTAAAGCCAGTGGCCTATGGCGTGGGGGACAACTGCTCCCTAGCGAATGTCTCTTGCAGTGAAGCATTTCTGAAGTATCTCGATAGAGGATAAAAGAGACAGTGTCTGAGGTCTCAATCCTCAGGCTTCATAAATGTGTAGACACCCTCCAGCCTCCTCAAGGCCCAAATTCTGAGTGACAAATCTATACAGGGGAGGACAGTGTCAGCAAAGTGGCCCAATGAGGCAACTCTTCTTTCTTTCATTTTACCTCTTTGCATAAACTCATTTGAAAAACTCATAGCAGGAAAATAATAACTCTACTGCTGTTTCTGCCCGGCCTCTGTCCCACTGACCCCAAGGTGCTTTCAGATCACCACGAGAAGCTTCTGGGTCTCAATTATGAGACCATTAAAAAGTACCAATTATAAGACCTCAGAAATGTTTCTGGGAAACCTGTTACACACCTCAAAATGGCTAACCTCTTGCCTCAGATTTACTTTAAGTTCAGAAAACAGGTCACCCAGATGTATGGGCATCCTAGCCCCCACAAGCAGCCCAAGACTGTGGTTTAATATTTTCCATGCTGCCCTTAAGAAAACGAAGATTGATTTATTGGCTGTAACCAAAGGGATGAAAAAAACCATCACAGAGCTGGGCTGCCTGTTTAAGACCCAGTCGTGGAATAAATCAGAAATGTCTGCACACTGAAGTTTTAAAATGACATTCATCCAATGGTCAATGTGTACCGAGTTCTGGACAACAAAGAACTAGGTGACAAATGTGTGCTGGGCACAGTGCATCTGCAGGTGGCACAAGGGCCTGAAATCAAAATATAATCTTCACTCAGTCCACTCAAAGAGGTAACTCTGGGTCAAAAACTTAGGCGAACCCATTTGAACTTGCAGAGAAGGGATGAGGGGAGCAGCAGAACACCCCACCACACCCAAAAAGTGCCAGTTTGGGATTGCTGGTGTGTGGTTTCGGTATTCTTAGCTCTACTGCCACATCTCTGGAGGAGCACAACTCTGTTCCAAGCAACTCTGGCACTGCCACCCCCATCCCCAAAACAAAACTCTGCCAAACAAATCCCCGAGGCTCCATTAACTCCTTCAGGTCTGCCTGCCTCTCTCATCCCTCAGCATTCTCCCATCACCTGGAAAAGCAAATTAATACTGAACATCCTGAAAGTCAAGCAGGCCCTTCAACACCCCCATGAAAATTCTTCCTGGGTTCCCTGCCCTCCCCACAGCCCCGTCCCACTGGTTCCAGAGATTCATTTCCCACACCTTCTCACAGTTACATCAACAAAAACCCCAGGAGGACGCTGCTGGCGCGAACACGCACACACGCGCGCGCACACACGTACACGCACACACGAACTCTCTCTCTCACACACACACACACCTCTTTCACCTTTGCCCCAGCCCCTCAGACACCTCGGGCCACTCGGCTTCAGCCTCGCCCCTCTGCGCCAACAGCTAGGGATGCTTCCCTCAAGCTGCGTCGCTCCCGGTCCGCTGAGTTCCTCATTTTAGTGTTTTTCCTTTAGAAGACGCCAACTATGAGAAACCCTCACCCTCCAAAGAGGCCGAGTGCGTGTTGAGTGACTCTACGCATTTGCCGCCACGCCTCGGGTTCCCCCCACGGCCTGGAGCATGGGGCCGGGGCGCTGGTGTCAACCTTCGGTGGAAGTTTGGGAGGCTGGCTGGATCCTTCTTCCACCCGAGAAGCTTCTGGGAACCGCTGAGGCGAAACCACCATCGCCCGGCCAGACCGCTGCGGCAGGGAACGAGATGCGGCGCCCCTGGGCCCCGTAGCGGCTGCAGCCCCCGGGACCCCCGCTGCCCGCCTCGCCCCAACTTCTTCGCCCGGCGCCCGGCGCGCCCAGCCTCGGCCGCAGCTCCCAGCCCCGGGCGCCCGGCCGAGCGCTGGGACCCGGCTCCCGCCGCCGGCACGTCCCCCGGCAGCCACTCGCTGGCGCTGCCTCGGCCTGCGGCCGCCTCCCGCCCCCTCCTCTCCCCGAACCAACAGTAAACACAACTTTTTATGAAAAGAAAACAAACTTCAGCGACGTGACTCACCTCTGCTGCAGCCGGCGCCTGGGAAGGGCGAGCCGGGGCCCGGGGGCCAGCGTGGTGGGCGCGAGGGAGCCACACAGCGCCGCGCCGCACGGACACACAACACGCTCGGTGACACCGGGGACACACAACACGGGCGAGCGGCCGCGGCTGGAGCAACAAAGGAGCCGAGGACCGAGAAGTTGCGGGCCGGAGAGGGAGGGCGCGTGCGGGCGTGTTGTGGCTGTGGCGGGCGTGAGGGTGTGCGCGCCGTGTGTGCGCGTGTGTGTCTTTTCTGTGTGTGTTTGTGTGTCTCTGTGTGTGTGTCTGTGCGCGCGCGCGGCGGCTGACACCGGCGGGCCGGGGCTCAGGGTCCCCGCGGCAGAAAGCGGCGGCCGCGGGGGCGGCAGCAGGAGGACAACGCAGGGGACGCCGCGCCCAGCGCACCCGGTCCCTCCATATGGAAGAAGCTTTTTGGATGACTGAACTCGCAAACAATTCCTTCTTTTGCTTCTCCTGCCTAGGAGCCTCCCATTACCGTGCGAGGAGGAGGAGGAGGAGGGAGTGGAGGAGGCTGGGAGGAGGGGGAGGAGCAAAATGGAGCAAAGAAAAAGTCTTGGAAAGGAAGCTGGAAAAAGTCCCCCAAACTCTAGGGCAGTTTTCCCGTTAACACCCACTTTTTGCTGTGCCTCAGACCCGCGCTCTCCTCCAACTTCTTTTGCTTTCCCATACCAAAAGCACCATCTTCTCCCTTTTCCCCGAACCCAGGGGGCTCCCCTGAAGCCTTCACTTTCTCTTTAGCTTCACCTCGCACCCTTGCTCTTCCATGTACAATCCTTCCCTCCTTTCGCCTAGTCTCTTCCAAGACTTTCCTGACACCCACCTCTCAATGGTCTTCTTCTTCTGCAAGACAAACTGTTGGATAAATCATTAAAAGCAAACTCATCAGAAAATGGGACAGCGGCGGTGGAGAAAATGATAAGGAAACCAATCTCAGGGAAGCCTTAACGCAGCCTCCCCCGACCCCCTCGGTCGGTTGGGGAGGGTTTGCCGCGTCGTCCATTGACAGCGCCCTGACCTCCATTCATCATCCCAGGATGGAGCCAGGGAGGAATGGGGAGGGAGAGCTGGGGCTGGGGTTGGGGGCATGGGTTGGGGGTGCTAGTGGCCACGGAAAAGTTAGTTACCTATGCGTGTGTATGTGTACGCGCACGCGCGCGTGTGTGTTGGTCAGAAAACTTTCAGAGCTGTGGTTCTCAAACTTGATCTGCAGCAGGACTCCCTGGAAGGCTTGCTAAATCCCTTTGCTGGGCCCCACCTCCAGAGTTTCTGATTCAGTAGGTGGACCTGGGAATTTGCATTTCAAATAGGTTCCCAGGTGATGCTGATGCTGCAGGTCAGGGGCCACGTTTTAAAAACTACCTTTCCAGGGCAGTGAGAAGGCAAATGTTGAGTTGGTGGCAAATTGGATTCCCTTCTTATTTTTTAGGAATGAAGCACAGGTTGTGAGCGGTCATCCATTCCGTATCTTCATTGCAGCTGAGAAAACCAAGTCCCAGCAGGGCTAAGCCATTTGTTTAAAGTGAACTGGGAGTTTGTGCCAAGCTGGTGAGGAAGCTGTCCTGGAAATAAGACAGCCAGGCTAGTAGTAGGGTGAATGGGGGTGCTGCCTTCCCTGTGTGGCTGGACAGCTGCACTGGGAGTCAGGAAGCCACTGTGACTTTGGAAAGTCACTTAACTTTTCTGGGCCTCTGGGGGTTTTGTGTGTGTGTGTGTGTGTGTGTGTGTGTGTGTGTGTGTGTGTGTGTGTGTTTGTTTGTTTGTTTGTTTTTTGACAGAGTCTCACTCTGTCGCCCAGGCTAGAGTGTAGTGGTGCAATCTCGGCTCACTGCAAAGTCTGCCTCCTGAATTCGAGAGATTCTCCAGTGTCAGCCTCCCAAGCAGCTGGGATTACAAGCACCTGCCACCATGCGCGGCTAATTTTTGTATTTTTAGTAGAGACGGAGTTTCACCATGTTGTCCAGGCTGGTCTTGAACACCTAGCCTCAAGTGATCTGCCCACCTTGGCCTCCCAAAGTGCTAAAATTACAGGCGTGAGCCACCTCACCCGGCCCTGTTTTGTTTTTTATTAACTTGTTTCTTGTCAGTAAACATACATACTTTACACTGAGTATAGGACTCTAATTGAATCTGAACCAAAAGACCTTTACAAAGGAAACATAAATGTATTTTATTCCATATTTTGCACTATTTTTTCTCCGGTATTTAGTCATTCAGGCAGAAGCCAATTTCCTTTTTGATTTATCGAGTACTTTCAGCTCTGTGCCTGGATTCTTAGGCATGTTCCTCTGGCAAAATGGATCTGGAGGATGATGCATTTTCAGCAAGAAGGTGAAAAGGACTCTGAACTCTCTCTGTGCATTATCCACCTACATTTCCTTTTCCTACTTAATCATCCTAATTTTCCTTCCCTTTTAATCTCTAACAATCTCCCCCAACATTCTCAAAGACCTATTTTTCTTTCCAGTCATTGACTATATTAGCTTCCACTTTCTTTTGTCCTCCTTCCAAGGCACAATTCTGGACTACAAGGCCTGGGGTCCACCCTGGGTACAGAACTTTTAATTCCCCCAAGGGAATGGGTCAACCAGCTTCCTCTGCAGTGATAACACTCCTTCTCCCCAGGGACCCAAGCAGCGTATCCAGCCTTCTGTTTTTCAAAGATGATTCCAAGTACCGCTCAATGAGAACGTGATGCATGAAGGTCTCAGATTCATTCTTTTATATTCCTGTATATACTATTCGTTGCTTGACATCTCAAAGATATCTTCTACCCCTTCTGTCATCTTTCTCCTAGGACTCTCCATTCTCTTACTCTGGTCTTTGGGTCCACACAGCCCTAGGCTCTGAGTTAAGCATCAGAACACAACAGAACACAAAGAATGTAACAGTCCCTACCAGCACCATTTAGTCAGGAGAATGACACACTGCCTTGTTCCTTCATGCATGCAGGCTGCTCACCTTTCTTTCTTTCCTTTTTTTTTTAAGATGGAGTCTGGCTCTCTCACCCAGGCTGGAGTGCGGTGGCATGATCTCAGCTCACTGCAACCTCCACCTCCCCGATTCAAGCGATTCTCCCTGCCTCAGCCTCCCGTGTAGCTGGGATTACAGGTGCCTGCCACCACGCCAGGCTAATTTTTTTTTTTTAAGTAGAGACGGGGTTTCACCATGTTGGACAGGCTGGTCTCGAACTCCTGACCTCAGGTGATCAGCCCGCCTCAGCCTCCCAAAGTGCTGGGGTTACAGGCATGAGCCACTGCTCCCGGCCTGCTGCTCACCTTTCTTATAGTTTAGGCAGAATGCAGATCACAGCTTAATAAAGAGGACTTAATTCTGCTGGCGGCATCAAGCACACTGTTGGTACCTCAGATATGTTTATTGTTTTTATTGCTCTTTGTATTAATGTGATTGTGTTTATTACTACTAGTCCTGTAAGAACAACGTATCTGAATTTTCTCCCCACTCCATTTTGCCTGGAGGGTATTTCTTGCCTAATTCCCTCCTCCCCTTTCAATTAGTTTCTCTATCTTAACCCACCCCAACCCATTCCAGCATCTCTAGCCATTTCAAAACAGTTAGGTGGAGTCTGGATCTTGTAAGGTGCTTTTTGCTACTGTCCGTTCTGTTGATGGTGATTTACCTCTAGCACCTTGCTTTCTTGGAAATGTTATGGGCCTCCACCAAGAAGGAAGCATTTGGTATGGAAGTGATCATCACATTAATTTAAATGCTTGGTCGGGGGAAGGAGTGGGGAGGTGAGTAGGGATTGTAGGTCTATATAAGTCACTATGTTGCTAGGCTGTGCAGAATAAACTGGAAGGAATTCAGTGAATGACATGAAAAGACGTGGTTTCCTCTCAGTGTGCTGTAGATACTCTACCTGTATCATATAAACAGGGATCTCTTTGACTGTGAAAGATATCTGGAGAGGATTATGCTGAGAAAATTATTAAGATGTAGACAAGAAAGAAGGACTTGATGATGTTTTCCTCTGTTTTAATATAAATCTGCTTTCCTGATTATAAAATATGTGCACTGACAAAAATTTAGAAAATGTAGAAAAACACATAAAAGAAGAAAATCAACTTAAAGTTACTACCCAGGGATAACATTGTTATTAACATAGTGGAGTGTTTTTTCTAGTCATTTTTCTTTCTTGTTTTTGTTTCTCATCAATACAAATAAACACGTTATCGACACTGAGTATATGATTCTAATTGAATCAGAATTGAAAGACATTTAAAGGGAAACATAATTGGGGTGAGTTTATTCAATATTTTATACAATTTTTAATGCATCTGGTAATTCAGGCAGGAGCCAGCTTCTTCATTGATTTATCTGGTACTTTCATATTTTACAAATTTGGGTTCATTGTACATACAGGTTATCATGCTTTTAAATTTAACATTTTAATGATTATTTTCCCCATATGTAATCTTCAAAATTTGACTTAACTGCTGTGTACTATCCCATCAAAGAGAGAGATTGTTATTTATTCAACCATTCTTCTATTGTTACATATTTAGATCGTTTCCATTTTTATTATCATCCTGTATTGCAGTTGACTAAACATCTAGCTATAAATCTTTTTGTTCTGATTATTTCCTAAGGGTAAATTCATGTAAGTAGGAGTTTGGGATCAATGGATAGGATATAACATTTTAAATGCTTTTAGTTGGTATTACAAAATTGTCCTCCAGTGGTTCCAATGTACATTTCCATCTCTCAGATTATTTTAATTAAAAACAACAATGAGATCATCAAACACAAGGTCCCAAGTGAAGACTTGATTGAATTATCTAGTCTGAATGATTACACTGAACAATAAAGAAAACAACTGCCAAATATTCACTTTAGTGGAAACAACACTCCAATGGGAAGAGCTGGGCACTAATTGCTTACCCTATGAACTGCATCATATTTATGATTTTATTTAACCTTTTCAACAAGCCTCTGAGAAATAAGCTAATGTTTATTGAGCACCTTCCTCTCCCAGTTTCTCTCCTGGATTCTGTGTGTACCTTCCATCTTGAATCCCCATAATGACCTTGTGCTATATAGGTGCAATTATCTCCATTTTATAGATAAGGAAAATTAAATAACATGCCTGAGATCCCCAACAACTAAATGGTGGTAAGAATTCCAAACCCAAGATTTTTCCAGTGAAACACACTACTTCACAACTATTTCATGAATTGCAGGCTACTTCTTGCAGTAAAAAAAAACTGTTTAGAAAATGCCCAAATTTTGTCTAGCCATTAAGAAGTATTTTATGGGCTTTCCAAGGAGTGTTTTTCTTTTTTCGAAAGAGACATTCAAGTGCATTCCAAGAACTAAGGTAACTTACTAATTGTAACTAATGTAAGAGTCTAAGGATATTATATACAGGAAGAGAATGGAGTTCTGATGTATGGGTTAAGATTAAAAATGACATACCGGCCAGGTGCGGTGACTCACGCCTGTAACCCCAGCACTTTGGGAGGCTGAGGGGGGCGGATCACGAGGTCAGGAGTTTTGAGACCAGCCTGACCAACATGGTGAAACCCCATCTCTACTAAAAATGCAAAAATTAGCCAGGCGTGGTGGCGCATGCCTATAATCCCTGCTACTCAGGAGGCTGAGGCAGAAGAGTCGCTTGAACCCGGGAGGCGGGAGGTTGCAGTGGGTTGAGATCGTGCCACTGCACTCCAGCCTGGGCAATAGAGCGAGACTCCATCTCAAAAACAAAAAAAAAACAAATAAACGAGATACCAAAATTCACAGTTTTAACAATATTAGTAAATTGGCTTTTGTACACATAACTATTCTCAAAAGCTTATATTTGGATAAAGACATTTTATCTTGATAAATGATACTGGAAATGAGATATTCATGAACCCAACTTTCTGCTTTAAAATTCAAGCTGTTGAGTGTATAAAGTGTCTATTTATTAAGGCAATATCTCAGTACAATTTCAAGATGCATAACATAATCCATTAATTTATAATTAGGAAAATTAGCCCTCATTTGCTCTTGACTGGACCATTAACTAGTTATCTGAGTTGGCTTACCGTTCTATGCTGGGTATTGCAAGGGCTGCTGGAGAAGAAATATGCCCAGTTGCTCTAAAATATTTGTTGACTGAAGGAAGAATGATGAATGAAAGTATAAGATTGACCTATGCAACAATTAGTAGAAACAATGCAAGACAGCGTATAATTAAACCCTAAATTGCATGGTTCAGGCAGAACTACAGGTGAGCCTGGTATGATGCCATCTATTCCTTATACAAGTTGAACTGGCTGGGACTGACTTCTCTAGCCCCAGGCTGTCAACTCAGGCATTCCTACTGGCTATATGTTCCGTTGACTTTTAGGAATTAATCACCAGATCCCCACAAGGCTCCCTATGGACAAGTGTACCCCAGGGGGAGAATGATATTTTATTTATTTATTTAGAGACAGGGTCTCACTCTGTCTTCCAGGCTGGAGTGCAGTGGTGTGATCTTGGCTCACTGCAACCTCTGCCTCAGCCACCTGAGTAGCTGGGATTACAGGCGCACACCACCATGCCCAGTTGATTTTTTTTTTTTTTTTGACAGTGTCTTGCTCTGTCACCCAGGCTGGAGTGCAGTTGTGTGATCTCGGCTCACTGCAAGCTCCGCCTCCCGGTTCACGCCATTCTCCTGCCTCAGCCTCTGGAGTAGCTGGGACTACAGGTGCCTGCTACCAGGCCGGCTAATTTTTTGTATTTTTAGTAGAGACAGTGTTTCTCCAAGTTGGCCTGGCTGGTCTCGAACTCCTGGGCTCAACTGGTCCACCTGCCTCGTCCTCCGAAAGTGCTAGGACTACAGGCGTGAGCCATTGTGCTTGGCCGAGGATGAGATTTTTAAAAAAAGAATATTGTGGCATCAAGACAAACCTGGGTTTGAATCCAGTCTTAAATAAGCTGCATGAGCTTAGACAAATTAATTACATCCCTAAACCCTAGTTTCTGTGAATATTGGAAATAATATATATGTACTATTTCTCTCTCTATATATACACATATATATGTATACACATATATATACACATACACATATATATATGTGTATATATGTATATATAAACCCTTGGTAGGCACTCAATAAATGGAGGGAAAATTAGTAAAAGTTTGAGTGAGAGGTGAAGCTGGGTTAGAGAAATGAAAAATAGAATAGTCCAAGGCCACTTCTGTGTGCTTGATTTTGCAAAGCCCTAGACAAATAGAATCTATTGACACTGAATTCCACGTGAGACCACTTTTCCAAGATATCAGATTCTCTAAAGCAAGCACAGCCCCCTTTCGTCCTCCATGACACCCCCACCTTCCTCATCTCCCGCCATCTGTTCTTCCCCCATCCCTTCACTTGTTAGGCTGAGACAGTTGGATTCTGGTGCTGCCCAGACTCCAGCTGTTTGACATTGTGCAGTGACGGCAGCAAAGAGGGCAGGGGCGCAAGATTCCAGATGAAAGCAAAAACTCAAAGAGAACTGGATCTCAGAGCTTTGATACTAAACTCAGTGGATAACAGCCTCCGTTAAATTTGTTCAGTCAGCCATTTAAGGGGGAAGAAGTTTCTCACACATCTTGTAAGGGTTTTTAGCAATGAGATGCTTCCATGGAGGGGAATCCATATTCTGGGGACTGAGCTGGGCAGAATCTAATGCCAAAGCTGCCACTGCAAGCTTTGAGGCAGGTATTATGCCATCTTGTTTTGTTCTACATGTGTTATTTTCTTTCTCCTTCATAAGATACCTGCGATTCTCTGAGACTTTTGGCCACAGCATCAGGAAACCTAACTATGCCTGACCCTACTCCACCTTACCCCACTTCTTCAAGTCCTCCACTCACAAGCAGAATTTAACAGGGAGGCCCAAGCTGCTCTGCAGTTCTGGTCATGGAGGGAAGGTTGACCGGCCTCCCTGGACAGTGGTTGGAAGCTCTCTGTGGACCTGCAGGCAGAGCCATGAGGAAGGGAGAGGAATTGACAAGAATATAGATTCTGGGGCTGGTGGTGTTGTAGAAGCCTCCCTGCCACCTCTCTCATTGAGAATCAGAAAACAGCTGTATATTCTTTGCCTTTTATTTGTTGAATTCATCAACTAGAAAATGGAATTGTTAGAGGCTTGGTGGTCCCAATACCTTGCATGTGAAACTGTGCCTGAGATAAGGAACGACTAAGAAAGTTAATCTCACAGTTCACTGATTCCTAATTATTTAAAAAGCAATATCTATAGGCCTTGTCCTTGTTTATTCAGGAGAGATGAAGATGGGATCATTCATGTCCTTGCCTTTCTTTGATGGCTCCCCACTTCCTTTGATATAAGGCACAAGTGCTCCCTGCTCCATGGTCTGGTCCAGCTCAACTCCCCAGGCTGGCTCCTCAGGGCCCCACTAAACTGTATCTTGTGCTCCAGTATCTCCTTGCCCTTCCTCAAAGCACCACAATTTATCATGCTTTCCAGCCTGCCCACTTTATTTCCTTCTGACTTATTTCCTTTCTCCTCTTTTCCACTCATTAAACTCCTACTTACCCTTTAAGAATTTTCTCTAACATCATCTCTTCTAGGAAGACTTACTCAAACCTTCCCTTCCTAACTCGGATTGCCCTCTAATGAAACCCTTTTTTGCCTTTGCCTGGCATCTACCATGAGCATTGTAATTATAATTGTGGATCTGTCTGTCTTCTTGCTGGAATATCCTCAACTACAAAGGCAATCTGTTTCATCTTTGTATTCTCAGGTTTGGCATGATGCCTGGCACATGGTGGATGCCCAATATATAAATATATCAAGTGGATGAAGAATTAACAAAATCAAGTATCCCTATTGTAGCACGGATATATATTAAAGCCTAATGGATCTACATGGTCTGTAATGTTGAAGGAATACCAATAACTAATACGGGGCCTGGGGTGGAACCACAGGTTTACAACTAAATACCGGGCCCTTGCCTAAAGCAGGTGAAGCCTGGTTTGTCTTAGCTATAAAGCTGTCTGTACACAGTATTTTGCATTTAGATGCTAATGGTATGTTTGAAATGATAGCGTATGACTGACTTTGTTTTTTAGTTTTTATTTGAGATAATTATAGAGTCACGAGTTGTAAGAAACAATACAGAGAGAGTCTCTATGCCTTTCATCCAGTTCCCCCGACAATAGCACAATAGCTAACCTAACTATAGTACAATATCTTAAACAAATGACATTGATAAACTCATCAGCCATATTCATATTTTGCCAGTTTTACATGCACACCTATTTGTGAGTGGTTTTATGTTTTCAAACTAATTTGTGGACCTAAAGCAGTCTATGGATTCAATACAACCTCTTTCAAAATCCCAATGGCATTTTTTTTTTTACAGAAATAGAACCATCTTAAAAGTCATATGGAATCTCGAGAAACCCTGACTAGCCAAAAGAATCTTGAAAAAGAACAAAGTCAGAAGGCTCACATTCCCGGCCTTCAAAACACATTACAAAGCAATAGCAGTTAAGGCGATGCTGTATTATCATAAAGATACATATATAGACCAATGCAGTAGAATAGATAGCCTAAAAACAAACCATCTTATATGTGGCTGAATGATTTTCAACAAGGGTGCCAAGACTACACTATGGGGAAAGGACAGTCTCTTCATCAAATGGTGATGGGAAAATTGGATGTCCACATGTAAAAGAATGAAGTTGGACACTTACCTTACACCATTACAAAAAATTAACTCAAAGTTATTAAAGACCTGAAACTAAGACCTAAAACTATTAAGCTCCTAGAAGAAAACATAGAAGAAAAGCTACAGGACATTAGATTTAGCAACAATTTCTTGATTATGACATTGAGAAGATAGGGAATAAAATTTAAAAATAGGTAAAGGGGACTACATCAAATTTAAAAACTTCTGCACAACAAAGGAAACAATTGACAGAATGAAAAGCAGCCTACAGATTGGTAGAAAATAATTGCAAGTCATATATCTGATAAGGGATTAATATCCAGAATATCTAAGAAACTTTAACTCAACAACAAAAAACCAAATAACCTGATTTAAAAGTGGACAAAAGATTTGAGTAGGCATTTACCCAAAGAAGATATGTAAACAGTCAATAAGCATATGAAAAGATGATCAACATCACTAATAATTAGGGAAATGCAAATCAAAGCCACAATGCAATATTACAAGTTGGCAACTCTCAAAAAAAAAAAAAAAAGAACCCAAATTAAGTGTTGATGAGGATGTAGAGAAATTGGAACCCTTGCACACTGTTGATGGGAATTCAAAGTGGTGCAGCCATTAAGGAAAACAGTATGGAGGTTCCTCAAAATATTAAAAATAGAACTACTGTATGATCCAGCAATCCCATTTCTGGGTATATATCCAAAAGAATTGAAATCAGGATCTTGAAAAAGAATTAAAATCAGGATCTTGACTAGATAGCTGTACTCCCATGTTCACTGTAGCACTAACTGCAGCACTATTCACAATAACCAAGAGGTAGAAGCAACCCAGATGTCCATAGACAGATGAGTGGATAAAGAAGATGTGATATAACCATGCAAAAATGGAATATTATGCAGCCTTAAAAAAGAAGGAAATCCTTTCACATGCTACAACATGGGTTAATCGGAAGGACATTATGCTGACAAAATGAACCAGTCACAAAAGGACAAATACTATATGGTCCCACTCATATGAAGCATCTAAAGTAGTCAGAATCAAAGAGACAGAAAGTAGAAAGGTGGTTATCAAGGACTGGGGATAGGGTATAGGGAGAAGTAGTTTTTAGGGGGATTAGGGTTTCAGTGTTGCAAGATAAAAATGTTCTAGAGATCTATTGCATAATAATGTGAATATATTTAACACACTGAACCATACACTTAAAAATGGTTAAGTTGACAAATTTAATGATACATTTTTTACTGCAATAAAAAAATGATTTGTAACTTATTGTATAGGTGCAGACCATCCCCAGAATGGCCACAGTCGATAAGAATCTGGATCATGCTCACTTGACCCCATAAAAGAAGGACTTGAGTCTCTCCCAGAAAGCTTATAGCAATAGAATTCATCCCTGACCTGGTCTCTGCTTTACACCCTCTTTGACCTCACTGTAGAATGTCTTATTCCTCTTTTGATGGGACAAGAAAGGATCTCATTTCCTGAAAGATACATATGAGTTAGAATAATTCCATCCACCCTTTTTTTTGTCATCAGCCAACACCAAGAGTTGCTTACATGATTCACAGGGTGTAAAATAAAAATGCAGGGTCCCAGAAGGAGTAGAGAAGTCAATCTCCATTTCTCATAACCCACAGAGGAGAGGTGACCCCCAAGGGATTGTAACCTCCAGACTGAGACATGCTAAGGGGTGGACTAGAGGTCCCTGCCAAGTCACTGGCTGAACATGCCTGAGAGCTGACAGCTTAGGGTGGGAGCAACCACTGCCTTGCCCTTTTTTTGAGGAGAATGGGGTACATGCCTTATCCTGAACCTCCTCATGGTTACACCCAGGACCCTGCCAAGTGGCAGAGGGTGACTGAGGTCATGGAGTGGGGGTGGGAAGGGAGAGATCAGAGGAGGCTAGGGCACCAGGGGGCAAGGGAGTGAGAGGTTGAGAACCTGTCCCAGGGAGGAGAGAGGCAGGGGCAGGCAGGGGCAGGCAGGACCACACATGAGCTGAGGCTCCAAACCCCCAGTGAATGCTCTATTATCTCATAGAATTTCACTTTCAAAATATAAATTCAAAGATAAGTTCATTAAAAATTTCACAATGGTATCCCCAGAAATTAAAATTGAGTGCAGGACCCTTCTGAGTGCAAGGCTCTGTGCAACTGCATTGGCTGCACAACTCATGACCCTGCTGGACACACCAAACTCAAAGCTATCTGAAATTGTAATCCTCTACACTCCTTGGGACTGGGATCCTCTCCTTTCTTCTCCAGTGTGGCCTAGGAATGATGGGAATGAACAGTGAAACTTTCTTATATTTGACCCCTCCTCAATGAATTTGTGTAATATTAGCAAAGCCCTACTTATTTAGAAGAAAAACAATGTGCTTATCTCACCATGTCTGATGTTTAAAAACAAAATAGTCTTAAACAGCCTGAGTAACAACAGGATTATCTAGCTGTCTGAGAGAGAAACTTGGGAATCATTCTTGACACCTTCTTTCTCTTCATTCTTCACAGGTAATTGTCATCACTACCTCCTATAGTGCCACATCCTAGATCTCTCCAGAATCCATTACCTGAGCTCAGTCTCTTCTGCAATTGTCCTAGTCCAGACCTTCATCATTTCTTACATGGAATATTACAAAAGCCTCTTGATTAATCTCCCTGCCTCCCCTCTGCCTCCCTCACTGGTCCATTTGCACATTCCTAATGGAGACATCTTTAGAAATGGCAACTTTGATCATGTCATATACTTACCCCTAAAATTATTCATTGATATCATTGACCACTTTTAGAATGAAATCAAACTCCTTAGCAAAGTACACTAACCCTTTCATACTGATCTCTGGTAAGTACTGCCCCAGTGTGGTCTCCAACCATTTCCCTACCTGACTCCATTCCTTTCCTCACTGTACAGAACTTCTTAGGAATGTTCCAGGATATTTAGTCTGTAGGCCTTTGTGTATGTGGGGCTCTTACTTAGCTAGTTAGTTCCTCTGACTTCTTTGCCCACTGGACCTTCCCAGCATGAGGGATGACTATTACCCGAGGACCCCTATCACTTGGTGTTTACCCTTATCAAAGCACTCTCTGCACTGATCTATAATTATTTCAGGCTATCACGTTTCTCAGTTGGGGGGATGCTGTTTCCATGTGGTGTATCTTCAATTTTCCTGACCTGCTGTGAAACCCATGGGGAGGGCCTGGGTCTTAATAATCATTGTAATTCTAATGCCTTGAAAAACTTCTGGAATATGGTAGGCAATAGGTAGATGTTTGCTGCAGAAAAGAGAGAGAAAGGGAGGAAGAACCGACCAGCTGCCACCTGTAACACTTCTTTTTTTCCTAGCCCTTGAGATTTCACACATCCTCCCTCACCAGTTAGTTGATGTCTTAAGAGTCGATATAGATTGGCGGCACAGCCAATGTAATTGATTATGCAGACACAGTTGCTTAGGTGATAGAAAGTAATGATTTGACCAAATTTGAGTGGTGGCTTTATACAGACATAGCTCAGCTCCTCCTGTTCATGTGAAACGCAGAGACGCAGAACTTTGCTTCCTCACAAATAACCAGTTCAAAAGATTACCACAGGCACTTTGAAAAATAAGTGGAAGTGGCTAAAGATCTACAAGAAAAAGTTCCAGTTTTATGGACATAGAAAAACAACTTAAAATTGTATAACATACATTTGTCAAAACCCATAGAACTATACTCCTCCAAGAGAAAATTTTACTGTATGTAAATTTTTAATAACAATCAGAATAGGGGGAGGGGACTCAAAATGGAATTCAAACTGTAACAATTAAATCCAACTGTATTACAAATTATTAACATAACTGTAATTTAGGGAGCGGAGAAGAAAAAAAACTAAGTTACTTCGGAAAACAGTATTTTGACTGGATACTGTGAGGCTAAACAACTACTATACTCTAGTTAGTAAACTTATGTCTCACAGGAGTATTGATTAGCAATTCTGAAACTACTTTGTGTGTATACTACAGTTGAACTAATAATTAAATACATCATCAATAATGAAAGCCAAATTTCTCACTATCCGAGAAAAAAGTTACAAATAGGGAAAGGGAAAAGGCTAGAATGAATTCTGGTGTCATATTGGAGTCAGAGATATCGGTATGAATTCATGGTTTTAAAAATATATATACAAAAAATACAGACTTATGTATGTACCTAGTACAATCCTAGTATTCATACATATATTTCCTAGTTCTGTCTATGGAGAGGAGTTAAAAACAATGACACCCCAGTAGCAGTGAGCACACCCAGCACTCAAATCTTGGTTTCTACATACTATTCTCCAGTGAAAAAAGAAATAAGGATACTTGGAAAAGTGTTTGATTCCAGGGCTGGGGCAGGAAAAATGAGCCAGGAGTATTTCGTGATGCCGAAAAAGTAAGGAAGTACTCAAAAAATGATGGGGGCAGCTATTGAAAGGGTAAAGGAGCCCAGCTGTAGCCAAAGAACAACAGTAAAATAAGTAGCAACTGTATTGGATTATAACCCATAGAACACAATAAATATTCAGGAATCCATACTGATGTAAATAAATAATTGGATAAATAAATAAAATAGAATGGCAACTCTTCCTTAAAGGAGACTTTCAAATAATAAATGTAGAAGGAGTTAGGGAAGTAGAAAATATTTATTAGAATACTACAGCAGTAATTTTTCAAGATCCATTGATTAATGCTAAAATTAGTAGTCTCAAAAGATCACCCCCAAGATATTTATTAATCACAAAGCTGAAAAAAGAATTATCTTTATGACAAAGAAACCCAAAAGATACCACCTTAACCGCATGACCAATGTTAACATCACTAGTAATAAGACATATTAGCCAGGCTTGGTGGCATGCACCTGTAGTCCCAGCTATTTGGGAAGCTGAAGCAGGAGGACTGCTTGAGCTCAGGAGTTCAAGGTTACAGGGAGCCACGATCATGTTGTTGCACTCCAGACTGGGCAACAGAGTGAGATCCTGTCTCTGAAAACAAAAAAAGAAACAATAACAATAACAACAACAACAAAAAACCAAAGACATATTGACTTTAGGTGCTGTTAGTAAGATGCACTGAGAAGGGCTTATCATTTCTGTGGTATTCTTGCCTCAAAGTGGAAAACATAGCTATACTAGAATTGAGTGACATTCTGCAAAATAACTGACCAATACTCTTCAGAAGTGTCAAGGTCAAGAAAAGAAACTTCTCATAGATTGAGAAGACCAGGGAGATATGATGACTGGGATCCTGGATTGAATCCTAGAACAGAAGAAGTATGTTAATAAAAAAGCTGGTAAAATCCAAAGAAAGTCCATAGTTTAGTTAATAGTATTGTAATGATAACAATTTCTTAGTTTTGATTATTGGATTTGGTTGTTAAAGATAATAACAATAGGGAAACTGGGTGAAGGGCATATGGGAACTCACTGTACTATATTTGCATCTTTTCTGTCTAAAATTACTTAGAATACAAAGTCAAAAAAATAAATGGGGACCATGCTGTTAAAAAGGGGAAGAAAGAAGAAGGGCAAAGGCATGTATGACATTTTCTGAGAGAGGATAAAATGCACTATAAGAACAGAGGTCAGAAAAGCTCAACATAACAGAGAGGTGGAAAATGTAAAAAAAAAAAAAAAAAAAAAAAAAAAAAAGTACAGAAAACCCAAGCAGAAAAGTCACCATTGCTCATTTGAATTCACTCATTTAAAAACTGGAGGACCATTCAAGCAGCCATGGGCTAGTGCTGACCTGCACACATGTTAAGGCCCAACCCAGAGCTATGAACATCACACGCAGGATTTGCTCAGGATGTTTCAAAAGAAGTGAGTGCTTGGCCAGCTTGGGAGTCGCCTGGACAGTCTGGTGGCCTGTATGTCAGAGGCCTCACAGACATCCTAAATAGAGAGGTCCAGTTCCAGAGTTGCCTCTATAAGCTTGGAAATAACCCAGAAGGGTTAGTATTTTTGGTCTGACTATTGAATGGCATCTATTATTATGGCGAAGGTGTCTATGTCACTGGATCTGCAAGGATCAAGTTGTCGGGATGTTCTTCCCTATGCAGAGCTCACGTGAATTCTACCACATTTTCTTAGACATATTAAGATATGCACATCTTACAAGGTTGAGAGACATTCTACCTCTAAGGTGACTTGGAATATCTCTTATTGTCTGTTAGAGCTAACTATATTTTACTTATAGGCAATCTTGTTTTCAGGGTTTTGAGAGATACTTTAATTACAAAGCATTTGGACAAGCATCCCCAACAAGTGACAGTCTCACCATCATTAACTGTACAGTCAACCATCAGTGCATACATGATGCCAGTTACTCCACCCACCTCATTCGCTGTCATGGATATTTGAAATGAACAAAATGTTGATGGCACTAGCAGTGGAGCCCAGCTATAGCATACTGTGAAGATGTGAGGGTGATATCTGACATATCCTCATTCCCATTCACTTCCAGAGTTCCTTTAGCAATTACGGATCTTGGGATCAGAAGACCTGAGACTGGCTTTTGCCCCATAATTTCTCACTGTGTGGCTTTAAACATGTTATGAAGCTTACAGTTTGTTTTCTCATCTGTAAAATGAGGATAATGATAACAACCAGCTCACAAGATTATTTTGAGAATCAAAGGTGTTATTACATGAGAAAGTGTTTATTAAAGACTAAAACACATTATAAGTATGAATTTTAATTTCACTGCCCCAATACAATGAAACATATGGCATTTTTAAATGTAAAAAGAACCCCACAATGCATAAATTTTTAGAAACAAATAATTTTAGTGAAAAAAAACCCACTTTTTAAAAAATCTGAAACATCTTTTCCAGCACTTTGCTGCATAGTCAGATGCTTGAAGCAGAAATTCTTTTCTATAATGTCCTTAGCAGTGTGAGCCCAGTCTGGTTGCCAGGCCCATAAAAACAGAAAGCTGTTGATCATTAGTCTGTGTAAAACATAGCACTTGGGCATCTCACTTGGAACTTGCTTTTTAACTTGTTTCAAGAGGTGGCGCTTAGAACTGAAGAGAGTATTGTATGGCTGAATGAGTGCACCAAAACACCAGGCCAGACTGGGGTGTGGACACCCACTTATGTGTGCAACTGCCTTTTTAACTAATTAATCCTCTCCCTGCAAGCCTGAACGCGGCCTGTGAACTTCACATTCCACTGGTAACTGGAACCCTGGATCCTACAAAACCTGGAGGCTTTCATGAAATGTTATTTGTTCAGGGCGCTTGAAGCAATGATATCTAATGGAGCAGAAGCAAGGAGAAAATGACCTGAGCTTTAGTAAAGAATGGTTGATTTCCATCACAGATCTGGCTCTGTCTCTACTCTGCTTAGAAACCCTGGAGGGCTCCCTTCCTGGACAGACTCCAAACTCTTCTCAACCAACCCTGGGCTCATTTTTCCACACACTCATACCACTCACCCCCCTTTCTCTGCCCTCCAATCTCTGTGCTTGTGTTTCCTAATGTATAGTTTGCAACAAAATAAACTGGTAGTGCTTGTTTAAAATGTAGATGCCATTGCTGAACTTCAGGGCTAACGAATCAGAAATTCTGGGTGTAGAGACCTCAGGAATCTGCTTGTCAAAACTAGTTCCTCCAGCAAATCTTGGGAGACAATGACCTGGCCACACTTAACCACTTATCTGTTCCTTAAATTCAGCATGCATTTTATTCCTCTGTACTTCTGCCTTCCTTTTCTTTTCCTCTCCACAAACTCGCTAAGCTTCCTTTATCGAATAACTTCTGTATACCAAATGCAGGCAGTCCATTAAGGCTTCAAGGCCCAGCTCTTATTTATGGCTTCGCTGGTACTGTTCCTGATTCTTCTCAATACAAAATTAACTGAGCACCTACTAAGTATCAGGTATGCAGAGAGGACATAGACATGAACTAGATTTTGTCTTTGTCCCCAAGATGCTCACTCAGAGTGACAGAGACCTTATGAATCTGTGCCTCTACTCTCTCTAATGAGAAGCTAGACTTTCAGAACCACAGCACTGGAAGAGCTGATGTATCAGCCAATCTAGACAGGGAAGCTCTTTTTGCCACTGAGATGCAAATGCACCTTCCTAACTAGAATTCATTGTATGCTAAGCTAGTCGTCCTTTTTCTTGCCAAAATATCTTTCATCAAGAGAATGCCAAAGTGCTTTTCTAGTAGATTTGAATTGGGTACCAGATTTACTGATAGCAAAATCAAGATTCTGATGTATTAAATATCCTTCTTTAGGCCTTAGAATAGCTTATGGCAGAACTGAGCACATGAGAACTTCTCCAATGCGTCATAGCATGGGGTCTGCACATAAAAGGGCTTCAATAATGTGGCCAATGAGTGGTCAGTTTGCTTTATAAACTTCTAAAAATAGAATGAACTTCCTCTGGCAGTGCCAGCCTGGAGCTTGAGTCTGTCTGTGCTGGTGTTGAATGCCTCTCACATTCTGGGACTTTGGATTTACCCTTTTTTGGGTCCCTTTTTTGCTTTCCATTTTAGATTTTTTTTATCTTTAATTTGTGCAAATTTATTTTGCTCCAATTTTTCAAATTAGTTATTTTTTTTTCTGCCTAGGTCTGCCACTTGATACTTCCAAAGTTTCTTTTTCTCTTCTCACCTTATTTTCTGACTGTCCCTACCCCCTCTGTCTCTCTCCCCTCCTTTTCTCCTCCCCACCCACCTTCCTCCCTGTGGCCCACATCCTGCGTAAGAATACAGGCAGGATTAATCCAGCAGGGAACACAATGTCTGCGAGCCACGACAGACGCACTAAAGCGTGCAGTGGTGATAAAAGGCAACTCTGATGGGCTCTGTCAGGAATCCTCAGAAACACTGACGGGAAACATTTGCTAACTCTCTCCTGGCTTCAGGCCCCCGGGCCCCACAACAGGATCATGCCTAGAAAAGCCAACGGAGAAAAGTAGTGAAACTAGAAAATCTCCTTGCCTCCCAGCACCCCATGCAAGAAAATTTTCCTCATAGCCAAAATTCTCTAGCTGTTTACCTGAAAGACCCTGGGTTAAAACTGTGAGTGGCCTCAAACTTTGATTTATGTCCTAAATCGTTGAAGGAATGCTGTAAGCCATCTTAGGAGAGAAGACTGAGTAACCTACTTCTGCCTTGCAAAGAGAAAGATGAGCAAAAAGGAAAAAAAAAATCCCTTTAGTGCTGTGAATGGCTCAATGTCCAAGGATGTGTGCAGATATGTGACACGTGTGTGCATAAACATGGCAATAATACATGTGCATTTGGGTTCAGTTTCCCTCCAAGTACATTCAATTAAAAAAGATTTCTTGTCCTACATACCCATGGAGTCTGTGGGTATATAGGACAAGAAATAATATTTTGCTTGTTACCTAGTGAATTTGATCTACTAAACACCACAAATTTGTACCCAAGTTGACCTATTAACCAAACAAATAATAATTGCTACCCCTTTGGAGAGGAGGTATGAAGATCAGGATGATTCCCAATATTAATTCATGTTTACTTTACTGTTTGTTCCCTTTAGACTTGCTCTATTCCGTAGGCCCATTTGCCATCCTGAAAGTCTCCAAGTGTAGTCACTACTTCTGTTTGGACAGCGATCATTGTCCTTGTGTCATGGGGCTGCAGTCTTGTCATTTAAACATAGCCCCCACTGATGTTGTCTGTCTCTGTTTCTTTCCCTTTCTCTTCATGACTTTTGGTTTCTCCCGCTCCACTATCCAGGTAGGCAGGGGCCCCAGTCAGACTAATGGCTGGCCCATTAGTCCATTGGGGTCTTCAGGGATAATAAAAGTTAGGTTTCTAAACAGCCTTAGTTCAAATGCTCACCACTTCCTGAGAGCCTGAATTTCAGCCCTTTCCCATTAGTACTTTAGCATAAAGCAGTTTATCAGATTCAGCTGGTTGATTCTAAGGTGATAATATGCAGGGCTTTAAAGTTTCCCTGGAAAAAATCAAGGTAGCAATAACATTCATTCATTCACCAAATAATTTTCTAATGCTGTCATGTGCCAAGCACTAAATGCAGTGAGCAGAGGTCCACATGGCAAACTTAGAAGGGGGTTACTTCTTAAAAAGACAGAAAAGCAAATTCAGTTATTTTTCTTGAACAAATAATTCCTGAATTCCTATTTTGTACCAGCCAGTCTGCTTAGTTGTGGAGACACATGGTGAGTCGGCAGGCCTCTACCCTCAGGAAGCTCATATGACTTTCTATAACAGATGCTCTGAGAGAGGCTCAGCCGGTGTTTTGGGAGAGCCTGAATTTCAAGGACACTGGGAGAGGAATGAGAAGGGGATGCAAAAAATCAAATAAGTCTTCCAGGAGGAAGTAGCTCTTTAGCTATGTTGTGAATAAATTAAATAAAGAATAAGACTTTACTATAATTAAAAAATAAAAAAATAGATGTTGGTGTGGATGTGGAGAAAAGGGAACATGTTTACACTGCTGGTGGGAATGTAAACTAGTACAACCACTATGAAAAACAGTATGGAGATTCCCTGAAGAACTAAAAGTAGAACTACTGTTTGATCCAGCAATCCCACTACTGGATATCTACCCGGAGGAAAATAAGCCATTATATGAAATAGACACTGGGACACACATATTTATAGTAGCACAATTTGCAATTGCAAAAATATGGAACCAGCCTAAATGCCCATCAACCAAAGAGTGGATAAAGAAAATGTGGCATATACATATATCACAGAATACTACTCGGTCATAAAAAGGAACAAAATAATGGTATTCACAGCAACCTGGATGGAATTGGAGACCACTATTCTAAGTGAAGTAACTCCGGAATGAAAAACCAAACATTGTATATTCTCACTTATAAGCGGGAGCTAAGCTATGAAGGCACAAAGGTAAAAGAATGATATAATGGTCTCTGGGGACTCATGGGAAAAAGTGGGAGGGGAGAGAGGGTTAAAAGACTACACATACACTGCTCAGGCGATGGGTGCACAAAAATCTCAGAAATCACCACTAAAGAATTTTTCCATGCAACCAAACACCACTTGTTCTCCCAAAACTATTGAAATAAAAATAAATATTCAAAAACATAAAATTTTAAAAATTTTTCAAAAGAAAAGCATAATTTACCAACAAATATATTTACAAATGTCTTGTTTGGTGATGAGAACATATATATATTATAATGTAATTTGCAGATATCTCTCATATTAAAACATTACAACTCAAAAAGAATATGGCTTTAAGGCCGTGGAAAAGGGAGGCAGGGCCATTCTAGGAGGAAGAAGCAGCTGATAAATGACACAGAGACAGGACTTTTGAGGGACAGATTATTGAGAACTTCGAATGCCAGGCAAATTTTAACTTTTATTTTGCAGTCATTGGAAAGCATTCAGGTTTTTGAGTAGGAAAGTGACATCATTTCATTTATGTTTTATGGAGGATGGTAGAAATATCAAGCTAGAGTTGACTTGTTAGGAAGTTATTTGTAATAACCTCAGTGAGATGTGGTGGGAGTCAGAATCAGTTAGTGGAAGTGGGAAGGAAAAGAATAGGTGAATGTGAGAGAGATTAAGCTCTAACTGATATGTGCTGTAGGTAGTGGTAAAATAACGTTTGAGGCTTTAGAGAGTAATGATGTTAAGATTAAACCTCTAGTTTAAAATGATTGATTGAGCACACACATCTATGCCTTCCCTCCTAAAAATTTATTAGTGATTCTAAATAAATAATAAAAAGTTATCAATGCTTTTTAACCAAGATGGAAAAGGGGGGGCCATCAGTGCACAAGAGAGTCAACATATTTAGGGAAGACTAAAAGTGGACAAAGAAGTAGTGACTGATGTAGCAGAGTGGAAAAGAGCTGAGAATACACAGAGAGGTGGCTACAGCCAAGAAGGAAGTTGGTCTGCCCTTCCAAGTCCTTCCTGGTGAAGCTCAAGACCTCAGGGGAGAGACCAGGGCCTAGATATAGGGAGAATACGGAAATATGTATAGATACAGCAGTCACCATCCATATATCCCCACTGACCATGTGCAAAATGCCAGGCAGTCAAGTTATATACCTAATAATGGAAAGAAAGGAAATCTTCTCTAAAGATATAGACTAAAGGATACCACAATATGCCACCTCAAAATGTGCCTCTTTGGCATATGGGTTATTTTGAACTAAAGACACTTGATGACAGTAGACAAAAACAAAACAAATCAAAACAATTTACCTCCCCATAACAGCCTAAGAATAGAGTATATAATTTTTTCCTTTGGTGAAGAAATCTCTATTTGTAAAGGTATCTCTATACCAGGAAGAGAGTTATTCCTGGAGACAACATTTATCACATGACAGACTCTTATCTGGATAACAAGACAACCAATACTTACCATATATTTTCTCGCCTCATCTTTCCATAAGTTGCCTTCCCCTGCCCAGAGCCCAATACCCCTTTTCCTCTGCTTAGCCTATGATGGTATAAGCCTCAATCTTCTGGCTGCCTCTTTGAGTCAGATTTTCTTGTTTCTTTTTTTTGAGACAGAGTCTCACTCTGTTGCCCAGGCTGGAGTGGAGTGGAGTGATCTTGGCTCACTGCAACCTCTGCCTCCCGGGTTCAAGTGATTCTCATACCTCAGCCTCCCTAGTAGTTGGGACTACAGGCACGAGCCACCACACCTGGCTAATTTCAGCCACACTTTCCTTCTGAACTCTCATGTCTGCACATATAAGCAAAAATTTTTTTTCCTCATGTTTATCTGTCCTTTATTAGTTTGATTCAAAGACCTCTGCCATCGAACCTAGGCAGGGAGAGGGAAAAGAATTTTTTCTTCCCTACAAGAGCAAACTATTTGGGTAAAACCAGCCACTGTTATAGTGTTGGCACCTCCAGCATTTAGGGATCTCAGCACATGATGGCCTGTTTACCATCCATTGAGCCCTGGAGTGGAAAATCCCTGTTGATCTGCTCCACCAGTGCATGAGAGCTTACAATGAGGCTACCTGTTGCCTTATATTGCAAAATGAGTGAGGAATCAAAGATCTTAAGTCTATAATATGAAACAGAAACATGAAGATAAGCTAACATAAAAAGATTAGAAGTAGAAGGGAATTCAGAGAAGCAAAATAGAACTATAGAAATAAACTACAAGCCTTGTTTTGTTCTGTTAATTTCTCATCTCTTCTAAGAATGTAATTTGTTATGGTTTAAGCAAAACAAGAAGAGCATTCTATTTTTAAAACACTTAAAACTATGACTGCCTGAAAAAAATACAAAAGTAAATTTATCTTCTGAAATGAAAAGTAAAATAGAGGAAGTCTCCCAGAAAGTATATTTTGAAAGATAAAAATATATAAAAGATGAGAGAAAAGATAAGAAAAGAATTTCACAAAGCTGAAGGACACAAGTCCTCATATTTAAAGGTACGGGGTACCTAGAATGGTGGATGAAAAAGGTGCTCACCAAGAGCTCACTGTGTTGTAAGATAAAAACGTTCTCTCTCATTGTATTTCCTCAAATGACATCTTACAAAAAAGTGCACACAAAGTAAACTTTTTGTTTGCTTGGATCTGAAAGTCTCTTTATTCAGCCCTCATACTTAATTGATAGTTTGGCAGGGTATAGAATAGGTTGAAAATCATTTTTCTCATAACGTGAAAGGATCGCTCCAATGTTCATTATACTCAAATCTTCCTTTGAGAGATCTGATGCTACTCTGAGTCTCAATTTTAAATGTTTAGTTTTTGTTCCTGGGAAGATTTTTGGATTAAGCTTTGGCTTTAAGGGAACATTGTGGCTGGTTTGTTCTTCTATCCAGACCACTAAAACTTTCTTCATGTCAGCAGTAAGGCTGCTTCACTTTCTTATCATTCATATGTTCTCTGGAGTAACACTTTTAATTTCCTCCAACTCTTTCTTTGCATTTACAATTTGACTATTTGGCACAAGAGGCCTAACTTTTGGCCTGTCTTGACTTTCCATTTGTCCTTCTCACTAAGCTTAATCACTTCTGGATTTTGATTTAAAGTAAGAGATGTGTTACTCTTCCTTTCAGCTGAATACTTAGAGGCCATTGTAGAGTTATTAATTGGCCCGATTTCAATATTGTTGTGTCTCAGTGAATAGGGAGACCTGAGGAGAGGCAAAGACATGGAGGAATGGCTGGTCAGTGAGCATTCAGAACACATACCATGTTGACTGAGTTAGCCATCTTATATGGGTGCAGCCCAAGGTGCCCCAAAGCAATTACAATAGTAGCATGAAGGATCATTGATCACAGATCACTATAACAGATATAGTAATAATGAAAAAGCTTGAAATATGGAAGAATTACAAAATTTGGCACGGAGACACAGGGTGAGCACAGGCTGTTGGAAAAAGTGGCACCAATAGACTTGTTTGATGCAGGGTTGCCATAAAACTTCAATTTGTAAAAAATGCAATATCTGTAAAGTACTGTAAGAAGGAGTGCAATGAAACAAAACATGCTTGTATATTACAACAGAAGCAAGAAAGTTAATATAGCCTTGAGCATACTACATGAATATCTTGGTCGTTTCACATGAACGCTAGCTATTTTTGATCTTCTTTTCTCATTGGGATTGAAAAGAAGACATTCACCAGATCAGTGACCACATACCATGTACTTGCAGCTGTATTCATCTGTTCTAGGAAAAATCTTATGTCTGTCACAGCAGCTACAGTGGGGGCTACTAGTCCTTGCAGGAGTCTACAGTCATTCTTTAGGATTAATTCAGTTTCTGCAGAGGCCAGAATGGTGACATAAATGTGGATATGATGGGGGCTATCACTTCTGTCTCCTTCAGGACTTCAATGAGGGGAAATAGTCTCTGCTCCTCTCCTTTCCTAGAATATATTATGTTTAATTTCCTATATTGGCCCAGCATTGGAGGTGGTTAGAAGAAGGTTCAGAAGTTCCCGTTTGGCCTTCCCCACTATGATAACTCTACTCAACAGGCCAAGGACCCCATCAGGGGGCTACTCCAACTGCAAGCATATCATTTCCAATGATATGCTTAGGCATTGAGGAAATGACTCCTGGGTGTATTCACAGACTCAGTGTGCCCACTGTGAGCCATACTTTAGCCAAGACTCCATTTATTACTTGGTTCCTGTAGTCCCCATTCTAATGGTGATGCTTTATGTCTCCAAGTATCAATTTCTACTCAGACCCTGTGTCCAATAGCACTCAAAATATCAGAGTACATCTCTTTCTGCATTGTACAGTCACTGGAGTAAATGACTACACATCCCTTTGGGGAAGAATGAGGGGAATGGTCACACTATATATTTGTTATGGTATGGCATCTCGTGACTCAGTGGGTTCTAGATCTGAAAATCAGCTCAAGTCCGGGAACTGAGCAGATCATGACTTTTTATTGGCTTGACCGCCCTCAGCCTCCTGCTCCTCCATTCTTGACTGTTTTTGATGATCTTAAGCAGTATCCTTGTAGGCTGCCTATCTACTTTGCCCCGGGGACACCATGGTCTATGAACCATCTCCACAGCTCCCTGGTTTCTAGTGCATAACTGCCACCATCTGGCTCTATTACTTCAGGCCCCATTAGCTTTGGAATGACATTAACAAGCCCAGCTGTGTGCCTCAGCTACCATCAGCCCTGTCTGTAGGAGACCTTCACAGCGATGCTGGTATCCACTCTCCAGCACATTGTGATAGCCTTGCTGAATGCTGGGTCCTCTGAGCCTTCCCGAGGACCCATCCCTGTAAGCCCACTTTCTTTAGCCTCTTTCTTTCCTCCTGAGCGTGGGCATTTGTACGCCACTCCACACAGGCCACCACTTTCTTCCAGCCTCAAAGAGTCACTCCACATACAAGTTTTCTTCATTTCCTGGAGTCCTTGCCAAGATGTTAAATCCTATGTCCCAAAAAGTGTCCCAAAGTCAATAAAATCTTGGTAATCCAGTTTTATATTCTAATTCCCTTAATCAAGCACCTTAAAAAAATCCAATCAGTAATATTCCCTTGGCTCCTCGTGGGACATGCTGGCTAATTCTTGCAGCTTCTTTCATATATAATCCTGATTCTCCTTTACCAAGCCTAGCACTTCCCTAGCCTGGCTATGCTGGGATTTAACCTAGTTATTGGCATATCAGTCTGGAGGGAGGATTGGGGAAAGTTCTGGAGAGAGTAGGTCCCCTGGGAAAAGGATATCTGCAGTATCTTCCAGCACAGGGGTAATGTTACCCTCACTAGGAAGCGCTGAGCCACTTCTGCAAACTCTGAAGGTTTAAGGGGGAGGTAGCTGTAGAATCAACGTCTTCAGAGACATCTTTCCTGATGATCCCATCCCTTGTTTCAGGGTCCCAGTATTTTCCAACCAGAGCCCTGATTTTAGCATAGCAGTCCTACCTTGCCTTAATGCTCAAATGTTCTGGAGCTCTGCAACTTTATCTATCGATTTGTCTTTTCCTCATTCTATTCTTAGCTGCATCTTTGTAAGCTACCAAAGAGGCCTTCTGGCTCTCACATTTAGTCTTCAACTGCTTATTAATGGCCCTTGTTCCTTATAATCTCTCTGCAGGGAGTCAGTACATTTTAGCTATAACTGGACACCCCACTGTCTTTGTAGACACTGTTTCCCCCAAAGTTTTTCAAATGCTTGACTCATTGCATCTGCCATGACATCTCCCTTCATGGAGACATTTTCCAGTGATTAGATCACCACTGCATGTTGGAGACCATCTGTGCTACACACAACATTCAGGATAGTGTCCTCTTTGCTCACTTGTCTTTTGGGAGTCAGTCTCAGAACCTCATTTTATTGCCCCTATTCTCAGACCACTCTTGGCACCACTGTGTTAGTTCAGGTCTTCCAAGGAGCTGATGTCAAGGCAGGATAAGTGCAAGAGATTTATTGGGGAACATCTGTGAGGGAAAATGGGGAGGGAGGTGGAAGAGCCCAGGAGACTGAGTCTCCTCTGGAGACCATGATGCAAGTCTGTGAAAGAAGGAAGGTTGGGTAGGAAAAATGTTAGATGTGGTGCAGTCTAAGGAGGTTTCAGCAAAGCTGATGGACAGTGCTCAAGCCAAAGTTGCTCTTCTAAGGAGTCCCTCATCTCCCAAGAATGGTCCTGCCTTAGTATCCCTCACACCCTTGAATCATGGCCTCTGTGTGTGGGGATGGATTTCAGAATATAGCACTGGGGCCCTTGGTCAATCACTCAAATACCTGAGAGGCACGTGTTCATGGCAAGCACACATGGTCCGTTTTGCACTTTTTTTTTGGAATTTTATTTAGCATGTACAAATTTTATTTAAAAATGAAAAACTTATATAAGCATATTATCTGAAATATGGAGATAACTACCAGAAGAAAATGTTAAAAATAGTTACTTTTGTAGAGTAAGGCTCAGTTTGAAAAGGGTGAGAGATGTGACTCTTGCTTTTTATCATTACCCCTTTAGTATTACTTTTTTTCTTAATCCATGTGAATTTATTACTATGATAATTTTCTATTAAGAAAAAGAGAGTCAGAAAGGGGAGTTGGGAGAAAATAGTAGGAATGAGGAAATAATAAGCTCAATTCTGAAAATAAGCTAATAACATTTCTTGAATACTTTATGATCACTAATCATCAAAACATTTCTAAGAGTTAGGAAATATTATTGCCATTTCACAGGTAATGAAACTGAGAGTTAGGATTAAGTCTTAGGCTAAGGATTTTGCTAAAGACTACATGCCAAATAAGTGGCAGAGTCAGGATTTGAACTCAGGTCTAGGTCTATGCTGTTTCCACAAGTAAATGGAGAAGAGGCGTCTGACAGATGAGGGCCATGTTGGGGTGAGTCATCTCGTGATCCTTGGCCCATAGGCCAGCCTAAACAATGCCTTCGCCCAAGGGAATTGCCAAGTTGTTGAAGGGGCCAGTGTTAGTCATTGTTTAATTACATTATACATATTTAGCCTTTTAAATCTTTTCTGAGAAATCATTTATTTCTACTTTGTTAATTATTCTTGAATATCTTCTTATAATAAAAATGTGTAGAGGAGGAAGCCTGTGGCCGAGAGCTGGGACCTGTCTGGGAAAGGACTGGAAGCTGGATGAAGTCAGCAGCCTGTTTTTGTTGGAGGTGGACAGAGCACGGACTCTCCAGCCTCGTGCAGACGCCCTGCCTAGAGGTCAAGCTGGCGGCTCCCTCTGTTTATCCTATGGCCTGGAAAGCACTCTTTGTAGACAAGTGTTATCTTTTCTGATAAACATATCAGTTTTCTGTCTCAGCTCAGTGGAAATGATCCCTGGATTTGTGATATGAGCTTTAATAATATTTTCTGTTTCTATGGTGCCTTTTCCTGGGTTGGCTTAGACAATAGAGGAAAAGTCAGAGGGAACCAGTGTTCATGAAACTGTAGCCTTTGGCCTCGGGATGAGTGAGATAGGAGTGAGATACGCTATTCCACAGTAATGGATGGGCAGATGACTGCCAAGCAGGCCAGTCTTATGGCTGAGGAAGCACTGCAAAGGGAGAATGAGGAGTAAGTATCCTGGGTAAATCGACGAGGGCTTGACAGAGACCACCCATTTCAGCTCAGCTCCACGACTAACTGCTGCAAAATCCCGGGCACCTCTGAGCTAGAGGTTCATAGTTATAGTGTCCCTCTATTAGAATAAATAATTATCATCTAATGATAGGAGAGAAAAGTAAACTGTGGTAGAATCATAATATTCTTGTGAGAATTAAATAAAATAAGCAAATTAAGTACATAGCAGAGTGCCTGGTGAGCATTCAATACATGTTAGCTCTTACTATTCAGAAACCTCCTATGGTACCTTAGAGGATGAATTTATGTCTACAGGACTTTTGAAATACAAAAGTTTGAATCTGTATGCAGTTAGATCCATTTGTCTTTTCTTCCTTGACTTTTATGCTTCTCTTCCCCTGTAAGTATACTTTTTTACGTTTGCTTTTTCACTCTTCTGGAATGTAGAGCAGGTCCTTTACTTCAACACTGTTTCATTTATAACACTGATAAGAAAAAAAAAATTGATTCCCCACCAGGCCACTGTTTGTGTAGAGCTGGCATGTTCTCCCCATGTCTGTGTGGGTTTTCACCAGGTAATCCAGTTTCCTTCCACACCCCAGAGATATGCATGTTGGATGAATCGGTGTGTCTAAATGGGCCCAGTCTGAGTGAGTGCTGGTGGGTGTGAGTGCACCTGTGATGGAATGGCGTCCTGTCCGGGGCTGGTTCTTGCTTTGTGCCATGTGCTGCTGGGATAGTCTCCAGCCTCCTGCAACCCTGAATGGAAATAAGCAGGTTGAAAAATGAATGGATGAATGAATATAAATTATTATAAAATAAAAATTCATAAAGTCTATAATAATCACACAAATGCATGACAATAAACAATGTGGAATGAAAGTGCTCTGCGAGCCCACCTTGTTTATTATTGTTTATTTTTGAACTGCGTGGTGGTAAGAGGTGCTCCTTACAATTTTTGTTTTGCAAACATTTCCTGATTTAACCCACCAGCACTAGGACCATCACTCATTGATTCACTAAAAATTGGATAAATAATTCTTGTTTTCATTAATCTTTCTTAAACATATGTATAGCTCCAATTTATTTCAATGTTTAGTATTAGAAGTGTTTTGGGTCTTTATTTAGAAGTTTATTTAGATGTTTTTGTAGCCAGAAATATGTTGTAGAAACCTAATTCTTGTTTATATTAATTAGCCTATGATAAAATTGATTTTGTTATACATTGCTTCACTTAAAGTCTCAGTTTCCAAGAACCTATCAACAATGTTAATTGAAGACCATATAATCCAGTATATGGTATGATATAAGGAGATAATTTAAATTATAATTTTTTTCCAAATAAAAACTTTTTCCAAAGATATTTAATGATTTGAGAATACTTTTCCTTAAACTGATTCTTACATATATTTGAGTCTACATATTTTGAAAGAATTTCTATTCCTAATATTTATCAATAATTTTAAATTAATTATTTTCCACACTAAGGATTTCTGTTTACTATTTTACATTTAAAATCCTGCTCAAATTATCACTGCTTCTAGAATGGATTTCATATATTGCTGGCAAAAGAATAATATAGACAACTTTCAGGAAAGTAATTTGGTTGGAAAATGTTTATGCATCAAATAATAGTTTCACTTCTGGCAATTTTTCCTGAAGAAAAATAAGCAAATCAGAAAATATTTATATATATGTATGTATTTCTATGTATTTATGTATAAAGCTGTGCTGCTATCTTCTGTAAAAGCAAAAAGTTCCAAAGTATTCTTAGACGGTATTGTTATGCAAATTATATTACATTTATAGATTACTATAAGATCTTTGAAACTTAAAAAATTAATAACATAGAAAATGCATTTTCATACTAAGTGGAAATACAGCATGAAAATTTTTATGTGTAATATTATCTCAATTATATTTTTAATTTCCTTGAACAAGCTCTTTCCAGCCTCAGGGAGTTTGCATTTTCTGGTTCATCTCCTTAGAAAGAATTTCACCTGTTCTTTGTAAGAGTGGCTCTTTTTCATTCTTCGGGTCTTGGCTTAAATGCATCATTTCAGGGAAGCTTTTTAAAACTATCCTATTAAAAGTAGATCAGATCCCCTCCCCAACTAGTCTCAGTAGTGAAGCACCTAATTATCCTTTGGGTGAATTCTGCCGCTCCATTTGGAAGGTGTCTTAGTCTGGTTAGTGCTACTATAACAGAATACTTGAGGCTGGGTAATTTATAAAAAGCAGAAATGTATTTTTCACAGTTCTGAAGGCTGGGAGGTCACAGATCAAGGTGCTGGCAGGTTTGATACTTGGTGAGGACTACTCCGTCTGCTTCCAGGATGAGCGCCTTGAATGCTGCATGTTTCAGAGGAGGGAATGCTCTTCCTCATGTGGCAGAAGAGCTTGGGAGTGAGCCCACTCCAGAAAGCCCTTTTTATAGTGGCATTAATCCACTCATGAGGGCAGAGCCCTAATGACCTAAACACCTTCCATTAGGCCCCATCTCCCAACACTGTTGCATTGGAGATTAAGTTTCAATATGAGTTTTGGAGTGGACAAAAACCTTGAAACCACAACAGAAGGTTTGATTCTAGAGGTCTAGGATCATACTTTTTGTATTTTATCTCCAACGTGCCCATTCCTGTAATCTGAAGGTAAGGAATATGCAATGAATATTACTGACTATATTTCCCAAATCATATTTCCATTTCCTAAGAATTTTTCGCTACATGATATGTTCTTAAAATAAGCATCTCAGTGTGTAAGCATTATTACAAGGACGAACTATGCAAATGATTAACTTGTTGATGATAAAACTTAAGGCAGATGTGGAATATGAAATAGTAATGTATTTCCAGGTATGTGGGTTAACCAGGATCCCCTCTTCCACTTGGTTCTTTTAAATTCACTTCGGAAAGTGGATGAGACTCTGGAGAGGATAAAGTCAGGCTGGGAATCAGAGCAAGATGCACATTGTCTTCTAGGTAGATGAGATCTTGGATAATTGGAACCAGGTGTGTAGGAGAGGGGCCCCAGGGCTTTGAAGGTGAAATCAAGCCTATTTTCCTACAATTATAAATAGCATGTGTCCTTCAGTGTTAGAGCTCTCTGGGCCTCAAATCTGACAGTAATCTTCAGTTCCTCCCTTCAAATACCTCTCATCCCCCCTGCTGTTTCCTACCACTCATTTCCCATGGCCTTTGTTCTTCCTGCTGCTGAAAAGGACTCCCCCAATCCCTTCTCCAACCCCAGAATCAATCAGGTGAATCTCCAGCCATGAAACCCAGTATCAAGGATTCTTGAAGTGGAGCTGCAAATGGGCAAAGCAATGGAGTCCGGGCCCTCTGTGAGGATGGGGTTTCTCCATAACAGTCCTGGTGTATCACAAAATCATAGCAGTCAACCCCCAGCACACATCATAGTGATTGTGAAGCTCCTAGCACAATGCCTCGCTTACTGTAGTTCGCAAAAATCACACAAGGGCTGTTATCACAGCAACGCTTGGCATTTACAAGTTAAATACTTGCAGTTTTGACAATTCTTGACCAACCTTCAGAACCCATGAAATGTCAACCTTTCACTTTCTGAAGACCCAAATTTGAATTTCCTGTTTGTGCAGGTAATGGGTGAGGACTAGTGACAGAGCTGGATCAACTGCTCAGCATCCAGGTTCCAAAGAAACCTTGTATATTTCCTCATATCACATGGGCAGAAGCTCTCCATAGGGGGCATAAGGGATTCCTTCATGTTTTCACTTACACCCCCCTGTAATTTGTGGGGGAAATTATATGTTCTAGAGTTCTGTACAAAATAGGAGATCCATGAGGGACAAATCCTTGTTGATTTTCATGAGTCTGTTGTAGTTCTTGCATTCTAACTCTTCCCCTAGAGTTTTAAGATGAAGCAAGATGAGTTCCAGGATCTCACCAGACAAGGCTTATTTAGTGTCTTTAGGCTGCTCAAGGGTCAGTACAGGGGATTAGGAGAGTGTCTATTTCACAGACCTTAGCCACAGAGATAGGTAATGTGTGACATGCCCTCGAACTGCATCCACAGGGTCACCTTCTGTAACCCAAAGGGAAGGAAGCTCCTGTTGCAGCCTGTGCAGGGGTCAGTTGTAGGCAGTCCAGGTCAGGCCTCCAAGGGCCCTGCTTCCCTTCCCCTCTTCACAAGCCCATGTGGGGTGGTTAATGCACGGCTGCCTCCCCTGTGGAGAATTAATTGGAAATGCTACACCTCAAGAGGAAAAACAAGAGTAATGGAAAAGGCATCTGTGTGTGACCAAAGCCTTAACTGAAAACAGGCTTTCTCTTTTCCCAGTCTGGGAACAAGAGAGGAGAAGCAGTCAGGGAGAGAGCAAGTGCAGATGCTTATCTGGGGATGGAATGATGTAGGATGTGTGCGTGTGTGTGTGTATGTGTGTGTGCACGAATGTGTGTGTGTGTGTGTGTGTAGAGGCACTGGCATGTGTGAAGGAATTGGGAGGTTTGGGGGAGTTGGGGTTGGAAGGCAAGGTTGGTGTGAAGAATGGGGAATGAAACAAGGCTGTGGTGGGCAGTTGAGGAGAGGAGGGAGATTCTTCTGGGGTTGAGGAAGAATGAGTGATGAAGGTGGATTTTTTTGGGGAGTAACAGGTTTTATCTAGTTCTGTCTAGTTTTATCTAGACATTTATCTGAGATCACTAGATAAAAACCTAGTTGCCCTCCAAGGAAATTGGGGGCTTTTGATTAATTAATGACTTAAGTAATTCAACAAATATGTATTCTGTACTGGTCTAATTGTATTTCCTACTCTCTTTTCTAAACTCATTCCTATCCAGATGAGGCCACCCCTTCCTCTGCTCCCTCCTGTGCTTCTCTTGGCTGCTCTTCTATTTACCCCTGCCATGCTGACCTTATTTTTTAAATAAATAACCATTTTCCTCATACCAAACGTATGGGGACCGTACATCCAAATAGCAGAAACAGAGACTCCTGGTTTGGTATGTCTCTAAGCCCAGTTTATTGTTTTCAAACACATTAATTCATTACACATACAGAGCTCATCTTGGCTCAATAATTGTGCCAGGCCCTGGAAATAAATCGAGACATAGTCACTTTCTTCTAGACTAGCAAGAGAAATAAATGAGTAATTGGGACAAAGGTGAAAAAGGAATCATGAAATTCTAGAAGCAGAGCATCGGACCCAGCCTTGGGAGTGGCGAACCCTTCTTGGAGATAATATTTGAACTGATTCTTGAAGGGTGAGTGAAAATATTCGGCCAAGAAGAGGAAGAGGGGAACTAGGAGACAAACTTGGTTCACACCCTTCTTCTGCTTCTTCCAAATTGGGGGAGCCTCAATTTGGTCACCTATGTAATGTCTCTAGGAACACCCACTCCACTGGGCAGCTATGAAGATTATAAAACAACAAAACTACAAGTGCTATGTGTAGCTGAGCCTTCTGTTTTCTCAATCTCAGTGGCATTCATCTACACCCTCTTCTCCTTCAGCACCCACCTGGGTGACCACACTGCAAACCTCTCAGCCCTCAGCTGCTCAATCTCTGGGATCTCAAATCATGAAAGTCCTCTATGCCTTAAGCTCTTTTCTTTCCACCTCCCTCCCACTCATGCCAGTGCTGGATTGGTTTTGTGCCACTTTGTGAGCTTTAGTCCATTGATCTTCCCCCAGCCCCAACTCAGTCTCTTTTTCTATGACTTTATTCTCCTTCCTTGCTATGTGAGTCCTCATGGTCAACCAGTAAATGGTTCTCTCTGGCCTCCCCAACACCCTTGCCTCTTGGCTTCCACTATGTATCTCCCCAACCTGGTCTCAACCACACTGTCTTTTCCAGATTCCTGTTCCTGGCACTTGAGTATGCTGGAGGAAGCCCAGACTGTTTAATTCCACTACATTTGGATACTTTCCAGTCACTACTGGGCGCTTGCTACTTCTTAGACATCTTTTTATTTATCTCTGTTGAAATAAGTCAATGTTTGTAAAGGTCCTAGTGCTTAGTCTGAAACATAGTAGGAGCCCAATATGTTCACTTCCCTTTTCTGATTTGTTATCACATTCCCAAGAGTGCCCAGTCCAAGCATTTCCATTCTTACAACATTTCTGATTTCCTTCAGCTCTGAGCTTTGGCCATTAGCTCAAGCTTGTTTTGCCTTCCTGATTCTCAGCTTACATGTAGTGATTGACAGCACATACCCTCAATCAGCTAGCTGGGTCTAGTCATTTCTCAGCCTCAGTTTCCTCTTCTGTAAAATGAAAATTATAATAGCGATGATAAAAGTACTTATGTCACAGGGCTGTTCAGAGGATTAAGTGAGATAATGTTTGTTAATGGGTAAGTTTAAGATATTTTACATGGTACACCCAATAAATGTAACTTGCTGTGATGATGATGATAATTTTTTAATGCATTCTTTTTCAGCCTCCCTGTCTCAGAGACATAGAGTTCTTCCTCCTTGCCAAGAACAAACTTGTGCTTCACATTCTATCCTCTCCAGATCCTTAAAAGACCTTCCTCTACAACTAACCTCTCTTGCTTCTTCAATCTCTATCTTCCCATTGGCTTCTACTTCTGAATCTATAAACATAAGTCTTCTCTATCCTTAAAACAACTAACATATTAAAAATCATGTATCAGCTCTGCTATCTCCTCTAACTTTCTATAACTTTCTATATGTAGAACGTACATTCTACATTCTCCCCTCACAACTCATCCTTAATTCCTTGAAAACTGGCTTCCACTCTCAGCAGTCCGCAAAGCCACAAATAGCTTTCTCAAATATCACTGACCTTTTCTCAACCTTATTCTCCTCAAATGGTCTCTGCAGCATCCTTTGATGCTGGTCACCCTGTCTTTAAGAAACCCTCCTCTCTCCTGAGTGTACTTCCTTTCTTCTGCTACCCATTTCAATTTCCTTGTCTGGCTCCTCTTCTTCTTCTACATACTTGAATGTATATGTTTCTAAGAATATGACCCCAGTCCTCTTCTTTTCTTGCTTTACATGGTTTCCCTGGACAAACTTTGACAATCACCTCCCTGATTAATTCTGCTCCTAGGCACATGCCCAAGGGAAACTCTTACATATATGTCCCAGGAGACATAGGAAAAAATGTCCATAGCTCACTGTTCAGAATTGCAAAAAATTGGAAACAACTCATATAACCAATGACAAGAGACAAATAAATTGTATATATTAATGCAATGGAATATTATGCAGTAGTGAAAATTAGTGATATTCAGCTACACTGAACATGGATAAATCTTAGTGACATAATGTAGAGTGACAAAAGCAAGTTCCAGCGGACATTATAGTGTAACCTCTTTATAAAGTTCAAAAACAAGAAAAATCAACTTACTTTTTATACAAGAATATATTGTAATAAAGCAGAAAGCAAAGCAAAGGAATGATAGACACAGAATTCCAAATCATGGTTGGTTCCTCTGAGGTGAAGGGCTGTGATATGAATGAGGACTGTGTAGATGTGAGTTATTGGTAATGGTTAGTTCTTGCGCTATAGGTTGGTTCATAGTGTTCCTCATATTATTAAAGATGAAATAAAATAAATAAAACAGGATCATGCATGGATCATTAATGAAGAAAATCTCATTCTAATCTCTCTCTAAACTCTATTTCTGTTTTTCTAACTGCCTATTGCCATCTTCACTTGAATATTTCATTCGCTCTTGACTCTCAAAATGAGAAAAACTGACTTTACCTTTGTCTTCAAATTTGCTCAGTCTCCTTAATCCCAAATGTTTATAAATAACCACCTCCTCTAAGGTGGTTTGGCCTATGGCTAGAATTCTAAAAGACCCTTCATTTTCCCCCTAAATTCAGCTTTTTGCTACATCTCACTTTAATTCCCAAGCAGATGCATCTAGGACGAAGCAGAGCCAGAATTTTGACCCATATTGTTTGTTGCCACAGCTATGTTTTAATCACCTCTGTACAGGTGATACTGGATCAAAGCAGCCCCCGGGGGATGACCTCGGGCATTGAGGCCTGAGGGTTTATCTCCCCTTCCCCACAGGGAAACTGAGGCCCCAATATGTTCTTTCCATAGACCCTACTTTCTATTGAGCTCTTGCCTCTCCAAATGCAGGCTGCTGAGCACCCATCCCCACCCCCTGAAGTCCTGCCCAGTGTTCTGTCTTTGGCAAAATTTGCCAGGCCTGCTGGATAGCTCTTAGGGGCACTCTGTAGAAAGGAGAGGTATACTAGGCTCAGTGTTGGGGGAATAAACAGCTCTTGTGAGCAGTTAGGATCAAGGTGAATCCAGCCAGATGGAGTCCCTGGATGTTTCTTTTCTTGGGTTCTGCCAAGCAGCAATCACAAAGAGCAACCACGCAGTACAGCTTCAATGAGTTCCTACAGGAGGAATGGGGAGAATAGGCTTGGGCTAGGAGGGAGAGAGGAAACCTTAAGCACAAAACGTGTTTAAAAGCCTCAACAGCCACTTCTTTGCCTGGAGAAGTGATTATTCCTAATAAGGACATAGCAGTTCCTGTTTACAATTGCTCCAAACATCCCTCACACCACAAACCATTGCAAAATACATGCCAAGGCCCAGCAGCCTTTTCTGTTTAAAACTTCTCTGCCTTTACAGCTGGTTAGGTCCACAGCCTTGCTGGTTTCTGGCCTCTGTTCCCTTATAGAATAGGCACATTCTTTACACCTCTCTTAGACCAGGTTCTCTGCTGGATGAGATGGAAAGCATCTTGCAAGCAGGAGTACTCTCTTTTCCTTCTTTTGTGTTTTCCCGCATGTCTCCCATTACAGGCTGAAGCACATAAACAGTGGACTCTGTGGACTGACTGGTGAGATCGTTAGCATTTATTCAGATGTCAGGTAACCAAAGACAGAAATTCTTCAACATGCAAGGCACGCAATTCTTAAGGATGGCCTCTAAAGGGAAATTACACAATTCAAATCCAAGTGCTTCATATTTCTGTGAGAAATGTTTCCTGGCTGGTTCTGTCACGCATTCGGAGGTAGAGTCAGCATAGATGAGAGATTTCAGCTATAGAAAGGAGAAAAAAGTATTCTTTCTCTAGCAGTTGGGGAAACCTTGCTTATTTCTGAATCACTGAACAAACATTTTTAAAGGATCTACCAATATAAAATAATACTATTTCTATAACAGTTGTTTTCAGATAACTGGATTCTTGACTACTACTCCCTTCTTTTCCCTTCCCCTTCTTCTCATCCTCTTTATCTCCTTCAAAGTGATCGAGCTCCAACCCTAAAGACTAGGGATGTTTAAAAGTACCTTTGATTACACTGAAGAACAGGAAGCTGTTCCAGCATCCTCTGTGATAGAAGCTTGGGCTCTGGAGTCAGCCAGGCCTAGTGATGCCAGCTCTGCAGCTAATTAGCTCTGGGACCTTGGGCAAGGTATCAGAATTTTTTATCTCCAGTCTAGAAATTAAAGTAGTTACCTCACAGAGTGAGGATTAAATGATACTGTATGTTAACTGCTTAGCATATTTAGCATTACAATGATCAATGAATGATGGCTATTTTTTATTAATGCCATTGCCTAATCTAACAAGAACTTGTCTAGAAACCTTATCCATCTGGAACTCAGTCAAAAACTAGACAGGAAATCAAAAGAACAAAGGTGTCTGAGCAGCTAAAACTAGTGCCTGTGAGTTAAAACAAAGATACTTTTTTTGGCCGGGTGCAGTGGCTCACGCCTATAATCCCAGCACTTTGGGAGGCCGAGGATGGTGGATCACTTTAAGTCAGAGTTCAAGACCAGCCTGGCCAACATGATGAAACCCCCTCTCTACTAAAAATACAAAAATTAGCCATGCGTGGTGGTGCACACCTGTAATCCCAGCTATTCAGGAGACTGAGGCATGAGAATCGCTTGAACCCGGGAGGCGGAGGTTAGAGTGAGCTGAGATTGCGCCACTGCATTCTAGCCTGTGCAACAGAGTGAGACTCCATCTCAAACAAACAAACAAACAAACACAAAACACTTTATTGACCATATGTGATCCTTATTTGGAGCCTATATAATATGGTATATAGAACTAGATCAAACTCACAGCAGGTGAAGAGGCAGCAAATTAAATAGGGAAGCACCCTGAGAGCATTAATGAGTGAGAGCTGAGTTCTGATGATTGGTAACCAGCACTACAAAAATAAGGGTGTTTAGAATAGGACAATTTATTGAATGTCCACCGGGTGATGAATACCCAGTTTGAGTGTATTGGGCATATTGTTTAATTTAATCCTCACAACAATCCTCTGCAGTATGTATTTTTAATCCCTGATATTATAAAGGTAGATACAGAGTTTAAGAAATGTTTCACAGAGTTTAAGAAATGCGTCCCAAAGCTGGGAAGGGGATTTGACCTCAGAGTCAGCCTGGATTTAAAGCCTCCATATTTCTGTTGCTGCATAGTCTCTCCTATATGGCTTTACATAGATCTCCCCTCCTTCTTCTCTTCCCCTCCCTTCCCTTCCTTTCCCTTCCCTTCCCTGCCCTGCCCCGGCCTGCTCTGGCCTACCTTGCCTTGCTCTCCCCTCCCCTCCCCTCCCCTCCCCTCCCTTCTCCTCCCCTCTCCTTCCTTCCTTCCTTCCTTCCCCTACTTACCTACTTGATAACTGAAACAGAAAATTTTAACTTTTTATTTTGAATAATTTTAGATTCATGAGAGGCTGCAGAAATAATTCCTATATACCCTTCTACAGCTTTCCCTAATTATACAATCTTACATAAGTAAAGTTTATTATCAAGGTGAGGAAATTAACATTGGTATAGTGCTATTAACTAGACTACAGCCCTTATTTGGATCACCAGTTTCTGCATGCACTCACTTCTCATGGAACTTATAGTCTAGTATTTCTCTTATTATAGCAGAGTTTGTAATGAGCAGTCCTCAAGTGAAATTCACCTTTAAGAAGTTAAGAAAAATATATATAACTTTGGGAGAGATTTTATTCCAAATTATTGAAATAAAAAAGTTTTGTCACTTAACAAGATAAACCCTTTGTTATCTGGAACATTTATCTCCTCAAAATAATGAATATTCCAAAGCATTCTAGATGGCCAGAGGGGATAGTGTATGATTTCTTTTCAGAAAATGATGAGATTGAACTCAAGATGGATTAAAGTCTAAAGGTAAAACCCAAAATATTAAAACCCTGGAAGACAACCTAGGCAATAACATCCTGGACATAAGAATTAGCAAGATTTCATGACAAAGACACCAAAAGCAGTCACGACAAAAGTAAAAATTAACAAATGGGTTATAATTAAACTTAAGAGCTTCTGCGCAGCAAAGGAAACTATGAAGAGAGTAAACAGACAACCTACAGAACGGGAGAAAATATTTGCAAACTACACATCCGACAAAGGTCTAATATACAGCATCTATAAGAAACTTAAACAAATTTACAAGAGAAAAACAACCCCATTGAAAATGTGGGCAAGGACATGAACAGACACTTTCCAAAAGAAGACATACATGCAGCCAAGAAGCATACGAATAAAAAGCTCTATATCACTGATCATTAGAGAAATGCAAATCAAAACCGCAATGAGATACCATCTCATACCAGTCAGGATGGCTATTATTAAAAAGTCAAAAAAAAAAAAAAAAAAAACAGATGCTGTCGAGGTTGCTGAGAAAAGGGAACAGGTATACACTGTTGGTGGGAGTGTAAATTAGTTCAATCATTGTGGAGAGCAGTAAGGCGATTCCTCAAAGAGCTAAAAGCAGAACTACCATTTGACTCAGCAATCCTGTTACTGGGTATATACCCAGAGGACCATAAATCATTCTATAATAAAGACACATGCACAGGAATGTTCATTGCAGCACTATTTACAATAGCAAATACATGGAATCAACCTAAATGCCCATCAATGACAGATTACATAAAGAAAATGTGGTACATATACTTCATAGAATACTACGCAGCCATAAAAAAGAACAAGATCATGTCTTTTGCAGGAACGTGGATGGAGCTGGAGGCTATTATCCTTAGCAAACTAACACAGGAACAGATGTATGTTCTGTTCAAACTTACAAGTGGGAGCTAAATTATGAGAACTCATAAACACAAAGAAGGGAACAATAGACACTCAGGTCTACTTGAGGGTAGAGGATGGGAGAGGGAGAGGAGCAGATAAAAATAATTATTGGATATTGGGCTTAATACCTGGGTAATGAAATAATCTGTATAACGAACCCCTGTAACGTGAGTTTACCTATAACAACAAACCTTCACATGTATCCCCAAACCTTAAATAAAAGTTAAAAAAAGAAAATGATGAGATTGTCCAAATGCTTAGTGATATGAAAATCTCATAAGGAATCTGGTCCACTGGACATAATGGCTCACACCTGTAATCCTAGCAACTCCGAAGGCTGAGGTAGGAGGATTGCTTGAGCCCAAAAATTCAAGACCAGCCTGGATAACATCATGAGGTCCCCATCTCTAAAATAAAATTTAAAAAAACAAAAAACAAAAAACACAAAACAAAATAGTCAATTATGGTGGCACAGGCCTGTAGTCCCAGGTACTTGGGAGGCTCAGATGGGAGCATCACTTTAGCCCAGGAGTTTGAGGCTGCAGTGATTCATGATCGCATCACTGCACTCTAGCCGAGGTGACAGAGCAAGATTCTATCTCAAAAAAAAAAAAAAAAAAAAAAAAGGGAGAATCTGGTCCATGCTCAAGGTGTCCACGTTTAGCCGTGGAGGGGGTGTCCCACCACATTGTTCTTCACTTTCCCGAACGCATCAGGATGCCATATTACACAGTGTGGGTGGAATATTTGTAAGTTTGGCTATCTTCTCAATTCATTCCATGTGTGCCATAGAATTTAAGTGCTATAGTCAGGCGTTTCTGAATACAGTTTTCCATATGTAGATTTACCACTACCCACTGAAGCACACACATCTGATCCAGTTTATTGGGGTGTGAGATTACTTTTTTCTTTCATTTTGAACATATTTACAGTGATTAGAAATTAGACAGAGAGATGTGCTAGTTCTGATGTAGGCGAACTCAGGCCGGAGAGCCAGTTGTCTCTGCTGGTCTCTGATGGGCACACCCGCCAGAACTTAACCTCCTCGTGAAGGGCTTTCATAATCTCTCATCCCATTCTGCTTTTCTTTTTGCTGCTGGTATATGAACTTTCCAGGCAGCCATTTTTTTCCTCCTAAAATGTACCAAGAAAGGCCTCCCTCTTCCCATTTAACAGGGTTATCCCACCAGACTTAGTAGGTAGGCTCCGAAGACCCCGTTATCTTCACATTCAACTGCCTTTCTCCTTTTGCACTCTCCATTTTTGCTGTATCCTCACCATCCTCTGGGACGCTGAGACTTGAAACTTGAATGGGTCCTTAATGTTGCCTTTTCTTTTGCCCCTCACGTCTGCTCAGGGTTGAGTGCTGTCTGTCCCATCTCTTCCTCATGTCTCCTTCTGTCCTGTTGTTTCCTTTGGCACTCTCTTGAATCTAGGGCAGACAGGAGGGAAGCTGGTCATTCTTTGCCAGACTGCGAACTGTGAGGCTGGGGACTGAAATGTTCTCCACCACTGTGGCTCTGAGACAATGGCTGTGTCACGCTTGACAGGCCCTCAGTGAAGTTCTACTGAATGGTTAACTCGGATGCTGAGTATCATGACTGGGGACTCACTGTCCAGGCAGAGCTCTGCTCGTCTCAGGCTGAGCTCCAAGGCAGCAGAGGAGGGAGGACAGTGGGGAGGCCTGGGGAAGGTGGGCCTCCTTGCACTGCCACTTCCTACCACTTGCTTAAGCCACTGCTCCCTGCCCTGCAGCTGCCTCTTGTTCTCCTCTTACCTCAAACCTCATATCCATACCTTGGAAGAGGTGAGCCTATTGTCTGGGACTAGGAAGTCATGGATCCAGACTTCCTGTTACTTATCTCAGCAACGTGCAGTCACTTCCCATTCAACAATCACGCATTGAGCTTAGGCACACTGCAATTCTTCTTCCATCAGAATCTCTTACCTTCTCTATTGCTCACTTGCTCTGGACTCATTGTGTTCATATAGGATAGTTCTATACAAACATTATGTATGTGTGTATGTGTGCATATCAGGATTGCTTTGAAACTCACCCACTCCACCCATTACACAATTTCACCTACGCGTGAATCAACTCAGAGACCAAAGTGGTGGCTCTCAGTTTTCAGGGACAATTTCAGACAGGGCCTTAACAGACAGTATGGGACATCCCACATTTCCTGCCTCGTGCCTCACCCTGAGATCAATCAGATCATTGCAAGTCTATTTCACAGAATGAAATACTTGAGCTGCATTGTGGTAGATTTTCATTGCCAGGTACTTCTTTTGAACTTCAAAAGTTGTCTCTAACACCCTGGAATTTATGTCTTATCTGCTTAAGAAGATAATCAGGCCACAGTCACACACTTTGCAGAAATACACATTGAACATGCATCTGGGGTATTTGTAAAATATGCTTGGGAGCCTGCAGACAGATGAAGTTTTGTCACTGTCAGGTATTAAAGGGTCACAGAATCAAATCAAGTGCAGAAGCCTGAACCTGCCATGCCTGAGACTTCCATCTGCGATTCACTGGAGAGATGAGGGATATGAGCTTGTGCTGTGCTGGTGCTGAACCCCTCAAGCCCTGTGAAATTAGAATGCTGGAAAGGCCCTCACGTCTCTTTGTTTTAAAAGCCGTGTGTTTTTGGAAAAGCACAACTTTCTGTTTTTTTCCTGAAAGCAAGATTTTTAAATTTCCAAATTATGCTCATAAAGTTTCTCAGATGTCAAACAGGTTTTCATAATAATTATTTTTGATGATTTAAGGGTAAGTAAATAAAAAGCATATGGATTAAATGTCCCTTAAAATATGCATGTTTTAATATTATGGGGTATGGGGGTAGTGCTTGACGAAAGCACTTTGCATTTCACACAGCCCTGATGTTTGAAAAATAGGGCATTTGATGAGTTCTAAACAAGACCAGGTTCTCCTATCTTTGGCAGAACTCTGTGAGCCAGTTTTCTGTCTTTCCAAGAGAAACGGTCTGCCCAATCCTGGGGAACAACAGCCCCCACCCCTGCAAGTAAAGCTTGGCAAACGTGAGCCGTCGTTCTCAGTTGAGAAAACAGGAGTGAAGTAATGGCCACAGCCCGCAGTTACCCCTCTGGAGTGGCCTGATTTATAACTGCCTTGGGAGCCTCACGGTATTACATCGCTTGATTTTGTACACACATAATGTCTTAGCCTTCCCACCCCACAATGTGTTAGGTGGTATTAAAGGTTTTCCACTGGGGCATATAAAATCTTGGCTTTTATCCAAGCCAAAATCCAGCCACCCCTTGAGCATTATAATTGAAGTCTAAATAGAACTTGGCATCATTCTAGGGTCTCTCAATCAATCAACTAACATTAAATGCCTGCTAGAGCAAGCCCTTACTATGATGGGGAGTGAGAGGAAGGGAGAAAAAAGGACATTAAAAAAAGTTCAGAAACACAGAAGACAAAGTCCCAGTTTCAAGCAACTAATGATCTGCTTGAGGGGCTAAGATAAGACACAGGGGAAATGATGAAATGCCACCAGGCAGGTATGGATAAGGGAGGCTGGACTGGGAAGGCTCTCTGAAATAGGAGTAACTTTTGATGGGCCTTAGGGATTGAGCTGGTTCATTCACTTGTGAAAATTCACTTGTGAAATATTTACTGAACACCTACTATATGCAACATACTGGGCTAGTACTGAGGATACAAAGGAGAGCCAGACAGGCCTGGTCCTTGCCTTTGGGCAGCTTGCCTCTGAGTTGGGAAGATAGGCATCAAACAGCTAATTATATCATTCAACCTTCCTTATAATTGTGAGTGCTCCAAAGAAGAAGATCAGGGTACTTGACCAAAGTTAAATGTCTTAAATTTTCCTAGACCCTTAAAGTGTGCTTCACCAATCAGCTTGATATAAAGGCAGAATCTCAGGCACCTCTCCAGTCCTAGTCAATCAGAATCTGCATTTTTAGCTCAATGCCAGGTGATTCTTTTGTACATTAAATTTTTAGAAACAGTACCAAGATAGAATTTTGCAAGACAGCAGAGGACTCCCGGATCACACATGTGTTAGAATATCTGGATTAAATGAATCAGACACCCCTTTTCCTGGATGATATTTATACACCTGAATTGTGTGTTAAGGAGCCTGTGTTGCTTGCGTAGATGCTGAAGAGTGGCCGAGGTAAGTTAACATGCCTCTCAACTTTGCATTATCCATTTGTATCTTATTTTCAGTTATATGTCTACTGGGTCAGGATCCTTTCACGCTCCAAAAGTAGGAGATCTATTCTGTTTGGCATCAATATTTCCCTGTGCCTCCCTCCCTACACTCTCAGTGCTGGCTAATGCTTTCCAGATGAGGTGTGAGCTGCTGCTAATTGTACCCGGATCAGTCTTGATTTGTGTTTCAGTCAGCAAGGCACCTCACTAATGGGTCTGAAACTTGGCAGCAGGCCTGGGACCAGTGTCAAAGGAAACAGATCCGAAAGGCACACCGAGAATGGCAAGGAGACAGGGAGTCGACAGAGAAAGATTTGCAGGATGAAAGGAGGGGGAGGAATCAAAGGGACAGGAGAAAACAGGAGAGCCTTTGGGGAAAAAGCAACAGAGAAACAGACCTGGGAAAGCCGGGGCTGTGGAGGAAAGGGGAGAGGGGCAAACAAAGGAAAAGGCCGGGAGGCAAAGGGAAAAGGAGCAATGCATCTGTATCTCTGAGAGGAGGAAAAAGAGAAGGCAAGATGATCAGGCTGTGTTTTGTGATGTGATCCTGAACGCTGATAATGCCTGTGGTTGCTCACAGAGAAATCCTATGTGGGGAGTGTCAGTCCCATTCCCATCTGCAGGCAGAAATCTGATGCCTCTCGCCTTTTCTCTCTGGCCTCCAGCTTTCCGATGGCTTGGCAGGGAACGCTGAACTCTGACAGCAGCCAGTGAGTGAAGGCTCAAGTTCTAAGCCTGACAGAGTTAAGGGACTCAGACACACCTTGGCTTTATGAGCTGAGGCCCGAGGCAGGGCCTCTGCTGGCTTGAGCTCCTGGAGCCAGCCTTCCTGGAATCGAGCTGGAAAGAGGCCTTCTTAGGGGAAGCTGAGAACTGAGGCCCAAGGCCTTTCTGAATTGGACACATTCACTGTACTTATTTTTTTTAATCTCCTCTATAAGAGGGGGGAAATCCACTTGCCAATATGAATTCCAAATTGTTTAAGTAGGGGAGAACCCATATATGCATGCAAATTTGTGCAGGCAAGCAGAGAGTGAAAGAAACAGGGAAACAGACTGAGGTTACCAGTGGACGGGCTAAACATTGCCTAGGACAATAGCAAAGCAGTGGCACTACCTACCCAGGCTCCCAGCAAGAAACAAATAAGCAAGCTTTGGTTTTGGAGGAAAAGTTGACACCTCAACAAATAACATTAATGTTCAAGCAAAAACTTGTACACAAATGTTTATGGTAGCACTATTCGTAATAGCCAAAAGATGAAAAAAACTCAGATGACCATCAACTGATAAATGGATAAACAAAATGTGGCATACACATATAGTAGAATATTATTTGGCCATAAAAAGGAATGAAGTACTAATACAGGCAATGATAGAGATGAATCTTGAGAGCATTATTCTAAGTGAAAGAGGCCAAACACAAAATGCCACATATTGTATGATTCTATTCATATGAAGTACTCAGAAATGGCAAATCCCCATAGTGACAGTACACAGCTCAGTTGTTGCCAGTGGGTCGGGGGAGGGAGGAATGGGGAGTGATTGCTTAATGTGCACGGGGTTTCCCTTTGGAGCAATGAAAAAGTTCTGGAACTAGATAGTGATGGTTTTGTCACATTGTGAATGTACTCAATGCCCCTGAATTTTACAGCTTAAAACGGTAAATTTCACTCTCTGTGTATTTTACCACAATAAAAACATTTTTTAAAAAGGATTGAAATAATCATTATTGTGAATATCTGAAAAAAATGTGGTCTATCCTAAACTTGATTTATAATTAAATACTGCTTTTATTTGTATTCATATTCAGAGAGTCGTTATAATATTGTAATGTCTCCAACTGTTTTAATATGACCCTGAAGGGGAATGAGAATAAGAAGTTCTAAATAAGAAAGGAAAAAAAGCGATGGAAATAGTAGGGGAAAAGACAAAGAAAGTCAGCTATCTATAGGGTAGGAAATCAGAGTAGGGATGACCTGCTAAAGAAAGGTGGCCAGATGAAGTGGGAGCAAATTAGCTTATGGTGCTTTGCCTAGGGGAGAAAGAAACTTCAGACACAAAGAAAGAGAATAAGGCAAGTCTCTGAGTGGGCCAAACAGCATGGAAAGGAAACTAGAATAAACTGAAAGAGGTCTTCAAAACAAAATAACAAAAAAAGACCAAAAAAACCCAAAAAACAAAAAACAAAAAAAACCCTCCAATTCTTCTTTTATTTCCTGTGAGATGAGTTCTTAAAGCTTATCTTAAATGCCATAGATCTGGGGCTAGGATCTGTGGGTGGGAGTAAGATATTTCCTCTCTGCAAGATGGGGGCCATTCTCCACCAGTAACGGGTCTCACTGCCCTGTTGTCTCCAGCCTGGGAAGTGATGAAGCAGAGGACAGAAGAGCCCCAGTCAGGGATGCAGTGGAGAGCTGTGCATTAAGCTGGCAGTTGGGTAAGATCATTTCTGAAATCTTTTCCAATCCTGTGTTTCTGTGTGTAAATGATTCTAAGCCATGTGCAGGTGCCTGAAAAAAGCGGGGCGTCGGTCAGTGGTTCAGGAGATCAATGTATGAATGTTTACTACATACATGTGCTCTAATTCAAAGGGGATTTGTTGGAATCACATACTGGCCCTTCCCTGTAGAGTGGCTGATGGGAAGACTGAGGTTGAGACTGTAAGTTTCTGACATTATATCCAGTTGTTTGGAATGTAAGAATTTTTAAAAATGTTTTAAATTTGAAAATATATATTAAAAAGATGAAATTAAAATCACTCATATTCTTATCACTTTCATGAGTCTATGCATATTTGCCTATGCTTAGAACACACGCACAAGCACGCACACACACATGATCATATGAACATGCTGTTTTTTTTTTTTTTTACTTTAAGTTCTGGGATACATGTGCAGAACGTGCATGTTTGTTACATAGGTATACATGTGCCTTGGTGGTTTGCTGCACCTAACAACCCATCATCTAGGTTTTAAGCTCCGCATGCATTAGGTATTTGTCCTAATGCTCTTCCTCCCCTTGCCCCCCACCCCTCTACAGGCCCAGTTGTGTGATGTTCCCCTCCTTGTGTCCATGTGTTCTCATTGTTCAACTCCCACTTATGAGTGAGAACATGTGGTGTTTGGTTTTCTGTCCCTGTGTTAGTTTGCTGAGAATGATGGCTTCTGCTTCATCCATATCCCTGCAAAGGACATGATCTCATTCTTTTTTATGGCTGCATAGTATTCCATGGTGTATATATGGCACATTTTCTTTATCCAGTCTATCATTGATGGGCATTTGGGTTGGCTCCAAGTCTTTGCTATTGTAAATAGTGCTGCAGTAAACATACGTGTGCTTGTGTCTTTATAGTAGAATGATTTATAATCCTTTGGGTATATACCCAGTAATGGGATTGCTGGGTCAAATGGTATTTCTGGTTCTAGAACCTCGAGGAATCACCAAACTGTCTTCCACAGTGGTTGAAGTAATTTACACTTCCACCAACAATGTAAAAGCATTCTTGTTTCTGCACAGCCTCGCCTAGGCTATTTCATTTGAACAACTTTCTGGTTATTAAATAGTCTTTAACAACACTATGACTTTGGTGTGTGTGTGTTTAAGAAATTTATGATAAAAACAAAACATACAAACAACAGAACTGCCTGTATTTTTTAAGGCTTCAAGGTGATTTCTGTGAAATAAATCAGCTTCTGGGGTCTGGGTTCCTCCTGTGGGCATGTCTGCTAGTGCATTTGAATCTTATGAGAAGTTTTCCAGACTGAACCTATGAATGCTTTAGACAAATCTTGTTCTTTAACCGTATGGAGAGTTGGGGGGGATGTCTCACTTCCTATGTGAGGAAGAAACTTGGGAAGATCTGCCGTTAGTTTGTCCCAGGTGGAAGAAAATGGTCATAGCAGGTCTCCTTTTAGGTTCTGTTAAGCAGAGGCCTGGTCTATGAGATGTTGAGAGGAAGAATTCAGAGATGAGGAAATAGAAGCAGTTTCCTGAATGTTCTATCAGCAGCCACTTACTGGTTCATATGGTACAACTCAAGTAGGGGCGAACACAGCCCCTACCTACAAGGTCACAGTTGTAGCCACCAGCATAGAGATGAGGAAGGCTTTGCTCAAGTGGCCTGAGATTTGCAGCGTTTGTTTATGTCTTTTGCCCAGAACTGCACAGTTGGTGGTTGAAAGGGCACAACTGTTTTCCCTGTAATTGGGAGCGTGGGGGGCACAGTCTGTTCACAGGTTAGGAGGTCAGTCCAGCACTGGAAAATCACACAAGGCATTAGAGTGGCTTCCAGGCCCTCTAATAATCTGATGAGCGTGTGATCTTCCAGTGGCCTCTCATCTCAGAATAAATTCCTAAATCCTTACTACGTTCTGCAAGACCCTATGTGACCTACATCGTGCATCTGCTTGCCCCAACCTCTGTGACCTTATCTCCTATGATGCCACCCTCACTCACTATTTCCAGCCACAGGGGTCTCCCTGTGGCACCTCACACACCCAGCACACTCCTGCCTCTGGCATTATTGTTATCTTAGCCTTGGAAGCGCTTCCCCTCAATGTTTGCACAACTCACTCCCTCACTTCATTCCAGTTCTGCTCAAATGTCACATCATTACCACCAAGTCATTCTTAGACCACCCTATCTAAAATAGCATCCTCCCTCCATCATTTAATTATCTAGCTAGCCTCTTCCCTGGCTTGATTAGCAATGATTGCCACTGTTACACACATATATATCTTGTTTATCATCTTATTATAAATGTAATACATCTTGTTTATCATCTGTCTCTCACACTAGAATATGGATACTCTGAGAGCAAGGACTTTGTCTTGTTCACTGCTATACCCCTGGCACCTTAACAGTATCTGGCACATAAGGTTCAGTGAACAGTGGTTAAACGAATGAATGGCCATTCTTTCCTTTCCTGCTGGCTGATTAACTTTACCTTTCAGTCTAAAACTTAGAGTAGGGATGTCCTGCTAAAGAAAGGTGGCCAGATGAAGTGGGAGCAAATAAGCCATTTCTCGTATGGCCCTTGGTCTCTTCTTGCGCTCAAGCCTCAAGTTGCCACCATGGTTTCAGGTAGAAACTGTCTTCAAACCATCTGAATCTTAACTCAGAGGACATCAGAGGGATCTATCTGTACAATTTCCCCTAGATATAAGTTACCCATTCAGACACAGCCTCCTGCTCAGCTTTCCTGAGTCTCCCAACTTCCAAAACCTTCCTCTATCCTTCAGCCCCCATTTCTAACTCTACATCAAGATTCTATGTCCGTGATACAGTCCATGACTTGACGTGATCTGTCCTCCTGGCACTCAAATTTATTCTGATCTCTGTGGCTACCCCTCAGTCTATTCTTCCGGACCTCTCGTATCTCCACCATCCACCTGCGTAGAGCCTAAGCCCTGAGAGATCTAATGATTGAGGATAATATCCTTAGAGTGACCTACCACATATTCCCATATCTCCACCATCCACCTGCCTAGAACCTAAGCCCAGAGAGATCTAATGATTGAGGATAATATCCTTAGAGTGGCTTACCACATGTGATTCCATGTTAGTAGAGCTTCTGAGCCACTCCTCTCAGTTTAGAATTTTGTGTAGGCAGAACATTGTCTCAAGATGCCCTAAAAAGTAAAATCAAAGGACAAATCTTTAAAGCCTGAGTGGTGCTCCTTGGCAGAAAGCCGAGATGCTCTGTAACAATGTGTGGGTTCATAAGTGGCCAGCTTTTCTGCTCTTCTGATGCTGTAAGAACACCAGAGGCTGTCGCTTCTGAAAACTTAGAAGCTGACATCATCAGAATTGCTGTTCCTGACTGGTGGGTTCTTTCTGATCTCTAGGACGGCAGCTTTTCCCACGTCAGGTAGTTGCCTGGGACACTGGCCTCATCTGAAGGAGGACTCTGGGCCCCATGAGGCTGGGGGGCTAAGGCTGGGGAAGAGAGGAGGACAGAAGAGGCAGGATGGCTGTAACTAGTTATAATTGCCTCCCTACACACATGTCTAAGCTTGGTGCCCACTCAAACACTGCTCAGTCAAGGAGTATACATGTTGACTGAGTGACTCTCCCTCCCCTTTCTCACTGCACTACACTGGGAGATTTTTTTAAAAGCTATAATGAATTTTGCTATATCTCCCATGTCATAATTAGTACCTATGAGGGCAAACAATAACAATGACATGATGGAGACAGGCAGCACCTAGCTGTCTAGCAGAAGACACAATGCTATGCTATGCAGAGGTGAAAAAATTAAAATATTCATGCACACATGTCATTAAAGCATTTTAGCATTCTCGTTTCACATACACCTGACCTGTGGCACTTTGGGCATGTTCATTTGCCTACTGCAGACAAATAGCTGGGGTGTATAGCAGAATAAGGCCAAGTGCTCTTGCATGGTGACACAACTGGGAAGGAAAAGGATTTGAATCCAGATTCTTACTGCCACACACCTCCCTCTCCCCACAACATCAGCATTGATACCTGATCATTTGCTAACTTGCAATCATATAAGAAAAACAAATGTTGATTGACATTCAAGATAATGTATAATTAGAAGATATCAAAGAACATCTCTCCTATCAGAAGGTCTTTCTAAGTATAAAACAAAACCTAGAAATCAGAATGAAAAGATGAATAAATTTGACTAAATATAAAAGAAACATCTCTGCAAGGTAAAAATCCTTGGTGGCCTGTAATCTCAGCAGTTTGTGAGGTTGAGGCAGGAGGATAGCTTGAGCCCAGGAGTTCAAGACTAGCCTGGCCAACATAGGAAGACACTATCTCTAAAAAATAAATAAATAAATAAGAAAGAAAGAAGAAAAGAAGAAAAAAGAATAGCTAGATGTGGTGTCATGTGCCTGTAGTCCCAGTTACTGGGAGGCTAAGGAGGGAGAATTGCTTGAGCCCAGGAGTTTGAGGCTGCAGTGAGCTATGATTATGCCACTGCACTCCAGCCTGGATGACAGAAGACCTTGTTTCTAAAAAAGAAAAAAAAAAAAAAATCCAGAGTAAAAGACACATGATACACTGATACACTAGGGAAAAAAATGTGAATCATGGCATCTTGTATCACAGACAAATGATTAATTTTCCTAATAAATAAAAAACTGAAAAATATCGATTTAAAGAGCCCTACCAACCCAATAGAAGAAAGAATAAATATTAATAAAGATTTAACAGAAAAGAATATACTAATAACTATGAAATGTGTGAAAGATGAACAGTCTCATTCACAACAAAATAAACTAATTAAAAATATATTGACAAACCATTTTTCACCGATTAAATTGGCAAAGTCAAAAAGCTTGACAAACTGTGTTGGTGAAGGCTTAGGGAAATAGGCACCCCCATATACTGTAAGTGGGACTGTAAAATAGTATATGTTAAGAAAGAAAATATAGCAAAATTTATTATAATTACAAATGAACAAAGCATTTGGCTCTCTTCTAGGGATTTATCTTAAAATACACTCTCATCTGTTAAATGATGCATGAATGATGAAATTCATTGCAGTGTTATTTTAAATAATAAAAGACTGGCAACAACTTAAGTGTCCATCAATAGGTGACTAGTTAAATTATGATACATTTATACAAGAAAACATTTTTCAGCTTAAAACAGAATGAGAATTCTTTTTATGTACTGACAGAAAGATTTTAAAAATATATTAAGTGAAAAAAAGCAAAGTACAAAATAGTGCATAGAGTATGCCATCTTTTGCAGGACAAAGTGGGGAAATAGTGATATGCATTTACTTGTATATATAAAATAGCTCTGCAAGGATACACAAAAAACTAGCAGTGTTAGTTGTCTTGAGCAAAAGAGTGGCTGAGAGACAGATGTGAAGGAGCTATTTTTACCTATTTTCTTTCAAACTTTCTAAGTTTTAAACAGGTCAATGTATTACTTCAAAAAAAATAGGCAACTTATTTTTGTCTTTGAGAAGTATCAATCTAATCATCAACCTCAAAAACTAAAATCTTGAATAAAGATGTCAACGAATTCGTGCAGCAAATAAGCTTTAACAAATTTTAAATTCCCAATTCATGGTTGAATAAGGGAGAAAGAGACGGAGTGTGAGAAAATGGGAGCATTAGATACCATCGAGGATACTAGAGACGGATGATGAGGCAGAAGATAAACAGGGCAAGCAGGACAGACACAGAGGGAGAGAGTAACAGAAAACAAGGGAGACAGGCAAAGACAAGAGTTGTTGAAGTAGGTGCTACTGTTGGGTTAAAATGCTGCTACTGCACTCTGGCATTCAACTCAGGGTGTGCTTCAGACCAGACTGTCCCTTGTTACTACTACTCTTGGAGATTGAGTTTATTTTTCCACGGATTTCTTGGGGTTTCTCTGTGTATAAGGAATTGACAAGGGTTTGAGAAATTTACTTAGGAAACATGGAGGTCCTCTGACCCCACCAGCGAAAATAAACAAGCGTAAAGTGGTACTTACAGGAGAATAAAATAACTGCGGCTCTAGGATTTGGCAGATTATATCAGTAATATGAATTGTGAATATTCAGTGGGTTAATGGGATTTGCCACATATGCGCGTGTCGTAAGGTGTGAGGATGTACTGAGATAAATTCCATAGAATTTACCCCAGTGTATTTTCTTCCTTGTTAATATTCATAATTATTTTGTTTCCATAACACTTTAAACAAAAACCGCACTGTAATGGGTTGCTTATCTTCTTGCATTCAGTTGATTGTAAACTTTTTGAGGGTAGGGGGTTATATCTTCATCTTTGCATTCCCAAATCTAGCACAGTGCCTGGCACAGTATAGGTAATTATTGTTAAATTATTGCTAAATCTGAATTCAGATTGCTATCAGAGGGTTATGCTTAACTACATGCAACAAAGACCAAGCAACAGTAGCTTAAACAAGATATGTATCATGTAATAAAAAGTAGAGATACCAGTTCAGAGGTGTGCAGTGTTTGCTGGGACCCATCAAGGATCTAGATTGCTTTCATATTTTGGCTTGCCAGACTAGCATTCAGTGTCCCTTCTCATGCTCCAAAGATGGCGGCTATTCTGGCCACAATCCAATCAGGAAGAGAAGTTAAGGGCAAAGAGCAAAGGCCAAAGCCCTGTGGGTTTTCTACAATAAATCCTGTCTTAGCGAATTTTGCTTACCTCTCATTGGCCAGAAGTGGATCATGTGACCACTCTACTGTGCAAAGGCATCTGGGAAGCGGATGTTTTAACTGGGTGTATTGCTACAGCCTATAATAAAATTGAGGATGTCTTAGGAGATGGGGATAATGAAATAATGAATAGCAGTATCAGTCCCAAGTGTGTAAAGGCAAAAACCACAAACACATTTTCAACTCTTTCTGTCATTTGCCGTATTTTTCCTCTTGTCTTTTAGATTCTTGATGATAATATTCTATTCTCTTGCAAATCCCAGCAGATTCAATTTAGCTATAGACCATCAGAGGCCATGGATTACTTTATTCCTACTGCCCCCACATCCTCTCCCCTGAGCCCCTGAAGTTCCTGGCATATTCAAAGACTCTAAAGTAATGTAAGTACCTGGCCCCATACGCTTCCTAGACTCCATATGCTGCTTCAGGGTTGAAGATTGGGATATTCCCCAGGGTCAGAGCTGGATGCAAATTCCTTCTCACTCTGTTGCTCTTCTGCAATTCTAGCCCCCTCTCCCCGCAAAGCAGCAATCCTCTGTGGATCATATCATGGGATTGTCTTCATTACTGGATTTCTTAGAAACATCTGGCAGCAGAGCCGGGCCTGTTCCAATTCTCTGAGTCCTCCCAGACCACAGGAGTTCTCCTGAATGATCAAGTGATCTTTCCCCTGAGCCTGTGGAGGAAATTTGTGCTGGTCTCCTGTGCTTCTCTCTGAACAGGAGAAGGTTGTTTATTCCACATAATTAATGGACAGAGAAACTGGGCCTAATTTATTTTACTCATAGGAATGCAAGTCTGTTCTTTCAAGAGAGGAATGTGTGTCTTTGCCTCACCCAAGCAGACTCACAATTTTCCCATAAAGGGTAGATACACTTGGGCCACTTGGGCCAAAGATGAGGGGAAGGAGCAATTCTCAAAAAATCTCAAAGAGAAACAATACAGTTTTAAAGAAATAATGTTTGTTTTGACCATATCATCTTAAGCACTTTTTGTGATCATTTAAAATGATTATTGAAAGGCATTTAACGAGGATTTTTTTATTAGACCTTTGTGCTAGACTGGATTCCTGTGTCCTTCCAGAATTTGCTAACTCTTCAGGAAGAAGAGTTAGAAGTTAAATGTCCTTTAATTTATCTCAAATCAAGAATACTGAATTTTACTCGCACATCCTAAGCTAAGGATGGCACATTTCAAATGCCTGCTTGCTGTTTACAGAGCAGTGTGCTAGGGACAGAGATAAATTACAAAGGCCATGGTTCTGAGACCCTGTCAAACTGCATTTGCAAAACTCTTTGCAGATGAATTCTACGAATTCTTTAGAGTACATCAGCAAAACCTACATTCTTCTCAGCAGAGGCCATTAATTAATTAATTTCATATCCCATAATAGTTATGTGTCTATGTGGTGGTAAAAGCAGACAATGGGATTGGAAAAGCATAGTTTTAGACTCAGGCCTGTGTCTGAATGCCAGCTCTGTTATTTCATACTAAGTATGTATTTCATACATAGCCTCTCTTTGCCTTAATTTCTTCATTTGTAATCCTGTCTTGCAGGATTGTTGTTACTGAATGTAAAGTTCTTGACTCATGGCAAGATGCTTCATAAATGGTAGTTATAATTAATATACAAAGTATTTTCAGTGTTTAACTTCTTCTGAAACCTGGTAAACTCAAATCAAGGTGGCCATTGGCTTCAGCATCACCTCCCAGGACGTGAATACTATTGTCACTGACTTACTGTGGTGCCTTTCCTGCTCTCTCACTTCCCATTTATTCTGCCTGGAATACCATCTTGTTTGGGAAACTTCCCCTAAGCCCCTAGATTGGGTTAGGTGTCCCAGTGCTCCTGTTGGCTCCTGGGCTCATCCCAGTGGCAGCCCTTAACAGATAGTATTCTATTTGTCTGTCTGCTCTGGGGACTTTGCTTTGCTTTGAGAGTGCACAGATCATGTTTGTCACTCTCTCTTTTTTTTTTTAATTAAACAGTTTTATTGAGGTATAATTTACACACCATAGAATCCACTCATTTTAAGTGTACAATTCAATGGTGTTGCAGTAAATTTACAGAGTTGTGCAACCATTACCACAATCTAGTGTTAAAATAATTCATCAGCTGGAAGAGATCCCTCACACTCATTTGCAGTCACCCCATTCCCACTCCCAGCCCTGGGCAACCACTGATCTACTATAAATTTGTCTGAACATTTCATGTAAGTTTGTAGATTCTTTTCTAAAGATTTGTCTGGACATTTCATGTAAGTGGAATCATACACTATGTATTTTTTTGCTATCTCACTTTTCACTTAGCATGCGGTTTTTGAGGTTTATCGATGTTGTCGTATGTATCAGTAGTTCAGTCTTTTTCCTTGATGAATGCTTTTCCATCGTATGGATACATGGGGACTGTTTTTTGTTTGTGCATTTGCTTTTTGTTTTGAAACAGCGTCTCACTTTGTTACCCAGGCTGGAATGCAGTAATGCAGTGGTGCGATCTTAGCTAACTGCTTCCATGACTTCCCGGGCTCAAGCGATCCCTCAGCCTCAGACCACAGGTAGCTGGGACTACAGGCATGCGACACCCACCATTCCTGGCTTATTTTTGTATTTTTTTGTGGAGTTGGGGTTTCGCCATGTTGCCCAGGGTGGGGACTGTGTTGTATACACTAATATGTATATTGTGGCTAGCTCAGTCCCTGCATATAGTAGTAAGCTCCGCCTCCCAGGTTCCTGCCATTCTTCTGCCTCAACCTCGAGTAGCTGGACTGCAGGCTTCCGCCACCACGCCCGGCTAATTTTTTTTTGTATTTTTAGTAGAGACGCATTTTCACCATGTTAGCCAGGATGGTCTCCATCTCCTGACCTCGGGATCCTCCCGTCTCGGCCTCCCAAAGTGCTGGGATTACAGGCGTGAGCCACCGCACCTGGCCGAAAATGTTTGTTTCTTGAATTAAATTCGTCTTGGGATATTGCAGTTAGTCTGACATATTCATATGCACAGCACAGTCCAATACCTGTGTCTTGTTTTGGCAGTGTCCAGCCATTACTTCAAAGGACTCCTTAGCAGCTTCTTACCTTGCCTTCTTCACCTTGTGTAGATTTTTTAAAATTCTAAAGTGAGAAACAACTTCTTTTTCCTTGCTGTTTTGACCTTATTTTCTTCTCATTATCCAATGCAAATTTGAAGTGCTCATATTTGTCCCAACATGTTGTAAGTATCTCATAAATATTAATGATAATGTAGTAACATATTAATAATCATGTATTGAGCACCTCCTTTACTGTGTACCTGCCATTATTTTAAGTGCTTCGAATACTTCAATGAACAAAGACAAAACTCCCCACCACCCTCATGATGAATGTATTCATATTTGGAGATCCCTAATATCAGCAGTGCTTAAGAATTTGGTCTACATAAACCTTAACATGTTTTTCAAACATTACTAAACACGAGGTCAAAAGACATGAATAAACTCTTCAAACAGGGGAATACAGAAAATTACTCAACACATAGAAAACAGATCAGCCCAATAATAATGAAAGAAATGAAAATATAAACAAACTTATATAAGTTAGTGAAAAAATTATTTTATTATTATCAAAAATAAATAAATAAATAAATAAATAAAAGGCTGGGTGCTGTGGCTCTTGCCTATAATCTCAGCACTTTGGGAGGCCGAGGTGGGAGGATGGCTTGAGCCCAGGAGTTCAAGACTGGCCTGGGCAACATAGTGAGACTCTGTGTCTCCAAAAAAAAAAAAAAATTACTCGAATGTGGTGGCACATACCTGTAGTCTCAGCTAAACAGGAGGGTGAGATGGGAGGATCCTTTGAGCCCAGAAAGTTGATGCTGCAGTGAGCAGTGATTGTACCACAGCACTCCAGCCTGGGTGATAGAGCGAGACTCTGTCTCAAAAAAATAGAAGAAAAAAAAAGAGGAGACTGCACTTTTTGATACACAGAATGTATATACAAAACAATGTTAGTTAAAACAAAAGAGTGAAAAATATTATGCATGAGCTGACATGCATACTTGTATTTGAGAATTTTTTGGTGACCTATAAAATGGAATTTAAAAACTCAGTAGCCACACTTACAATCTGCAATCTGATTTCCTTGGAAAATATAATCTCCATTTCTACCTCCTCCTTTGCCAGTTATTTGCACTAGTATATCAAAAGGACATTCTTCTTTTTAGGTGCTGTATCCAAGCCTACTTCATCAACACAGATTCCCATGAACTGTAGAGCAGCAGGGTCAGAAAGGACCCGGAGACCAAACAAGCCATACTTTCATTTTACAGAGGCAGGAATGTCCATAAAGAGGGAAGGTCTTGCCTAAGGTCTCTCTGCTAGTTAATGGCAAGGCTAGTATAAAACATAAGTTTCAATCTTCTTCAGTACTTAACACAGTCACTGGTACATAGTAGGAATTTGAGAACATTTGTGGAATGAATGACTGACTTTCATAATAGAAGACTGACATGGCAGAATTCATTGGAAAGCTCACATACTGGGAGTCTTGCTTCTGGGCACCCAGCTGAGAGTCAACATCTGAATATGAAAGATTTGGACTCACAGAGCAGAACCAAAACGGAAAACAAAGTAAAAACCAAAACCGAAAACCAAAAAACAAACAAAAAACAAGGAAGGGAAACCTAAAGCCATGGTCTGGCTTGGTAGAAGGCTACTATTTGACTTAAAATACTTGGAACATTAGTAATTTTCATGGGTGTGTCTGCTGTTCTACAGATCTAGGTTCTGGGCAATTAAAAGCTATGGGTTTATTCTGGTTTATTTTAGGCAGCCTGCTGTGGCCTCTTCCTATTGTGGTTGAGGACATTGTGTGGATGGGCAAATGCTTGGCCTCCTATTTGGATTCGAGACTAATGCTCATTATTTTATTTCAAAAGGAAGAAGAGCTGACATAAATAGTTCATGGAGAGTCCTGGTGGGAGAAGGTGATATCTGTCTTACTGCAGAACTAGGGTAATATGAAGAAAACCAACATGGAAAACCGTGTCTCCCTCCTTGTGTTGTTTTGGAGGCAGTCCAGGAAAGGAGGACGGATCTACTTTCTAACTTGTGGAGAGATCATGGGCAAGTCACCCTGGTCTAAGTTTCTTCAAGGTAAATTACAATCCTGATTAAGAGGTTCAGAGAAGGTAACAGACATGAAAGAATTTTGAAAAATATAATATGTTATATTAACTTGTGGTGGTATATGATGGAGTTGAATTCAGCATAGGAAATAATTTTTTAAAAAGCTGTGTTGTGTTGCTACTTCTTTAAAAATGATGGCTAATAAAAGAGAATGAGCAGAGAAGGCCGTGCTTATAAGGAAGGAAGGAAATAACTGAATGATGGGTTTTTACATCATAGAACAATGGTAAAAACATCTTTGGCTGCAGTTTCCTCTTGTCCACTCATCTACCTACCAGCTGCTACTAAACATTAAACATTAAAGCATGGTAAAGAGGACTAAAAAACAAACAAACAAACAAACAAATCACCACCACAACAACAAAAAACTAGGCAATAATAGACCTTTGCTAAAGTTTATCCTCCTTTTCAGCATCCTTTTCTATCAGCCTATAGCCCATCATAGAACCCTGGCAAATATTAAATAGCTGTGGTCGAACAGAAAAAAACAACAGTTTTAGAATTAAGAGTTGGGTGTGGGCCCGAGTTCCTGCACATGTTGGCTGTGTAACCTGGAGAAGTTTTTTGTTTGTTTGTTTGTTTGTTTTTGAGACGGAGTCTCGCTCTGTAAGTTTTAAAAGTCTTTCTTATCCCAGATTTCCTCATCTATAACAAAAGAAGAACAGCCTACTATCCGGGCAGTGTCCAAATGAAATAATGTTTGTGAAAACCCTTTACAAACTGTAAAGTGCATTAGAAATGCCTATATTGTTATTCCGTCTTTTTGCCTCAGTTTCTTCATTTGTAAAACACGGCCAGTGACACCCATTTCACTAGGATATTTTGGTTCCCCGTGAAGCCCTCTGCAAGTAACTGAGTCTCATATTATACCTCACCCTAGATCTACAGCCCCTTATTTCTCTACCATGTAATGGAATATTTATTTCCAGCCTGACATTTTTGTTTTCTATTGTCTTGTTAGATATCACCCTCAGAGAGCTTCCAATATACTTGATAAGTGAAGACCCTCCCATGATTTACCTGCCCACACCTCTCTTTTTACAGGGGCCTGCTACTGTAGAAAGCTGGGACCCATGTTTGACAAGAGGCTCTTGGTTCTCTCCACCAAGAGGATTTAGGCATTCACCCTTCTTCAGACACTCCTGCCATGCTGATTACAGGGAGACCCCAGAGAGGTGAAAAAGCAGAGTGGACCGTGACAGCCTGAAGAACATTAAAAAAGAGCTTGCAGACGGTGCCACTAAATGCCTGAGACACTGAGTGAGAGGAGGGGCCCCATCCACTGAGCTGGCCGCCTCCTGTCTTCCCTCAAAACAGATAGCTCTTTCCATTCACTTCCACATGCGTCTATTCTCTGCCTCTTGAGTGGGCCTGAAACTGGAAAACATCTGCACTAGTTTCGTTTGGGTGTGATTTATAAGGACTCCCTGCGGTCCCCTCTCTCCCTTCTCCTCCTCTTCACCTCTGGGGCTTCGGGGTTTGGTTTTTTTTTTTTTTTGTTTTTAAACAGGCTTGTGTTTCTTGAGACTGGGTCACCTTGATTTATTATGCCCTGGACTCATTAACAGAAGACTCTGGGACAGGTCATTTATTTTCTGAGTGGTAATTTCCTGTCCTACCCCAGCCTGGCTCAGCAGGGGCCCAGTGGAGCACAGACTTATATTAGCTGCACTGTCACCATGGGAGAACAGAATTGAGCAAGAAAAGTTCAGAGGGCAAAAAACATCTCTTAAGAGCTTTTCTCCTTACTCTGATGATTTCCTTCAGAGTCCCTTTTGGTAGCTCCCTGTCTCTCTTTTTTTTTCTCCCTTACCCCAGCAAATGGGATAAAGTTTAACAAGTTGCACGACTGCCTTCTTAAAGGAATAAACACTGGCCTTTCTTCTCTGTTTCATGTTTGAGTGATCCAACATTTATATGCAAAAATAAAAGATAGGGAGGATACTAGTGGGCACCCCAAGCTGAGGATGAATTAGATGAATTAAACAGTCCAAATTTTTACCAGGCCCTTGTTACAATAATATATTCACGTTGAGGCACTGAAATCTGATGTGTTAATTTTTAGAGAGACCAGAAGACAAAGATAAAATTACTCAAGATTTTCAGATAGGATCTTGGGATGAAGATTAAAGAAATTGACATTATTTAGCCTAAAGTTCAGAGGCTGAAGAATGATTTATTAACTGTTTCCAGGTCTCTGGAAGGTAGTTACATATAGGAATGATGGTGACCAGCTGTTTTCTGACTGCACTAAGGATAGAATGAAAGGAAGTGGAATCAAATTGTAGTAAAATGGCAGAATAAGTAGTCATAAAGGTGAACATCCATGGCTAAAGTCTATTGAGGAAGATGAGATATATCTTTAAAGCTGTAAGCTTGTTAGCCCCATTTTATAGGTTAATGAATGGAGGTTCAGAGAGGTTAAAAAACTTGACCAATGTCCATCACTGAGGAAGTGACAGAACCAGGTCTAGCTGGACTCCACAGTGTATGACAAGGCTGACTTATATGGCAAAGAAATTAACAAGAAATACAGAAAATAGTCATTTTATGAAGTGCCATTAGCCTAGATTGGCTCATGTGCAGAGGACAGGGGATTCAATTCTGTGGACTTAAGGTCCTGGGATTCTGTGCTATACCTGCCTCTGTGTTGGGAGGACAGTACCCTCCATTCACTCTCAGCCCAACAGACAGGCAGAGAGGGCAGACAAGCACTGCAGTTTCCCTGAAACAGTCTGAAGATTTTTGGCTCTGTTTGTGCTGGTCATGTCTGTTGCTTGTCATGGGCTGCACTCCCAGACGAAGGCTCTGGTTTCAGGAAGGCCATGAGGATGATGGGTTGTGGGTGTCCAGGGCACAGGAAAGACATCCCTCCTACGCACAGTGCATGGCGTCCCAAAGGTTCATCCCTCATGGGAAGGCCAGTTAGTTAAGGAGGTTCCAGAGTTTGTTCCACGGTGAGGATTGGAATTTACGCAGAGCCACCAAAGTGGCTAGAATTCGTCCGAGGAGCATGCAGAGGTGGGAGGAGCAAATCCCAGCTGTATGATTGTCCATGCACATGGGCCAGTTTGGGAATGGCCATGATGGAGGAGCAAGGCTATACGAAACTAGGACTGATTGACCGAATGGGAAGGATGACTAACATGTGCTGCATACTTACTCTGCCAGGCACTATTCAAAGTTGGTGAACTATATTAGCTCATTCAGTCTTTGTGGCAACCCTATAAAGTCAGTAGTACTGTTACCAGAAAGGGGTCCTGATCCAGACCCCAAAAGAGGGTACTTGGATCTCGCTGAAGAAACAATTCGGGGCGAGTACATACAGTAAAGTGAAAGCAAGTTTATTAGGAAAGTAAAGGAATAAAAGAATGGCTACTCCATAGACAGAGGAGACCTGAAGGCTGCTGGTTGCCCATTTTTATAGCTATTTCTTGATTATATGCTAAACAAGGGGTGGATTATTCATGCCTCCCCATAATTTCCTGACTACACCTTGGCATTTGTAAACTGTCATGGCTCTGGTGGGAGCGTAGCAGTGAGGACGACCAGAGGTCACTCTCATCGCCATCTTGGTTTTGGTGGGTTTTGGCAGGCTTCTTTACTGCAAGCTGTTTTATCAGCAAGATCTTTATGACCTGTATCTTGTGCAGACCTCCTATCTCATCCTGTGACACGGAATGCCTTAACTGTCTGGGAATGCAGCCCAGTAGGTCTCAGCCTCATTTTACCCAGCTCCTCTTCAAGATGGAGTTTCTCTGGTTCAAATGCCTCTGACAGTACTGTTGTTAGCCTCATTTACGATGAGGAAAAGAAGCACAGTGAGGTCAGTAACTTGTTTGAGCCCAGCAGCTAGGAAGAGTTGGAGCTTGAGTCCAGGTCCAGAGAGAGTCTGACCCCAGTAGCTGTATTCTTAATTACCTCAGTTTAGGATGAGGTGCTTAAGTTCCTCCCTCTCCCCCACCCCTGGAGGAACTTTTGCTCTGGGGTCACTGGCTCAACAATGACATAGCTTCTTGCTGCCTAGTTTATAAGAAGTACTAAAAATTGTAAACATTGTTCTAATTTAGGGATTTTATATTCACTCTTTCTCTGCCTCTTTCTTTATCTTAAAATAGGCTGGAGGAGAGAGAACAAAAAGTAAACATTTGTATGCTCCCCAAGTCAGGCCCTTGGGTATTCGGAGTCTGTAGTTGCTAGTTAATTAAATTCTGTAATTGCTCAGTTAACTGTTTGCAAGGTGTGGGAGGCTGGTGGAGGAGGAGGGCAGGTTTTCCAACAGTAAATCCTACAGGGAGGGGCAAGAGAAGAGCACCAACATCTGCTACCTGCAGACCTTGAGCTAAATGTTTTCCCATTAGTTACCTCATTTTCATCCTCTTAACCGTCCTTTGAGGTGGGTGTTATCAGCACAATTGTACAAATGAGAAAGGTTGTGTAACTTGCCTGAAGTCAGATTCTCTGTGAACAAAGGACCTGGGATCTGAACCCCAGAGTGTTGCCCTCCAAAGCTGTGCCCAAGACACTGTACAGTATCCACTGCTATGGACAAGACAAGCTTGACAGAGGACCCAACAGGCTTAGCCAGGAACACAACCCACAGCACGCAGGTGAGATGGTTCTGGCCACACCCTCCAGCTCAGGCTCAGCTCAACCCTTCCTCCTTCCTGGGAGCATGTCAGCCTTCCGTGTGGGGAGCAGCAAACTGGACAAACAAGAAGCTCTTTTCTGGGCTGTGCTCAGCCAGGGGCCTGGGGCATAACAGGATGGTTAATGCAAAGCTTGGCAAGCCTTCCCGTTTTAATTTAGGCCTCCTCCCAGGAGGGAATCCAGAGGCGGGAACATGAGAAAGGGAAAGGAAAAATAATAAGAGATAAGTGAGAAAAGAGAATATTTATAGGGCTTGGAACATCTAATGGAAACCAGCTGCCTTATTGGGGATGGGGGCCTCTTCCTTGCAGGGGATTATTAGGTTTTCTCTTGTACATACCTGTGTGTGGTGGGGGGTCCGGGCAGAGAGACAGCGACAGCAGGGACCAGCCTGGAGGCAGGGTGGAGGGCTGTGCTTACTGTACATTGGCCATCAGAAAGTGGCTATTCCCCTCCTGGCCTCACTCCACCCCCACCTCCTGCCTTCATTTTCAACTGGAGCTGATTCAAACCTGCTGCTCGTGGAAGGAGGCCATGAGTGCAGGCTCCAACAGAAAGATGATACGCGAGGGGATATGAGTGCGAGAGAGCGGGGCAATCAGAAAGAATGAGAAAATGAGACGAGGGAATGGAAAAGGTGAATAAACAGGGGATGATGAGGGAGGGAGAGAGATTGAAAGATTAAAATATTGGCCTGAGTGGGGAGCTTGGAAAGAAGGGAGTGAAGTCTAGAGTTGGAGCAAATTCAGAGCTGATCCTTCTGGGCCCTGTTCTCTCTCCCACAGACTCAGACGGTTGCAATAAAGATGTGTCTGTTTGAGATTTTCCAGGTCCCTTTCCCATAAATCTGTATTTCCTTCTTTCTCAAGGTCTTTGGACCAAAAAGTCTCATCCAAGAATTGTGTAAAGAACACTTAAAGGTGGAGGAGGCATCATAAATGGGAAAAGTGTGATAATATAGGGCTGGAATCTGGGGCACACATTTAGAAAGACAGCAGCCAAATGCAAAGGCACTTTCCAGAGGCCAATTTGTCCTGAGGCTTAAGCTCTGTGTCTTTTTATTTCTAGCTTTCTCTTAGGCTCTTGGTGAGTTGGAGAGGATATGTTCATGAATTGTGGAGTAAAGTTCTGTGTTTAATTGATATGAATTCAATGATATGTTAGGCCAGATAAAGCAAGAGAGAGCAAGAGAGAGTGAGAGAACACCATTTAAAGAGTAGGGATGATTTGCCCATCTTTTAACACAATGAGCAAGAATGTTAGGTGAGCTGAGCTGAGACATGTGAATCTACTCTTCCCTTGGTTTCTTTGGTCTTGGTTCTCAGATAGATCTCATAATATCGGTGAATTTATGTTTAAGGAAACAAGAATTTTTTTAAATAAAAAGTTGTCCTTTACATAAAAGTTCACTACTTTATCTCCTACCCAACTGAAGGAAAACACACAACAAGTTACGCTGCTTTTGTTGAAAAATGGTGTAGGGAAAGAAAAGTAATTTTTTCTTCAACTTTCAGAAGTTCTTAGATGGGAACCCTATCTAGACCCCTGTAACATAAGACAGATTAACAAGAGAAAAACAAACAGAAGTTTATTAATATGCATTATTTTATATATACATGGGAGATACCCAGGGAATAGTTCTCAAAGAACAGTAAATTTTTAAAGAAGTGGCAAGACAAAGGAAAAAGACTTTAAGTCTCTAGGGAAGGCAACTTGGAGGAAGGCAAATTAAAGGCTGGTTAGTAAAGCTTGTTTGTGTAGATTGCTCTGGAACCATCTCCAGGTTTATAAGAGTTCCAAGCTGTCTTTAGTGGTTAACCTTTGTTCTCTCTGGTAGAAGTGGGGTGATAGGGTGCAGGATACCTATTGTCTTTGTAAATCTATGTCCTGCTTTTAGGCAAATAGAGGAAGGGCAGAGAGCTTTTCTGCATCTGTTTCTTCTTAATTACCATCAGCTCAACAATCCTTCATATTTTGGGGTGGCATATTTTGGTCTCACACAATGGTATAATAATGTTCTTTAAGGACAATTTAGGGGATTTTCAAGCCATTTTAATCATTTGATCTGATTAAATGTTAAGTGCTTTTCAACGTCCCTTTTTAAATGTTAAGTGCTGCCTGTAGACTTCATTGTCCATTGAGGTTGGCCAATGTGTGAAAATGTTGACTATATTTGGACTTATGGTTGGATTAATGGACAGCTTTCTCCTGATTACCCAGTCCACTGGTACATAATAAATTAAGAAAGGTCCACAGGCCCCCTGAACTCAGGCAAAGCTCCAAGAGGGGGCAACAATAACCAGTGTGATGGAAGCCCTCTCCTTTCAACTGAGTCCCTTCCTCTTATCTGATCACATGCTGTCACTCCTATCTTTCGATTGGAAACAAGTACCTGTCTTGCTACCATATGACACCCCCCTAAGTGCTGGAGTGGCTCCTGAGCACTGTCAACATCTGACTAACAAAGACAACCTCTAGTCTCGGTAGTATCTCAAGGAGGTCTTCTTTTGTGCTTTTCTATCTTATTCAAAATGTTCGCCCTTTACATTAACGCAGCAACAACTTTACTGTGCCAGCAAGATTAGAGAAAAAGTCAAAGCAGTTCAAAGCCCATGCTGACAAAAATAGCAACATTCCCTTAGAAAAACAATAATTACTACTGTTTTAAGAACTTCGGAAAAAAAAGTGAAATGTTGAAACAAAAAGTGGAAATGTTTTCCCCTTTGGAAGAAATTTCTGCTCAAACTGTTGCAGCTCTGGGGCAGCCTCATCTTGCCCACAGAAGCATCTGTCTTTCAGAAATGAAGACTCTCCTTAATCATCCACAGTTCATACGCTCCTGTGATTTGTAAAAATGGATCTCATAAACTCAGTCAGAACTCTCATGATGCTGGGGAGAGAAGGGATTTCAAGAGTTCTTACATCTCCCTACTGTAACTTCCAGGTCAGACTGCTGCTGGGTCCTTATTCTTCAAGACCTGCGAGGAAAGCTATTCTCAACCTTTCAAAGTGATGCCAAAGAAAGGATGCTTTGGCATTTTACAATTTGTTTGCTGGACTCTGCTGGTTTGGTGCTTTTTGAGTCGTGATGTTCCACATATCCAGGCTGTCCTTTAGATTATATATATATTTTCAATTTTTATTTATTTCTCAGTAGATCTGGTGCCTTAAAAAAAAACGAGATATCTCTATTTGTGTCTTGATGAATTATAAAAGACATTTCCCACCCTTCCTTCTGTTCTATGATCAATTGTCTCCTTTCTCTCTTTTCACTGTTGTCTTCTCATTTGCATATATTTTACATGGACTTGCAGATGTAGGTCAACCACTTTAATTGTGTGAGTCAGAGTGTGTTGGTGGGTAAAACACAGCATAAGTCATATTTTTCAATGGCAGAAACATTATGTGTGGCATTGGCATTTGAACTTATTATTATTATTATTATTATTATTATTATTATTATTTCTTGAGACAGAGTTTTGCTCTGTCACCCAGGCTGGAGGGCAGTGGCATGGTCATAGCTCACTGCAGCCTCAAACTCCTGGGCTTGAGTAATCCTCCTGCCTTGTCCTCCTGGGTAACTGGGATTACAGTTGGGCAGTACCATACCTGAATAATTTTTAAAAATTTATTGGTAGAGACAAAGTCTCACTATGGTTGCCCAGGCTGGTCTCAAATTCCTGGGCTTAAGCAGTCCTCCCTGCTCAGCCTCCTAAAGTGTTGGGATTACAGGCGTGAGCCACTGTGCCCAGCCTGAATTTCTTATTCTCACCTCATGAGTTGGTTTAAATGGAAACATTCATTATTTAAATGACCTAGGATACCCTTATGTCAATCTGAATAGAATGTGTCACTACTCTAGAACTGGAAAATATAAACGTCCCAAGTACTATGTGAAACATTTAGAACCATGGCTTTTAAATGTCCTACATTTAGGTCCTGGAGAAAGGACCTAAAAAATCCTTTAAGTACCTCATGAGACAATACATATCCTGGGAATCTCCAGGAACAATCTAAGCTGTGCGTGATGACTTATTTTTAAGAACCCACTACCATTTATTTCCACTGGATGAATAACCCATCACAGAGATGGGGAAAACATGAACAATGGTAGAGCTGGGGGCAAGAGATGAGTACAAATTTGGTCAAGTGATTAAACCAGCTATAAATTTATTTAATCATGCTTTTCTGCAGGCAACTTTTCTCCATTTGATCTTAAAACTTCATGAGAGGTTCTGCCATATTCTTTGCAGGTAAACATTACGTGTGCCTTCTCTGATCTACCGGCTTCAACCATGGAATGGTCATCCCTGTCTAGAGACTCATAAACAACCATGGATGGAGCTGGCATGGCACTTGGAGGCTGGAGGTGGTGAGAGGTTGTTGTACAGAGTATTCAATTTCTCCAGTGAATTCATCCAGTCAGACTCTCATACATTGGCTCTCAACAGACTCTTTTATTTTCCCTTTTCCCTGCATAGTCCTTCCAACCTGAAATTCCCTTGCTTTCTCTTTGTATAACTAAATCTTAAGACTCAGGTTCACCTTCTCTTCCTCTGTGAAGCCTTCACTGAATGCAATTCACCCATAACTCCCCTCTCTTACACCCCGATAGCTGGTAGTGCCTATGTTGTCCCACTTCTTAAGTTTCCACATTGTCCAGTACTCTTTGTTAGGTTTCTGGGTATTTAAGAGCCACCAGCTGGCATTCCTTGCAGATGGATTCCAGAAGTCCCTGAAAAAGAAATTGTAGAGTCATATTGGACTCATATTGAACACAGAAGGAATAAATTGTTGGGGTTGGGTGGAGGCGGTGACTGGACTCACATGAGAATAGACAACTGATACACTCTTTCTTCATGGGAAGATATTTAGCACAGAGAGCATCCTTCTTTTCCTTCTCTGCTTCTTTCTCCCAGAGAGAGGGATAAGGAGACCTGGGCTTGAACCTGAGGAGACCAGACTGGCCTAGACTGGAAGACTGGGCTAAGCTGTGGTGAGCTGTTTGCAGTTTATAAACAAGTCCTGACATCCCAGTTTGGGTGTTGGCAAGCAATGTCTTCAGCCCAGAGAAAGTTCTCAGAGATGCACCAAGGCCTCAGGCTAAACTGCAGAGTAGGCAAAACTCTTCACCACTGTTCCTCCCACTCCTTCAGTTCCCCAGCACCCCAGATACCTCCAGCCCTCACACTGCCAACTTCGGGCATTCCTTCCTTGGTGTCTAACTGGGCTTGATCTTCATAAAGACTATATGGTGAAGTTAGCTTTTCCTCTTCCCACCAGGTACTGATCTCTTAAAACGAATAAGATGTAGGTAATCAAATTGGCTTTATCTTTCTATTAGGTATTCTAGACTAAAAGCTCCATTAAACTGATGTAATTTAGTAAGGGAGATGTTGGGGGGCTAAGGGCTTTGTCTATCTCTATCAGCTGCTCTCCTCTCCCCACAAGCTAGACTTTGGATAAAATACCAGATAACAGATTTTGTGACTTGGCACATGGCTTCCTTTCTCCCAGACTTCTTTGTGCCTCCCTCTTGCAACCAGCTAAAGAGTCATCCTTGTGGGAACAACTGGGAATTGGCACAGAGACTATTGGAAATCACAGGTGATCCTGGAACCGAGTGTCTCCCGAATGCCTTATTAGTACAAGCCTCTTGGGACTACTTGGAACCTTCCAAAGGGAATTTCACTCTCTTAATTTCATACTCAGTGCAGGATAACCTTCTATAATGTTCCCAACTGGCAGCAGCCAGCCCTGGATGAAGTACTTCCTGTAAGGAGAAGTTTAGTCCTTTCCAAGGCAGCCTGTTCCATTGTCTGTACTTGTTGGGAATCTCTTTTTGTATAAAACAGAAGTTTAGTTACAGTTTTACTTTTAAGGAATGTGGAATACATCTCTTCCCCATGACAGCTCTTCAAATTATTAAACAACAGTGTGGTTCTCAGTACCTCTCTCCCTCCCTCTCTATCCCCTCACACACACACACACACTCTCTCTCTCTAGGTTAGACATTTACATTTCCTCAATGTTTCTCATCTGACATGGCTTTAAGATCTTACAACCTCTGATTCCCTTCTTTGGACATTACACTTTGTTAATAAGAATTGGTCGGCTGGGCTCAGTGGCTTACGCCTGTAATCACAGCACTTCGAGAGGCCGAGGTGGGTGGATCACGAGGTCAGGAGTTCAAGATCAGCCTGGCCAAGATGGTGAAACCCCGTCTCTACTAACAATACAAAAAAAAAAAAAAATTAGACGGGTGTGGTGGTGGGCACCTGTAATCCCAGCTACTCAGGGCGCTTAGGCAGAGAATTGCTTAAACCCAGAGGCAGAGAATGCAGTGAGCCGAGATCATGCCACTGCACTCCAGCCTGGGTGACAGAGCGAAACTCCGTCAAAAAAAGAAAAAGAAAAAGAAAAAGAAAAAGAATTGGCTATGCTCCATTTCTAGAAATAGGCTGGAGTTGGGATTCTTACCCCCTTGATTTAATTTTAGTTAACAAGTATTTATTGAGTACCTAATATGTTTAAGGCCCACAAATCAACAAGGAACATGTCCCCAAGGAATTCTGTTTTATCCATTGGATAATTAATAGTTCCAATGAGACAGTTCACAATGAAAAACCCAGGTCTTTGCTGTAAGAACCTTCATTGCACAAAGTTTCTCAATCTTATTTTATGCAAATATAACTCACATTCACCTATGGCTTTCTTCCCTTTTGTTATTAGGCAAATATTCTTTCCTTCTCAATTATATGCTTCTCTGGAGTCAAGTAAGGGTGGAGTAACAGTTGTACCTTTGTTCATTCACTTAATGGATGTACTAGTTAGGGTAGGCTGAATTGCTGTCATAAATACATGCCAAATGTATAATGGTTTGAACACAATAGAAGTTTGTTTCTCATATAATTGCTCAAGGGAGGTGCTCCTGGCTGAAGCGCAGCTCTCTTTCACAAGGTAGTTAAGGGACCATGGCTTCTTAGACCCTGTGGCTCTACAGACCCTTAAGGCCACGTCACCCAGCACACATAAAGAGTGTGGAAGAACACAGAATAATTGACCCAGACCTGTTGAAGGTATACAACACTTCCACTTACATCTTTGGAAAGAATTTAGTTATTTAGTTACATGGCTTTACTTCACTGTAAGGAAGACCAGAAAATATAGCTGTGCTCTGTGCCCAGGAAGAAGGGGAAGAAGGATTCTAGTAGATAGTCTGCAGACTGCCAAAATGACATAATTTTATTTCTACTTTTAACCACTGTTGTTCATCGCCTTAGTTTAATTTCTACAAAACTTCCATAATTTCTTGGCTATGTTGTTGGCTGACCACTGTAGCAAAGGAGGGTTGGGTGTGTGGTTCAGCAGTAGGTGAGCAGGAAAATCTCAGAGGCAGCATCATGGCAGCTGATGAGTCTGGAGGACTGGAGGGAACTGATGGTGCAGGAGGCCAGAGGAGACTGAGAGTGTGTGGCCAGAGGCCCTGTGCGGAGGTTAATCTGCTGAATAGTGAAAGGGGAAGATGACTGAGACAGGAAGAAACCAGGAGTATGATTCATTTGGCTTTGAGAAGAACTTTTTTTTAACACCTCAGCATGGGCAAGGATATTGTATACCTAACACTACATATGTTTCAGGAAGTTTCCGAGCAATGAAGTAGCTTCTCCAGTAATGTGTTTACATTTGATCAGTGAAAAGCTACTTATTGATCTCCCATGATGTACCTGGATCTATGCTAGGCTCTCTACTAAATACAACCCCTATTCTTTTTTTTTTTTTTGCTGGAGTCTCACTCTGTCACCCAGGCTGGAGTGCAGTGGCACGATCTCAGCTCACTGCAACCTCCACATCCCAGGTTCAAGCAATTCTCCTGCCTTAGCCTCCTGCGTAGCTGGGATTACAGGCGCCCACCACCATGTCTGGCTAATTTTTGTACTTTTAGTAGAGACAGGGTTTTACCGTGCTGGCCAGGTGGGTCTGGAACTCCTGACCTCAGGTGATCTGCCTGCCTCAGTCTCCCAAAGTGCTGGGATTACAGGCGTGAGCCATCACGCCTGGCCACAAGCCGTATTCTTAAAGAATTTATAATCCAACTAGTCAAACATAACATGTACCTAAAATAACTCAATAGCATAGGAGAAAACTGAGGGCAAAATATATGGATATCAACTCTCCAGATTAAAAAAATTCAAAAGAATGGTTGATCACTGAGGGCCAAGATAGTCAAGGAAGGCTCCATAGAAGAGGTTGGAATAAAATGACTGGGATAGAAAGGGAGACAAAGAAAAGTGTACCAGGACGGGTGGAAAAGGCCAGAATGAACAGTAAGAGCGCCAGGAGAGTGGTGGGTGGGGTGAAAGGCTATAGAGGTAGGCATTGGGCCCAACCATGGGTAATTTTGAAAATCAGGAATAGGCACCTAGACTTGGTATGGTAAGAAACAGAGAAAACACAGGCCCTCTCTTTTATCTTTACCATGATGTTTTCCAGGTTAAGAAATCTACTTGAAAGCATCTAACCCTTAACCTGATAGATGTTAGTAAACATTTATTCACCCCAGAGAGTAATACATTGGCGGTGGTGTGCAGAAAATACTTCATTCATTCATTCTTCAAGCATCTACTGGATGTTTTCTACATGCCACATTCTGAGCTAGACACAGAGGATGCAAAAATTATAATAAAGTCGTGGTATCTCCTTGGGGTTAGATTATCATAGACTGGATCCTCCTATATACTGGTAACCAAGAGGTGCACAGTTCCCATACCTGTGCTCTGTTTCTACCTTGCCCCTTGTCAAGGTAATGCTGTCTATCTCGCCCACTTAAATCTGACCCCAGAGATCACTTCTTGTGTTTATCTAAAAACCAGGGTTTGCGCCCATTTCCTTATGCTCATTAGGGCAGGTTAGGCTCCCAGTGCTGAGTTGCTGGTCTCCTTGGAGCACCAACCAAAACAAAAAATATCAGCCTCCTAGGATGTCTGGCAAGAACTTCTGAGATAAATCACATGAAAGTGTTTCAAAATCTGAGGGAGGCCATCCAAATGTAATGGATAATTACTATGATCACCACCGAAGATGGCCGGTCCTCCACTCCTTGGGGCGTGGTCTCTCAGAGCTAGGTTCTCATGATCATGTGTGTGCAAAGGGCCCTACTTACTTTTGGATTCTTTTGCTTATTGACTATGCATAAAAGGCCAAGTTTGGCATCCACAAGTAACTATTTTCAGGCATATTTATCTAGTTTAGCTGGAGCTAGTTTGTTTACAGACAATGTGGTCTGCACACAAGGCTGGGAGTTCAGGTGCTAAATAGAATTCCCGCTCAGTTTCTAGCCTGCTGTATGGCCTTGGGTAACCTGCATAACTTCCTTGTGTCAATTGGTTCTTAACTGTCACCTCAGAGCCATGCTGATTTGTCTAAGAGATGTTTGGAGAGGATGAACTGTTTATCACCTCTAAACTGATTTTTAAATACTGACGTAAAGACTCCTGGTTTCCAGTCTGACACATAAGGAACTTAGAAGTCACCATTCCATTCTAATAATAAGTAAGAAACCAAGCACAGAGAGTAAAACAATGGTTACCAGGGGATGGGAGGGGTAGGAAATGGGGAGAAATAGGTCAAAGGGTACAAATTTGTAGTTATGCAGGATTAGTAAGTCTAGAGATCTAACATACAGCATGAGGACTACAGTAAATACAACCTTATCATAGACTGAAAATTTGCCAAGAGAGTAGATTTTAGGTGCTCTTAACACACACACACACACACACACACACACACACACACACACGAAGTAACTATGGAAGATGATGGGTGGGTTAATTTGCTTGGCTGGAGTAAGCATTTTACCGTGTATAGTTATATAAAAATATCATGTTGTACACCTTAAATATATACAATTTAAAAAGCCAAACAAAATACAAAATCAGCAACTCTTCTTAGATCTGTCAGAGAAGTGAGGCCACAGGGCAATCACTGGCCCCAAAATTGGAGAGACAGACAGGTGGATACAGAGCATCCTATGGCATATCCCAAGTGATCACATTTTAACACAAAGAAAAACACCAAGAAATTCCAAAATGTAAAAATAGTGCAGAAGGCATTTTCTGTTCATGATGTAATATAGCCCGATCTTAATAATAAAACAAAATAATAAAACAACAAGATATTCTAATATCTGGGAAAAAAACCCCAAAACTCTTTTTAAAGCAACTCTTGGATCATAAAGAAAATCAAAATCAAACCTAATATTCAGAAAATAAGAAAATGTTTAAATTTAAAATAAAAATATGTTTTAAGGAAAGATAGAAGATAGAAGCTATGAAGCTATATGAAAAAGAAAGCAAGGAAATGAAAAAGAATTCAGCATGATCTTTATCTCTGGTGGTTGGAGGAGTAGTATGGACAGAAGCAGAGGGAGGGAATGGGAGGGGCAATATAGGTAGATGGAGTTTATTGTCAAGACGCATTGGGTGATGGGCCCATATTTTAAAAATTATGTTAAAAAATGGAAGAACTAAACAAAAGATGGCTATGCATTTACCAATGATGAGAGTGTAACATAAATTAAGGATGATGATTAATCCAATTCTGTGCCAAAAACTAATTTAGAAATAACTATATACTAGAACCTAAGGAGTGCAATTTAAAGCAGTGCTCAGAGGAAAATTCATAGTCTTCCATATGTAGAATAATAAAAAGACTGATAATGAAAGAAGTAACATCTGACTCAAAGAATTAATAAAAAGAACTGAATGATAATAATAAACCTAAAGAAAGTAGAAACTAAAAGCAGAAATTATTTAACTAATAACAAACAAAGTGGTATGTGTAGTGGTCAGATTGAAATAAATTATGGACTATCTGTACAGTGCAATACTCTGTGGCTATGAAAAAGGGAAGAGAAAGCTCTCTCTGGATTGATAGGGAATAATTGCCAAGCTATGTATAATAGCTAAGTAAAAAAAAAAAGCAAGGTGCTTTTGTGTAACGTATGCTATCATTTGTCCTTTGTGTAAGAATCAGGAAAGATAAAGAATATCCACACACACACACACACACACACACACACATATATATGCACATATGCACTTATATATGTGCATGTGTGTATATATACATATATACACATATATATGTATATATATATACACACACCCCTGCACATATATGTAATTGCTGGTATATGCATCTCTCTGGAAATATTCATCAGAAACTTGAAGCATTGGTTGCTACTGGCTAGAAGAAAGAGTAGAAGGGACATTTTTTACTACCCTTTTGCACATTTCAAATTTTGAATCACATGAATGTGCATACTTATTTAAAAATTAAGTTAAATAATTGGCAAGTAAATTATTTCTAGTTTTTAGAAATATGGAACTGAACAAGCCTTTAAATTTAAGATCATAAAATATAGCAAGAAATAGTTTTATTTTTCTAAATAACATTTTTATTTTCTACGTATATATTTTTCTAAATTATGTATTCCAAGTCCAGTTATGAGAGAGAGATTGTGGGAAATGAAAGGAGTGATAAACCACAGGAAAAGAGAGGGACCATGGGAAATGAGACTAAGAGTTAGACGGGAGCCCAGGAACCTATGCCGAAAGAGAGGAGCCAGACAATCAGGGAAGTTTGGTGAAACAGAAAGAAGTACAGGCATTCTACAAGTTCTAGGATCAGGACAGTCGGGTAAAATGTTCTTGCAACAATGCCTTCCATCTGGGACACGAGCTTTAGAGCAAACTATCCTGTTACAATAGTCTTTGAAATCATGTGAGAATAAAATGTTTATTTTTTCCATTGAAACCTAAGGGTTTTCTCATATGTGAAAAGAATTAACAAAGGTTTAAGAGAGTCAGTTAGGAACCTAGTATGTCTTTGACATTCAAAAGTGGTCGAATTGCTTCGTCTTTGTTCACAAGAGAATATGCGTTCCACTATTAAATGTCAGGCAGCTGTATTTGAAAATAGTGTTTATTTCACCTTTTAAAAGCCTCCCTTGACCACAAATAAGTCTAACTCATGAGGCTATAAATAATGTTTTATTTTTCCAATTTTTCAATTAAAAATATCAAACTCCTGGAGGAGCCACCCTTAGAAAATGAAGCACAATATCAGCTTAATAAAAGAAAAATTTATGTTTCTGGTTACAATATCTTGGCTTGAATAATTTCATCTCAGAATGCAAATGTAAGATAGAGTGAAGTTAAGTTGGGACCCAATCAAGTTTTGAAGATTCCCATTTCTGGCGTATAAAATAATGCAAGTTTAACGTTTTGGGAGACACCATTACCTCTGTTGCCACCTGCTGGTAAACATATGTCTCATTTAATTCAGTTAATGGCTCACCCCGATTAAACACATTTTGGATCTTGGAGATAGATTTGCAGCAAAATAACTTCTGCTGCTTCAGAAGTGGTCACTGGTTTACGGATGCAGTGGCTGATGCATCACAGGGACTGGCTGTGCTGAGCTATGTCCCTTAGTACGTAGGACAGCCGAAGACAGCTTGCACTGGTATGTGGATTTAGACAGGCCTTCCTCTGGCAGGGCCTCCTGCTCTCCCAATTCTTTAAGTTTGTCTATTCTCATGTCCATCAAAACATAGGATTCTTCTCCTTAAGGAGATCAGTTTTTAAAAACACTGAATGATTCTGAGTCTTAATTTAAAAAATTTTAATCAAAGGCTTTTGACCCTCCAAATGAACATGGACCACACACATATATATACTCATGCATACAGTTGCTTCATTTTGGTTCTGAGGTTGAAGTCAACACTGATGAACAGAGATGCTTTTATTTATTCTGCATGCAGCCTTTCTCTTCCTTCTCCCACTCATATGCTTTATTCTTCTGCTCTTTCAAAACCTGCATTCCATGCTCAATACTTGTGCATTTAGCTGCAACACAAACACTCATAACTCACAGTGTGGCTAATGTTTACACATTTTCTTATAAACATAAGGAGCCTACTTTATCTGGAACCCTCACTTTATCTGGAATTTTAATAAGCAGAAGGAAAAAATATGACCATTTTCCTTCTATGGTACCACTTCATGATGCTAATTGGTCATTATGTTCCCCCAAAATACTGTAAGATTCTGATGTGGTTTTGTTACCCATTTACTTATTTAAGAATAGTTGGGTGGTTGGTTTCAAGTTTTTGGTGATTCTGACTAGAGCTGCTATAAACATGCATGTACAGGTTTTTGTGTGAGCATAAGCTTTCATTTCTCTACAGTAAAAACCTGAGGGATGGGATTATTGGGTCATTGTGTATGTTTAACGTTTTAAGGAATTGCCAAGCCATTGTCCAGAGTCGCTTTACTACTTTGCATTCACATGTGCAATGCATGAGATTTCCAGTTGCTCCGCATCCTTGTCAGCACTTGGTATTGTCAGTATTTTTAATTTTATATATAATGGTAACACATTGTAGTTTTAACGGACATTTCCCTAATAATGAATAATTGTTGAAAACTTTTTGTGTACTTACTATCATCTAGCTATCCTTTTATGTTAAGTGCCTGTTTAATTACCCATTTTTTTACATTGGTTTATTTGTTTTCTGTTGCGTTTTGAGAGTTCTGATATATTCTGGTTATGTCTTTTGGTAATGTAGTTCTTGAATCATCAAAAAATGTATGAATATTTAAAGTTTTTTATTGTAAAGTTTTTAATTATATTTACTTCTTGGTGATTTACATATGCAAGCCACATAAGTCTATTAATTAAACTTTTCCATCACCCAGAACTGTGTGTATTTTGAATGATTGGGTGCTTTTTAAGGAGGCCCAGAGGGAAAGCTGGTAAGCTGCCCCAATCAGAGTCTGGAAAGAGCCATTTGGTGGATTCACAAAGGCAAGTCCAGGGTTTTTAGTCTTTAACTTGAAGATTCAAAAATGTGACTTGGTTGAGCCAGGCATGGTGGCTCATGTCTGTAATCCCAGAATTTTGGGAGGATGAGATGGGAATATTGCTAGAGCCCAGGAGTTTGAGACCAGCCTGGGCAACATAGTGACTCCCTGTCTCTTAAAAAAAAAAAAAAGAAAAAAGAAATGTAACTTAGCCAGTGTCCCAAGAGCTGATCCCATTTGAGGACGCTTATTCATGCTAGCAAGGCTCTCAAGAGACCAAAGTGCAAGACCAGGGTAGCAGCTAATGCACTAAGGGGGCCTCTTATGTCTTCTCCTATAGCTCCATCTGATATTCACAAGGTTCCTTGAGGAGCTTGGAGTTGGAATAAAGGGGATTTAGCTGTATCAATGGTTGTGACAGAATTTTTACTAGGTCATGGTGAAAAAAATAAGCATAATTTAACTTTTCTTAATGGATTCAACTTAAAGGGCTACCCTTTATTTAGAGATTGTATCCTTTCTACAACTTTGGCAAATTCCATATGAATTTATTTTCTTAGGGTGTATTGATGACTTACTGGCCTAGAAACAATTCTGAAAGTAAAGAGCCATTTTATGTTATAATTTCAGTCCTATCACCTGGATTTCTGAGACCTTGGGAGCTACCTCCCTCCCACTTCCTCATCTATATGTGTGTAAGTCAACTGAACTTGGCATTCAAGGCCCTATACAATCTGACTCTTAGCTTCCAATTTTATTTCAATTCACCTTACCATGAGAATCCTCTCCAGGTAAACCAGTCTTCTTGAAACTCCCAATATGCTGTGCCTTTTCTTGCCACTGGATATTTGCTGTATGATTTCTAGCACACCACTCCCTCCTCCACTGATCTTCTTTGATGTCTTTTAAGCCCGAAGTGAACACATACTCCTCTGGGTTCTTATAGCACCTGTCTTCGGTACCATTCCCAAAGCATTTATCCCACAATATCTTTCATTGTGGGTGACTCATGTGTGCTTTAATGAATGATCAGATAGTGCCCCCACTGGATGGAAAGCTTCTGAAGGGGGAGAAATAAAGGCCCACTTTTTTAGAAATCTCAGCATGTCTCCCAGCAAATAGCACAGTGCTTCTCACAGCAGGTGCTCAATAAGTGTCTGTTAAAGGAATGAATGAAGACATAAATGTACGAGAAACAGTATATTTAAATTCTTGCAACAGAATTCCTCTTTTCACCCATGGTTACCTATGTATTTTGATACTTGAACACATTCTTATACACACATCCTATATAAATATACAAACCGAGGGCTCCCTTGGGCTATCTCCTCAGACGTGTGAGTCTGTGAGTGTGGCCTGCACATCAGCATGCCCAGGCAGAAGGAAAAACAAGCAGGCACTCCCAACTGGGGAAGTCATTTGCAGCTCTTCCCATTATTACTGGCTGAATCTCTTTATTTAAAACAAACAAAGAGCTGGAAGAAGCAACTCAAGTGGCCAGCTATTAGCAAGTTCAATTATCAAAACACAGACCTGGTCTTTAAACCTATAAAACAGCAAACCCTAAAAGTCTGCTCCTGACCTTTAGCATCTCTGTGGCCAGCTGAACCTCCCCTAGCTCTCTCTTTAGGACCCTTAGGGGCCACGCGTTCATATCACAGGGAGGCTATTTTTAGATCTTATTTGGCTGAGAGCATTTTCATTAATCTCAAAGGGCATCTCTCTCCTTTCCTTTGTTTCCTATGCCACAGGGCAAGGACTCCACCCAAAGGCAATCCAGCTACCATTTTCCACATAGTCTATGGTTAGTCAGAGAAGTGTCTAAGGGCTGCAGAGAAGGAAGGCCTGAAATTTAGATCCTAGAGACAAGAGGGCTACTGTAGAGCCAGCAAGAATGACCAAAAGAGGAAATTGGAACACCATCCAGGCCACAGGAGGGAGATGTGGTTCGTCTCCTGTTTCTGATGTCCACTGAGTGGTCCCATAGTCTGGCCTGCTCAAGTGCTGGCCTGTCCAAGTGCAAGCCAAAGGAGGGAAGTGTCGTTAAACATCCTTTAATCTGTGATGCTTGTGAATCATCATTGTGGTCAAGAAAATGGAAATCAATCCTAATGCTGTAGATGGAAAAGGGGTGGAAAACAGAAAGGAATTTATAGCAACCACAGGCCACAGCCTGGCAGTGTTTTGTTTGGGTTTTTGAAATAAATTAGGTCTATCACCTTTTTGTTGTCCTTTACTTCTTTCTCTTAAAAAGTAGAGTATATGAAAATACTGGTTGCGTAAGTGTTCTATTTGATTATATAATACCTACTTTATAGAGTTGCATACAATTGCATTACAGAATTATATAGTGTGATCTTACCTATACAATGAAAAAGAAAGATGGAGAGAGGACTCAAAGGAACTGTACCAAAGTTAACAGTGAGTGACACTGGGCAGTGGAATCATAGATAATATTTCCTGCTTCTTTATACTTTTCTTTCAACGTTTTCTCTAATCAGCATTTATTACTCTGAAGATCTGGAAGATGCTGATCAAAATTAAAAAAAAAAGATTATATTGTACAGAAAGGTTGTTTTCAACCTAATTTATCTTTCAGAGGTTTTGCCATTTTCTACCTATGTGACCTTGAGTAAGTTACTTAACCCTTTGAATCTTAGCTTCCCTCCTCCGTAAAATGGGGATAATAAGTACTTACTTCCATCAAAGAACTGTGTGAAAATTAAATGGAAAAACACAAACAACTCATCTAGTACTGAGCCTGATGAAGCACAGACACTCAATAGTGGGTAATCAAAAACTGTGAAGTAATATCTCTAATTTCTTATAGGGTAAGCAACTTCAGGAGCCTGTTTGGGCCAGTCTTGAAAATGGAGGGACTCCATTTATTTCCTGCCACTGTGATAGTCCACTGTATGGTTTCTTGTTTTCTTCAACTATGCCTGAGAATGGCTTGACCCAAATTTCAGAAGATTAATGAAGTCCTAAGGGCAATTATGTAAGTGTAAATAATGGAATGATGTGGTAAAATGCAGGCACATGTGCTTTGGATTTGGAAAAACCAGAGTCTAAATTTTTCTAATTACTAACTGTGTGATCTTAGGTGAGTGACTTTAGTTTTTGGAGTCTTGATTTCCTCATGTTTAATAATTCTAACATCCATTGAGTCATTATTACGTGTCAAGCACTAGGCTAAGCATTTTATGTACATTAATATATTTAATCAACATGGCAACCCCATGCCATGTAATTATTATCCCCATTTTACAGATAAGGAAGAGGTAAAGGAGGCTGCCTGTGGTCACAGAGCTGTATATTGATAGTTTGAATTTTAACTTAGTCTGACACTAGAGCCTATTTTCCTCACCACTATGCCTATTTGAGGAATTTCATACATAGCGTCCCCAAAGGATGTATGCTGGGAAAGGTATTAATATTCCAGATGTAGCATACCAATGTCTCAGGTGAATAATACTTGGGGTCATCTCTTTCTCATACTCCTTTTCTTTTCTTTTTTTTTTTTGAAATAAAGTCTGGCTCTGTTGCCCAGACTAAAGTGCCATGACTTGATCATGGCTTACTGCAACCTCAGCCTCCTGGATTCAAGCAATCCTCTCACGTCAGCCACCCAGGTAGCGGGGACTACAGACACATGCCACCAAATCTGGCTTTTTAAAAATTTTTTCTAGCAATGAGGTCTCACTAAGTTGTCCAGGTTGGGCTCAAACTCCTGGGCTCAAGCAGTCCTCCCACTTGGCCTCCCAAAGTGCTGGGATTACAAGAGTGAGCCACTGCACTCAGCCCATACTCCTTTTCTTAACACTTAGAGCATTTCAAGGAAAGGCAACAATTAAAAAAATTCTTTAGTTTGTTACACATGATCTTTTAGACATTGTGCTAATATTGGCTTATTATTCCAATCCTAACACTACTAATGACAGTTACGACTTACTGAGTACTTGTAAGTTACCAGGTACTGGGCTAAGGGCTTTGCATGCTTTACCTTAGTGCATCCCAACAATAAATTTATGAAGTAAGCTTTATTAGTCTCATTTTGTAAATGAGAAAAACCGAGACATAGAAAAGTTAAGAAACTTGGCAAAGTTCACATGAATAGTGAATGGTGGAACCAGAATGCAAGCCCAAATCTGTCTGGTTTTTAAGTCTCTGCATTTAATCATCTTATTACACTAGCTTCCCACCCTCCTCATCATGTTTTGTGTTTATCTATGTGGCTTTAGAGTAGCATGAAGGATCACCCTGGGATCAGATTATGCTGGAAAGCTATCCAGTACTGTGCTTTTTCTACTTTCCGTTGAGGCTGGAGAGGCAAGATTCACTATGATAAGGCTGAGATCACCCAGTGGCACAGCACTTTAGGCTTAGGTCAGCATGTCAAATCTGCTATACACTATTGTAGTGGTTGCTAGTGCTCTTTGCAAAATTGTTCATTTTCCTTACTTCTGGGCATAGGGAAGACTGAAATTCTTGAATTCCTATGGTTGAGTGGAATCTTATAACTAGTTATGACGTTTGAATTTTGTGTGGAAGTGACATGCAACAGACACTTCCAGGCTGGAGCCTGGAGCCTATTTGTGACTTTTTAGAGCTTTCTTTTGTCTTTGGTACAATAGCCAGCAGCATTCAAGATGGTGGCTGCTCCATCAGCCTGGGACTCCAGGTGACTACAATAAGCAAAGTTTCCTGCTTAAATGTAATGAATACGTAGCTTCAGTAAAAAAGAAACCGGCTGGGCGTGGTGTAATCCCACCTGTAATCCCAACACTTTGGGAGGTTGAGGTGGGCGGATCACCTGAGGTCGGGAGTTCGAGACCAGCCTGACCAACATGGAGAAACCCCGTCTCCATTAAAAATACAAAAATAGCCGGGCGTGGTGGCGCATGCCTGTAATCCCAGCTACTCGGGAGGCTGAGGCAGGAGAATCACTTGAATCCAGGAGGTGGAGGTTGCCGTGAGCAGAGATCATGCCATTGCACTCCACCCTGGGCAACAAAGAGTGAAACTCCATCTAAAAAAAAAAAAGAAAGAAACCTTTATTATTTAAGCCACTCAGATTTTAGAGTTGTTTGTTACTGCAACATAACCTAGTCTGTCTTGACTGATACAATCATGTAGCACATTGTGGACCATACAAGCAGCGCCTGGACATCAGTGTGCTAGTTGCCAATGTACTGTGTCCATGACTATCATCGGTGTAGGGGAGGAGAGAAAGACAAAAGGGAAGGTAGAGGTTGGGAGAGACAGAGACAGAAACAGAGACTAACTTTCACTTCTGGCAGAACCTTTTGGAAGCTGTGTCTTTTACTGTGATGAAACATCAAGGAACCACAAGGGCTGTGACTGTGTCTTGCTCAGTATTTCCAGTGCTGAATAAGGTGACGGACATTTATTAAATATTGCTGATTTCATAATATCAACGTTGGACTAACATTTTATAAACAATAAAATCTTTAGGAATACACGTTCTTGGAACATTTTACATGGTTTTGGGATTTAATTTAGCCAAAATGAATCCAACTTTCCTAGTTAGCTTTTTAAATGTGGCTAGCTTAATTCCTTTGCCTTTTGTCACTTATTGGTTCAAGGTTGCTGGCCCTGGGGTCTCAGGATACTGGGCACATGCCGTTTTTTAAAGGGGGCCTCCCTGTGCCCTTTTCTCCATCAGAAATTAACACAATCCTTACGCTTCAAAGTGAAGTGGGGAAGCACATTCATATTCAAATAAGAGTTTTCGCTCTGATTTAAAAATAAATAAATAAATACTTTAGCTCAAATTTATGCTTAATCTGAAGATCCATGATCCCTTCATGGAGTGCGGAGCTGCTCATGTAGGGGGATCGGTGGAGGTGACTCATTCTGCAGAGCAGCAGCTGCAGCCGTCACATAGACAAGCCGCCAGACCCCACAGGCCAGGAGAAAAGAGACAGGGAGAAGGAAAAGGAGGAATGAGTGCTCTTAGAGCAAAGAAACAGCCTTGTGCTTGCATGAAGTCCTGCAAGGTTGAACGCCTCTTCAGGTAATTCCCTTCTTCTTGTCAGTCATTATTCCATCATTTCTTTCAGGAATCACTTGCCAGCAAGCCAGTGTCCTACCGTCATAGACTGTGACTTCCTGGAGTGCAAGCATGATGTCTTATTCATCTCTTAGTCATCCTACCCTACACTTCATGCCTAGCATGGTGGGGGCTACGAGTAGATGTTTGAGGAGCAAGTGATACCTCAGGAGTTGGGACCATCCTGTAAACTACAACTAACTAAGTGACCCTGAAAGGGGGGCCATTAAACTTCTGCTGCCAGCCCTAACTGAGGGCGTGGGTTGCTCACTTTTCAGTTTGCACAAAAGCTCATTTGCTGCTGCTTTCATCATTTATTTGATTCCTCTGCTTTCAACAAGTTGGTGTTGGGAAAGTTCAGCTAACTATCCCCACAGCTCCCCATGTGCAGTGTGGGAAGAATGTTTAAAGCTGGCTTCATAGAAGGAGTGAAGGCTAATGTTCAGTTCGGAGGAAGGATAATAGCTGGAATGCATAGTTCAGCGTCTGTCTCTGCCATTCAGGGGCTGGGACATTGGAAGGTTTGCTTCTATCAACAGATTAGTTAAGAAGACATTGAAGGGCATAAAGGCCACAGTAAGATAAGTTCTAAGACTTGTAAATACAGTTTAAATAAGAGTTAAACCACTAAAATCCACACACAATTGATGTAATTAGTCATCTTTGGAAGTAAAGTAAAAAAATCATTTATAAATGTGTGAGCCAAGAACTTAAGGATGCCTAAGAAACCAATCAAGGTGAACTTAAGAGAAATCTCAGGGAACCAGCAAGGGCAGTACTTAGAACCCAACCAATTGTACGCATTCTGCTTGAAGAATGCTTTAGAACAAAATGTCTGGGGTGTGGGGTGGGTACAAAGAAATGATCAGTTATAAGAATAAAGAAAAAAGGGGCCTGGTGCGGTGGCTCACGCCTGTAATCCCAGCACTTTGGGAGGCCAAGGCAGGCGGATCAAGAGGTCAGGAGATCGAGACCATCCTGGCTAACACGGTGAAACCCCGTCTCTACTAAAAATACAAAAAAAAAAAGGTTAGCCGGGCGTGGTGGCTCGCACCTGTAGTCCCAGCTGCTGGGGAGGCTGAGGCAGGAGAATGGTGTGAACCCGGGAGGCGGAACTTGCAGTGAGCCGAGATCGCGCCACTGCACTCCAGCCTGGGTGACAGGGTGACACTCCGTCTCAAAAAAAAAAAAATAAATAAAATAAAATAAAGAAAAAGGTGGGGTGTTGCAGAGGCAAATGTTGGTAGACCCACTAAGGCACTATAACAGCTCTGGACAGAGTCTTCTTGTCCTTGACTTGCTGAGAGAGCCTAAAGCATCTCAATGGAGAGACACTTCTGAAGCTTAACTCACTGCCTGCATTCTGAGCCAGTGTGCTGATTTGGCCAGAGTGAATAACCAGTACTCTTATTAGTTGTATTTTTCTGGGTAAATTAACAAACTGGTGTGTGTGTGTGTGTGTGTGTGTGTGTGTGTGTGTGTGGCTTGGAGGCTGTGTCAGCACCTGGGGCATGGAGGATGCTACTCTAATGATGTCAAGAGAGTCAGGATCTGGAGTCTGAAAGGACAGTGATGAGTCTCTGAGGCCAAGGCCATCAGTGGGCCTTCTCTGCATCCTTCTGTGTCATAGGCTGAGCTGCCCATTTTCAGGTGCAAAAGAAGATACTCTTCAAAGATGATGGCCATTCCTTGGCTTCCAACCAAGGCTATACTTTTCTTCAATGCTCTCAAACTTTTTGACTATGGGGAAAGTCCCATGGCTAACTTACCTCATCTTATATAAACTACCCCCTGCAAAGCCATATTTCAATATTTGTAAGGCTTACAAGGTAGACTATGCTAGCCCGTTGTGAGCCTTAGACTCCCGTGTGTGTCACGATCCCAGCCACAGGACTTCTACTGGAATTTTACAGCAGAAGGGCACTGTCTTTCTTGGCAGTCTGTTCAGCTCTGCGAATGTGCCCTGTCTCCACTGTGTGCTGGCTGCACAAAACACCTCTAATTCCTTGAGATGAAAGTTGCCACCAAAAGCAGGAAGTGCCTGTAAAGATGGAGGGGTCAACTCTAGGGGCTGAGGGCTGCAGAAGCTATGTTTTCACTGGGAAACAGACTAGAGTGGGAAGGTGAGATCTGTAATGATGGAGTGGTCTGCTCCTAGATAATTAACATTCACACCACAGAAGTGAGAGGAGAACCAGTAGGATGTAATAAGGCCTAGCAGAAGGTCTTTCCACACACACACACACACACACACACACACACACACACACACACACACACACAAGCTTTAAATGGTTCTATAGCGATAGCAACTGTCTTTGCTCTGCTCACAAGCCTGGCCAAGAGCTCGGGCTCCCTCTGTGATGACAAGAAAAAGGGGTCTGAAGGGGCCAGACTCAATGCATAGGCAGACCCTCCATGGGGAATCTGAGATGAGTGCTGTGTAAAGGCTTTTCTGTCCCAAAAGCTCTATGTTGTGGAAATGATGCCTGGAATTATCCAGCGTCAGGAACTTGCACCTGGACCGGAAAGTCAGGACCCTTGGCTGGAAAGTATTGAGTGGGGAGAAGAAGTGGGTTTGGCCCCAGATAAAGAGCATTGCTTAGGGACAACAGCAAAGAATAGGGGTAAGATCAAGAGCAACTCAAGAGCCACCTAATTCATGGGTAAGAACAAATCAGAAGTTGGGAGAAGAACACAGAAAAGGAAAATAGCTGAATTCAAGCAAAAGAAGCATCTCTGTGGTTTTGCCCACAATCAGTTGTAGTCACAGATACCATATTTTAAAAGTAAAAACCACGTCTGTCATCAACTGGTCATAACAACTCAAAAATATTTTTTAACTCTACATCTCTTACGCATTTTTTTTAGGGAAAAATAACTGAACACAGTGAACTGTATTCTTTGTTTGCAGGACTCTCCTTTTCATTTTTATACCAGATTTTTCAGCCAAGAATATTTGTCCTAAAGCTATTTAATAAATGAGCTGGTTGAAGACCTCACAACAGATTGCTGACAGCCCCAGTTACTTCTTTAAGGCAATGCCCATGAGCTGAAATGCTAGCACATACTCATGGACACAAACTTACTCAGAACTGCCTTCAGAAAGATGCAATTTATGATAGTACAGGGCAGCAGAAGGTCACATCATGTAAAACATGGGCACACAAAACAAAGCAAAAACAAGTAATTATTAAATTTTGTGAGTCATCCTGATAATAATGGAATCTTCCAGATACTTTCAGCACCTGAAAAAGACACAGAGTGTGGCATTTAGACTAGCACAGAGAAGGCACTCTTTCCAGTAAGGTTACTGAGTTTTATGTGGCATCTTATCGCCTGTCTTCCTTCTGGCACTTCCTAAGGAAGGGTGATGACGATATGCTCATTCCCACCACCATCAGTTCAGGGACAATGATCACCCTATTGACGAAGTTGGCCCAGGTGATTATGGTGGCACACATAGGCGTAATAAGCAGCCATAAGAAACGCAACCTCAGTTTTCCCACTTATTAAATGAGATTAAGCATCCCACTTAGGCATGATGCATAATCTCAACCTACTTCACTAGAAGACTGTCTGAACATAGAACAAAAAGAAGCATGCCTAGCTAGATGTAGAACAAAAAGAAATATGCCTAGCTAGATGTTCTGTGGAAGGGCATGATACAAAGTATTGCAACTGCTATATGTTAAGAAACAAGTAACTCTAGGACCCTGAAAGGTTTTATGCAGAAGTGCATGCAAGAGTTTCATTTTGAATCTCATTAAAGCATCCCTCACTTATTAAGTGTAACATGAATCTTAACTGAAAAAAATTAAACTACTGTGTAAGCATTCCTAGAGTATGGTCTAAGTTTAAATGAAGCTCTTGTTTAATGATATCAGCCATAGTCTCATTCTGCAGGTGCCTTGTCTGCACATCTTTGTTCTCTCCTTTCTTCTGGAAACCAGTAAGCCCTCAGTATGTGTGTGTGTGTCTGTGTGTGTGTGTGGGTGTGGGTGTGCGCGAGTGCGCGCTCACGCGCCCACGCGCCCACGCCCCCACGCCCACCACTTCTTGTCTGCTGGGGACCCAGTGGGTTCAGGTCTCAGGAGGAACACAGAAGCTGTGCCTGCATTACCCAGTGAAGCTTTGATTTCTTTTGTTCCTGCTGCTGGAGCCTCCTTGGCTGATTAAGTCTGAGGCTTCTTCCAGGTTTTGTTGGTCCATGAATGGAGCCTCTTCAGTGCTCACTGGAGTGCGGTATCATTGATACTTCCTCCGCCTGGCTCCCTCCCTCTCCCAGCCCAGCAGAGCTGATGGATTAATCCTGTTGTGCGCTTGTAAGTCTCCCAGGCAGAAATGTAAGCTAGGGTAGAAAAAGATGGCTCAGGTTGGATGGGACCACAGAGACCTTCCTTTCTATACTCCTCATTTTACTTAATTAGGCTTCAAGAGGTATAGGGCAGAGCAGTGAAGGGCCTGGCCCAAGTCTCTCAGAGGGTTGGGGCAAGTCTAGACTTCCCCAGGGCTTTCTACTTTACTTGTTCCAGCACAGGCCCTTCTCAGTGGGAAGCCTGCAAGAATTTTTTTGCCCTTGCTGTAGAACAGTAACATTGTATCTACATACAGAACAATAACACTGTATCTAGATGCATCTTTTACATTTTTACAGCAAAGTGAAGGACCTGCTGACTAAAATCATAGATTTTTCATATGGGAAGTGAAGGGAATCTGTAGTACTTTCTAACAAGAGTCGGAAAACTGTCTTGTTTGCTAATAATTGCTTTGCCTATAATTTTTATTTTCCTGCCATATCCTCCAGTTTCACACATATGTCCCCAAACCCTTAAGTCTGTGGATTGCCTGTCTCCAGCATAGGAAGAGACCATGGCTTATGACAATTTTCTTCTTCAGAGACAACATTTTATAGCATTCATCACTTCCTGACATTATATATACTTATTTGTCTGTCTGCCCTCACTAAAATATAGGCCTCATTAGGATAGAGGTTTTGTTTTGTTCACTGATGTGTCCCTCTCCAATGCCTGTAATTGGAGTCTACATCAGAGTAAGCACTCAAAAAAGCATGGAGGCCAGGCATTGTGGCTCACATCCCAGCATATTGGGAGGCTGAAGCAGGAGGATTGCTTGAAGCCAGAAGTTCAAGACCAGCCTGAACAACATAGCAAGATCCCTATCTCTACAATAATAATAATAATAATGATGATGATAATAAATCAGTCAGGCATGGTAGTACATACCTAGTAGTATTAGCTACTTGGGACTGAAGTGGAAGGATTGCTTGAGCCCAGGAGTTCAGGACTGCATTGACCCATGATTGAAGCACTGCACTGTAGCCCAAGAAACAGAGGGAAGCCCTTTTTATTAAAAAAAAAAAAAAAAAAAAGGAATGAGTGAATGAATAAATGAAATCTACTTTCCCATGCACTGGCACCGAAAAGGAAAAATAGGAAAAATAAAAACATTGGCTAAATGGACAGGGAAAGGACCTGCTCTTAGCTCTGAACCCTCCCTGACTCCCTTTCCTTCCCCCTTCCCACCCAGAACTCCAATCACTGGCTTCCCTTTCTTCTCAAAACAACCTAGTAGTCCCTGCATCTTCACAAGAGACCATAAATAGCAACAGCCATTTTAAAGTAACACCTTCCAGAGGGCATTTTAGAAACACTCTAAGCCTTAAGCCAAAAGGAAGAGTACCTAATGGTAGAATTAAAGGGATTCGCTAACAGATGGGAGATGGGACCTTTGCATAGGCCATTATAATCCAGCTTCTTCATAGCCTTGGAATACCCCTGGCCACTGAAACAGAATTCCTGAGAACCCTTGCCTTTGAATGTGGAATGGTGACCAGAGAGTGGAAAAATCTCATCTTCAAATGACAGTATTTGAAAGGATATAACACAAATATGTCACTCTTACGTTGATATTCCCAGCGTAAATTGGCAAAGGCCCTTGAAAGTGCAATTTGGCACCATACCGTGAGAACCAAAAAATATTTAAGCCCTTTGATCTAGACATCTTACTATTATGAGTTTATTCTAAGAAAATAATCAAAAATAAGATAAAAGCTTTTTGCACAAAAAGTACACTGTCACATTTTTAAAAAACAAAAAGTGTATGATTGGATTGTTTGTAACACAAAGAATAAATGCTTGAGGGGATGGATACTCCATTTACCGTGATGTGAATATTACCCATTGCGTGCCTGTATCAAGTGTCTCAGTGTATATTTATATACACCTACTATATACCCACAAAAATTAAAAATAAAATTTTTTTAAAGTACAATTTTAAAAATATATTATTTCTAGTAGTTACAGCTTGGAAAAAAATTAAATGATGAATAATAGAACAAACCCACAATGTAAATTATACAACAACACATCTGAGTGACATTGCATCTGAGCTACTTAATAGCTGTGATAACTTGGGTAAATTATTTAACATCTCCAAGCTTCAGTTTCCTTTTCTATAAAATCCTGTTTCTGCAATAACAGCACCTACTTTATGAAGCTGTGAGGATTAAATGGCATTATTGCGGATAATGTACTTAGCGTAGTGCCTGGCACAATGATCGCTTATTGTGGTTATTATTTCAAAAGATAGTATTATATCTTTCTGGCCCAAAACATGCAAATCTCTCAATATTCTAGTCAAATAACTATGACAGAAACCATACTGAGGTAAGTATATATCTTCCTATCAGCATAGGTTTGGGATTTGATTCCAAACAGGCAGGACTCAAAAGTAGTTTTGCCCAGAGGTTGCCTCACATTTTTACCCCCAATTAACAAAAACAAAAACAAAATAAAAACCCTTGGCTTTGGAGAATAGGGTGGATAATTCTTTCCTTTCATCTGTTTTGCCTGGGTACATTTTGTGGAAGGAAGAGAATTGTGGGTGGAATGGGAAAGGAAAGAGGTGAAAGGGGTCCAGTTAATGAGATCGTTTCTTCCCTGTCTTTTCAGCTGTTTTTGAACTTGTTTTTAACCATGCAGCCCTCACAAAACTTTTACCCACTCCCCTTCTCCCCTCCTCTCAACTCCCAGTTCAAGCCTCTGGGCCGTAAAAGATCAAATCTGATGCTATTGCCAAGTTGTGCAGATCTGGACTCCTCAAAGACCAGGGGACGCCTAATTGGAGAATCTCTGGGAACCATCATTAAGGAGAACTGGTCTTGGACTTTGAAAAAAAAAAGTACATCGGTTCAATTTGCAAAGCATTCTCCCTTTTCCAACTCACTCTTACCCCTTTATTTACCTACTGCAGATTAGGCTCCAAATCTGAGATTTTTCTCTTTTTAACTGTTCATGGGATGGTAATTTGATCTTCTTGGCTCATTGTCTGTTTGTTTATTGTTGGGGGAAATGGTGTGTGTGTGTGTGTGTGTGTGTGTGTGTGTGTGTGTGTGTGCGTGCATACATGTTGGCCAGTATATTTGCACTGAAGTTCCTAGGGCTGACCCCTGGTGCTTGTGAATTTATGCCCGTGGACAATCAGGGGTATACTATTCTGGGGTTTAGCTTGTGTGTCTTGAGGCATAAATATCTGTCCACATTTGTATATTTGAGTATTTGGACATATTTGTATCAACTTTTATGTTAGCCAAAAAGAACAGCCTGCCAAGAGAAGCGTGTGTTTTCCACTGAAGGGTTTCTAGGATGATATAACCCCCCAAATGAATGATAGAGGAGCCTATGCTATGCAAGGATAACAGTTACACACCACACACTTTCTGGATTATTTGAGAAAACAGGCAGGGCTGCATTTCATGGGCCTTAGGTACTTTTGCCCTTGTGCACACCTTTCACCATAAAAAAGTATTAAAAATTATCTTTTATAACTCCATTGGTATAAATTATATTCATCATTTTTTCTTTTGATTTTATGATAAGTTAAAACATGTTTATGGGCCCTTAAAAGGATTGTGGGGTCCTGGCCCTGGGCTGGTGGTATCTGGTGGATGTCAGCCTAGGGCTAGGACACAGCTCAGAGAGGGACTGTGGTGAAGGGGCTCAAGATCTTTCCCACAAACATTCCACTGTGGTAGCCTTCCATTTCCAATATTTGAGAGATTAGGGATTTCGCATATAAAACCAATGACTGACATTTCTTGTTCACCAGCAGGAGATAAGCATATGGCAGTGGTTAAGAACATGGTTCTTGCAGCCAATCAGACTTTGAAGTGAATTCCAGCTCTGCCACTCACTACCTATGTGACCTTGGGCAATCATTTAACCTCTCTGAGCCTCAGTTTCCTCACCTATAGAATGGGGAAAACAATACATACCTCATAGCATTGTGAGAATTGAAGGAGGGAATGAACGTAAAATGGCTTAGCGCAGTGCCTGGCTCTTCAGGGAAGCATGCGCTAAGTAGCAGCTGTTGTAATGTATTTCTCATTTCTGCTTGGGGGCTTTGGTGCAACATGAATTTAGTCACTTGGTTCAAAGTGCAATTAATTATATACCCAGGTGAATAAAAATCAGATGGTCGTGTCAGAAAAATTCACTTGATGCTATCATTGACTAGTTCTTTACAAATGCAATAGGCAGGTAAACATGCTGGTTCTCAACCTTTTCTAGCCGAACTTTTTGCCCATTCTTCAGCTCCAAGGTGCCATGTTCCTTCCCTGGAACCCACCTAGCTCATTAACAAGTTTTCATCCTTCAGACTTTTTTCCCCCCACTGCTTCTCACACTGAAGATAAGGTTTTCCACTATAGCTGATCCACCTCATCCAATCTAAGTTTCTTGTTTCTCTCAATATTTCATTTTTCTTCATCGTTGCATATCTCCACATATCCTAAAAATAATAAATACCTTTTTTATTTTTACTTACCTGATGTCAGGTGCTACGCACACAATGTTTCTTTTCATTTTCTAAGGAACACTGCAAGGTAGTAAAAATAACCTGGTTTTGTCTGTTTGTTTTTGTTTTTTTTGCAAATGAGAAAACTGAACTTCAGAGCAGTTAAGCAACTGCCCTCAAATCAGACTGATGGGATTTGAAGCTATAACTTTCTTGTGCCGAAGGCTTAGCATGCTTTTTTCATTAATTAAGTCTATAGTCTCTTATCTACAATTTCTAAATCTAAAAAAGAGCTCTAAATATCACAAAATATTTTCTTGAAAAACTCTTTTGGTAAAAAACCTGGCCTTGGCTGGGTGCAGTGGCTCACGCCTGTAATCCCAGCACTTTGAGAGCCTGAGGTGGGCGGATCACCTGATGTCGGGAGTTCGAGACCAGCCTGACCAACATGGAGAAACTCCGTCTCTATTAAAACACAAAATTAGCCAGGTGTGGTGGCACATGCCTGTAATCCCAGCTACTTGGGAGGCTGAAGCGGGATAATTGCTTGAGCCTGGGAGGCAGAGGTTGTGGTGAGCTGATATTGCACCATTGCACTCCAGCCTGGGCAATAAGAGCGAAACTCCATCTCAAAAAAAAAAAAAAAAAAAAAAAAAGAAAACAACAACCTGGCCTTGGCCAGTTGCAGTGGCTCATATAATCCCAGCACTTTGGGAGGCCCAGATGGGTGGATCACCTGAGGTCAGGAGTTCGAGACCAGCCTGGACAACATGGTGAAACCCTGTCTCTACTAAAAATACTAAAATTAGCCAGGCATAGTGGCAGGTGCCTGTAATCCCAGCTACTTGGGAGGCTGAGGCAGGAGAATCACTTGAACCTGGGAGGTGGAGGTTGCAGTGAGCCGAGATCACGACGCTGCACTCCAGCCTAGGTGACAGAGCAAGACTCTGTCTCAAAAAAAAAAAAAAAAAAAAAAAGTTGGGGCAGAGGGAGACCTGGGCTGTAGTGATGTGAGGCTGATTATAATGTTCATTTATCTCAGCTAGTGTGATCAGTAAGATAGGGCTTCCCAGTGCACTGCGTTTTCTGCTATTAAAGTTTAAGAAAGAAGCAATGAGCCCCAGACCAGAGGACTGCCCTATCAGCTGAGCCATGTAGGGCCCCTTGTGTCCTAGCAGTGACCCTACAAAGTGGTAAGCATGTTGGAACTCTGAACCACTACCCTGAAGCTCAGCCAAAGCAATATTCCATGTGGGCTGATACTGGATTTCCCATCCAGGTCCCTGAAGGGCTGATGTGAACTGGCTAAGCAACTCTTCCCAGTAAGCAGACCCAGGCCATGCAGAGTAAAATAAATCTCCCAACTTGGCTATTGAAGGGGAGAAGATTGAATCCTGCTGCTGACAAAGGGGCCCACTGGGACAGTTCATGCAGAAAAGCAAGAGCGAAACACCCAGCTGAGTGGACACCAAATTAGGATACCAAACAGCACATGAGCATGTAGTTGTACCTATCAATAGCAATTCCTACCCTACCCATTAAAATGCCAGGATAGACAGAGGTATACTGGGTATTCAGAATGGAACTATAAGAACTCTAAGGAATCAGGAGAGAGAGAGAGAGAGAAAGAGAGAGAGAGAGAGAGAGAAGATGCACCAGCTCTGTGGACTAGAGACTAGGACCCAAGACATCTCACCCTGGAATTTCCCTCTGTAGCAAGTGATGTATTTTCTTCTTGATGAGAGGAAGTTGACACTTGGCCAGAAATACAGCCTCTCCAGGTCTCTGAGATTTGGAAACCTGACAAGAAGGTGACATGGGAAAGGGCTAATAAGGTTGAATCTGGAGATTCCTGGTGGAAACCAATTGCCAAACTCTCATCTGTGAGGCCTAAGAAGGGCTCCTCTTTCTTAGGGAACTGTCAGAAGTGAATCCCTATGAGGCTGGAATATACAAACATGCACCAATGATCCTTTCAGACTGCTGGTTGTAAGCCAGCAAAGTCTGCAGATCCTCATCCAATGAAGAGAAAAATAAGTGAAGAGGGAGCATTTTAGCCATAAATTCCTCAAAGCTTTACCAACGTCATATCTCAGCTCTCCATCCCTTTTCAAGAAATGACTAAGGATAGATATTTGGCTTCTCCCTGCTTGGGTGATGTCATTTCCTTTATTTCCTAGATTTTGCCTTTAGTGAAATGATACAATCCATCCCTCACCAGAACAGAAATAACACTTTTCAGACTGGAACAAGGCCAGATCTAGGCCCTTGAGCTTTGCAAAAGTACATTAAATACTTTGTCTTTTATTTCTGGTCCTTGACTCCGTTGAGGGTGGGGAAGATTGAGAGAGAAGGCTCATATGAAAGGTGAAAACGTTAAATGTGAGTGCTTTATTATTCATTAGGTTCTCTTGTCGCTTAGATGGAAAGGTACAACCAGAAAGCCCTTCCTTTCCAACATCTTGAAGCCCACAAAGGCACTTAGATGCCGTCAGAAACAACTGCTATTGATGGACTAAAGAGAGTTCAGAGCTGGAGAATTAGAGATTTGGAAAAGAGCCCTGGATGTCATCAAATGCTACCCCTCTAATTAAGGAATGAGAACACTGATGCCCAGAGAAGCCAAGGGACATTCTTAGTTGGTGGAAGAAACATAAATTTAGAAATCACAGGCTGGGCTCAGTGGCTTATGCCTGTAATCCCAATACTTTGGAAGGGTGAGGCAGGCGGATCACGAGGTCAGGAGTTTGAGACCAGCCTGGCCAATATGGTGAAACCCCATCTTTACTAGAAATACAAAAACTAGCTGGGCATAGTGGCGGGTGCCTGTAATCACAGCTACTCGGGAGGCTGAGGCAGAAGAATCGCTTGAACCCGGGAGATGGAGGTTGCAGTAAGCCGAGATCGTGCCATTACACTCCAGCCTGGGCAACAGCAGCAAGACTCTATCTCAAAAAAAAAAAAAAAAAAAAAAAAAAAAGAAAAAAAAAGAAACTAAGCAAGCAAGCAAGCAAGCAAGAAAGAAACCACAGTTCATGTATCTGGCTACCGGCTCAATCAAGTACCTTGGTGTAGTCCAGGCTCTGGTACCACTAGATACATCTACATCACGTTCTTCTTGATAAAAGGGAATAGAGTTCACCAGCACAATCTCTTTTCTCACATTTAAAATGAGGATTTTACATGTTGGATAATGCCAACTGCTGGCAGAGATGTGGGCACATAGGACCCTCATGTACCACTGGTGGGAATATAGATAGCACAGCCGTTCTGGAGAGCAATCTGGCTCTACTTAGTCAAATTAATATTTACAAATCATATGACCCCCTGATTTCAATCCTAGATATTATAGCCCTGTGAAATGCTTACAGTGTTCCATAGGGGATAGTACAAGCAGTGTTGTTTGTGGTTTCAAGGAGTAAGGGCCAACCTGGCGGGCTTTGGGAGTGGACAGAAAGTCCACCCTGGAGGGCTAAGCAGCAGTGAGAAGTGACAGATGAGATGAGTACATGAAGCATGCATGGCCTTAAACTGGTACTCCAGGGGGAAGAAAAGTAAGGTTAGGGTGTGATATAGACCATATTTCATCAAATCTAAATACCACCTATTGTTCAATGGACTATCAATAAAAAAGAAAAAAAGCTCTGCCAATTAAATGGTGGCATACCATTTATTGTAAGATGAATCCTGACTTCAGAGATTTAAATGTGAAAAAATGTGTTAAAATACATTTATATAAATGGAAATACATGTGCACAGAATAATATATTTTGCAAGAACACATTCAAATACACCTTAAATACCTTGCACAGGGGTTGTGGAGATGAAATGGGAATGGCGTATGGGAATAAGAGCGACTAAGCAAACAAATGGAGGAGCTTAGCATGAAACAAAGATAATCAAGGGTTAACTAGGAGCCACTGTGGGTTGAAAAAGTGAGAAGGCATATATAATGTTAATAACACCCACTCCGAGGGTCTGTGGTGAGCACTAGCCAAGATCACCCAGGCATAAGCCACAGCATGAAGGAGGGTTTGCAAGTTGTTCCCACTCTTCATCTTTGTATTTGAAGGTGCTGCCCAGCATAGGAGTTAAAGAGAAAGCCTTAATGTTCTCAACATGGTTTACTTCCTTAAAATACAGGTAAACTTAAGTTTGCTTCATGTTCAAGAGTCAATAAATATGGAAAACAATAGCAGTCTTTTGCTTTTCTGACACCGGAAATCTGCTTGATCATTTGTATGTATATATGTATGTATTTGAGATGGGGTCTTGCTCTGTCTTCCAGGCTGGAGTGTGGTGGCATGATCATTGTTCACTGCAGCCTTGATTGCCCAGGCTAAAGTGATCCTTCCACCTCAGTCTCCCAAGTAGCTGGGACCACAGGTGCATGTCACCATGCCTGGTAAGTTTTTTTTTTTTTTAATTATTCGTAGAGACAAGGTCTCAGTATGTTTCCAACGCTGGTCTCATACTCCTGAGCTCAAGTGATCCTTCTGCCTTGGCCTCCCAAAGTCCTGGGATTACAGGCATGAGCCACCATGCTCAGCCTCTGATTATTTGTTTACAGAAGGTTTTAAACATCACAATGAGAGACAGGATGATGGCAATGATAATGATGAATAAATACCGGTGTTTTTTTTTTCTAGTACTTCTATTTTTGTAGTATTTCTAGAAATACTACATTTCTAAAAGTTTTTTGGATGGTTTTCCAATTTCTCTGGAGGAGCAATGCAAAATCAATCCAAGAAGCAAATAACATCCAAGCAAAGACTCTGCTGGGGGCCATCAGGAAATGGGTCAACTTCCCTGGAAGAAGCTCATCCATTGCTGAAGAGAAGAACACATTCTTCCTGAAAACAGGAAGCACTTTCTTGAAGGAACATCAAGAAAAGGGCACTACTCTGCATAAGGTGCTCTGGGAAGGAAGAATGAGGACTGATGGGGTGCAGTGAAAAGTATACAAATTATGGCTTTCAATAATGTCCTCTTTTTTGATTCCAAAGAGAAGTATAAAATCTTCTTAGGGACTCCATTAGACCTCTAACGAATATAGCGAGGAACTCTCCCCTTTCCAAAATGAGTGATGAACCCTAGGCTTGAGGAAAAAAAAAGATCTTGATCTTTAGAAGTCAGACAATGGCAAAGTAAACATTTTAATAAAAGTGGACAAAGTTAGTCACATTGCAAGCTTTCTGCCTGCAGAGGCAGCCCTGTGACCATGTGGCCACCATGAGAAAGGCTACTGACATTGATGTCATTTTTTTCCCAGCAAAGAACACTATTCTGGATTCTCTGCACCAAGGGAGATTTAAAAAACAAAAGGTTGCCGCCCACAGTGTCTAGAAACCCACAGTATCTAGAAATACATGTCATTAAGAGGTATAAGAGAGAGAGGATGCGTATGGAGTCTAGGCCTCGGCCCCTTTACAAGGGAACAGGGATTGGGAAAGAAGCCCTAGAATCTCCAGGTTTCTAGAAGTCTTCTTTGTCTCCTTTCCTTTGCTTTGCTCTTACATTTCAGCAGAATGGCTGTTTCCCACTGGGTAAGGACTCTCTAGGGTCTCTCTGAGCTCAAGAGTTTTATCATTAATTATCTGGGGCACAGTAAAAAAGGATGTTTCTGTTCATCTCCTATATTTACAAAGTGTCATTGGACGTAACTAAGGAAAAGTTGTTTTCCTTAAATTTCCAGACTAAAGACATTCGGGGAAATTAAACAACTAGGATTTAAATCCAAATAATGACTATTTGTTTTAGTTTTGAAGGTTTTGCATTGTTTTCCCCAATGAGGACAGTCATAGCTGGTTCTGAGGGGGCAATCCCGCCGGGGAGCAACTCTACTTTTCAGGGAGAATCGGCAGGGCCTTCTGGAAGAAGGGGCATATCCAGGTAACTCATGATTTACTCATTTGCCTCCTTTTTCCAGACTCAGAGACTCTTAAAGCTGGGAAGGGCCTCACAGATTACATGGTCAGTGTTTCCCAACCTGGTGTCCTTGAACAGGTAGGGGATCCTCAAAGGCAAAAAAAAAAAAAAAAAAAAAAAAGGTTCTAAAAGCTTTTCTTCAATAATTTTCAAAGCCTAAAGGGGCTTTTAAACAAATTCCCCACCTCATGATGCTGCCAAGCAATTCAGTTGATAGCACTGCTAACTTATGAGCTTTTGAGGCCCTGGTTGGCTGATGATGACATCATGGCAAAAATATAGGAATAGTAGGCCTTAGAGATAAAAACTCACTTTGTAGTTCAGTAACTGAGATTCTCAGTGGGTTGTAACAAGTTACACAGAATGAATGACTGGATGGGATTTTTCAGAAGCTCCTGAGGCAATAAATGAACTTTCTGTTTCTCAGTTCAAATAAAGTCCCTGAATGAGTGAATATTTAAACTTCTTTTTAGGCCCAAAATTAAGTTTGAATAGGTAGCATTCCACTTTTTCACAGTTTTATTCTGCATGTATAGAATGCTGAAGAAGGAATATGAATATGAATAGCCTGCTTTTCCCAATTTTTCTTGGAGACTCAGAATTTGCCCCAAACCTTAGTTTGCAGACATGTATGGACTCATTTCCTTTTTATTGTACAGGAATATAGCAGATTCCAGCCCCCAAATTTAAAATCCTATTTGTCTAAACGGTCTGTTACTGACGTATTAAACGATGTTAAAAGATTCAGGAGTTTCTTTTGCCAGTGTTAAGCAGGCAAGTGAAGTAAGCTCCACACAAAATCCTTAGCGAATTGCTCTGTTAACCACACAATCTCACCAAACTTAAGTCCATAGAAAACAACATTTTTTAATATTGATGTCCATGTGTTTATAGGTATGTATAAGAAGGCAGGTTGTGACTAAACAGGAAAGTTAAAGGAAAAGGAGAGCTGGCCGCAATGATACCGCTACTCAGGAGGCTGAGGTGGAAGGATCACTTGAGCCCAGGAGTTCAAGGTTACAGAGGGCTAAAATCATGTCACTGCACTCCAACCTGGGTGACAGAACAAGACACTGACTCAAACACACACACACAACAACAACAATAAGCCAAAACCAAAAACAAAAACAAAAAAATCCCGGGAGAATCTATTGCTACACTGTGTTCTTCCTCTCCATCCCATCTGGGAAACCGTTTCTGTTCATTTAAATGCTCTTGACTATCAGGGAAGATAAGGTGTTCCATAAGGGCACTATAAGGCTAAGAGACATGATAGTTAGGCAATAGATTTCCTAAAAAATTTCTTTGATGCCGAGCCTCAGGTGGCTGGGGCCATGTGAAAGACGCTCGCTATGAAAGTGAATCTTTATCTTGAGGACTGTTCAAGCTTGAAAAGTTAGCACAGGTCCTAGAGAAATGTTCAAGAAAGAACTGAGCTTCTCTTACATAGTCACTTTATTACTACGAGATCTAACCATCGTTGGTCCCACTGAGATTTCCAGAACACTTGAAAATCCAAAAACAAACAAACAAAAACCACATGAGAAAGGCTTTTAAAGATAATCACTATGTCCTGAGAAGAAGCAAAAGGATGAGAAGAGAACCCGGTGTCAAGAGTGCACTTGGGTGATGGGTGCACCAAAATCTCACAAATTGCCACTAAAGAACTTACTCACTTAAACAGATACCACCTGTACTCCAATAACTTACGGGGGGAAAACAAAGCAAAAAAAAAAGAGTGCAATTGGAAGAGAGGTACTAGTCATGACTGTTTGCTTCTCCCTGGCTATAGTTTGTGCTTTTTAAAGTTATTGGGATACAATTCACATACTGTTTTACCGTTTTAAATTGTACAGTTTAGTGGGTTTTAATACATTCAGAAAATTGTACAACCATCACCACTATCTAATTCCAGGACATTTCTTTCCCCCAGAAAGAAATCCTGTCCCCATGAGCAGTCTTTCTTTTTTGAGACAGTCTCACTGTCTCCCAGGCTGGAGGGCAGTGGCACTATCATAGCTTACTGCAGCCTCGAACTACTGGGCTCAAGGGATCCTCCCACCTCTGCCTCCCAAGTAGCTGGGACTACAGGCATGTGCCACCACACCCGGCTAATTTTTTTTTTTTTTTTTTTTTTTTTTTGTAGAGACAAGGTCTTACTATATTGCCCAGGCTGATTTCAAACTCCTGGGCTCAAGTGATCCAATGAGCAGTCTTGTTGACTTGCATGTAGGCTTGCCTCAAGTATACCACACCATTCATCCCTCTGTTCATTCAACCAACATTGTTTGTTGAATTACCCCATGCCTGGAGCACTTACTAAGCTCCAGGCATGGTGTAATTTTGCCCCTACCCTTTGCAGCAGAGGCCTGCACAGCACAGTGTCAAGGATTACCTTAAGGAGCAGAGTTTTCTTTAGGGTTACAGCGGAGTGTGAGATCGTGGGAGATAAGGGTGAGTCACTGATCAATGGCTCAGTGAGAGTTGTGGGGAAGGAATTGAGGCTGACAAAAAGTACACAGTGAGGTTATATGTTCTTCAGGAAGGTTTGCTGTGCTGTTTAGGTTCCTTTTTAAAAGTTCATGGCTTTCAGGAGTTGTTACCTCCCCAGAGGAGGTGTTGGCCGGCAAACTAAACCCTGTACATTTTTAGACTCCTACACCTCTCCTCCACATTTCCTGCTCTGTCCACATCCAGCTGCAAAACTTCTTTCCATTTTTGACAATTTCCATATCCATATTCATTTCTTTCACGTGGTTGTCTTTTGCATGTCTTTTTCCAATCATTCCTGCCCCCACCCTGCTGCCCTGGTGCCCCTCACCCCCGGTGAATCTCTTCTGCTTTTGTGGTCTCTTCTTTCTTCTTCCATTTTTCTTCCTTTTTACTACTCTTTGCCCTCACACCCAAGGTATGCAGCAGGCTTGGATGAGAGAGTCACACGGAAGGGACTGTTTATACGTAAGAATGTTTGTCTTCTCTCCAGACGCACTGACACTTAGGGAGGGAAAGTGCGAACTCTACTCGCAGCCTCTCCTTTGCTCATGCCATTATTTATAATTATGATAATAGAAAATAATATTGATTTAACTTTTACTGTGAACCAGACACTGTGCTAAATTCTTTTCAGACTTTATCTCATCGAATCCTCACAACAATCCAACAAGGCAAGTACTATTATGACCTCCAGTTCACAGATGGGAAAACTGAGTCTTGGCGTGATTAAAGCACTTGCTTAATATCCTAAGCTAGTAAATATCGGAAAGTCACCCACAGCCAGCTCTGTCTGACTGCAGAGCCTAAGGTGTGACTTTACAATGCCTTACTTACTTTCTGGGCTTCTATCCTTCCTCCAACCCACCTCCTACTTTAAGTTAACTCCCTCTCTCTTCCTAAAGTGAACTCGGCAGTCCAGTTGGCTTCCTTCCAGCTTCAGTGAGCTGGGGAATCCCTGGCATGGGCTCAGCTATAAGTTCTATAGAACATCATAACTGCTGGTACTAGGGCAATAAAATCTTAACAGTCTCGGCCGGGCACAGTGGCTCACGCCTGTAATCCCAGAACTTTGGGAGGCCAAGGTGGGCAGATCACCAGGTCAGGAGTTTGAGACCAGCCTGGCCAACATGGTGAAACCCCATCTCTCCTAAAAATACAAAAATTAGCTGGGCATGGTGGCAGGTGCTTGTAATTCCAGCTACTTGGGAGGCTGAGGCAGGAGAATCGTTTGAACACGGGAGATGAAGGTTGCAGTGAGCCGAGATCACGCCATTGCACTCCAGCCCAGGTGACAGGATGAGGCTGCGTCTAAAAAAAAAAAAAAAAAAAAAAAAATCTTAACTGTCTCCACAGAAGACGACTGTAAATTCTTCTGAAGTCCCACTTTGGGTGTAAAAGTTCATGCCTCTCTTCCCCCTCCTCCTCTTCTCTTTTCCACCCCACCTCCATTAACTGCCCCAGATTTCATGAAAGGTCCCATGCATTAAAACAAGGCACAGAAATCCCAGCAGCCTCCAGCTGCAGCGGGGTTGTTTTGTCTATGAAATGTTCTAAAAAAAAACCAAAAAACAAAAAAAAACAAGGTTTCACATCAACTTTGCTCAGGATCAGGGACACATAGCTTATGCTTTTTGGAAAACTGTAGAGAAAGAAGAAGAGGCAGAGGAAAATTGCCAGTGAGGACAACAGAAGAGAACCAATGAATAACTCGGAACGCATAAGGATACCCAGAAGAAAACTTTGTGAAAATGACACCTGAGGGGCTCTGGGATTTTTCCTCTCTCAATTATTTTCATCTTGTTACCTGGGTCCTGACAAGCCAGCTGTGGTCTCTCTGAAAAATTCATTTGGCTGTCTTGAACTTAGCTGAAAAACAAGTATCAGCAGAGGTCTGAGAGGGAATAAGAGCTCGTTTCTTCCTTCTGGGATCAAGTGAACAGGTCTCAGGACCCTGGGGGGGCGGTGCATGGAGAGTAACCAAAGGGCCCCTTTTAGAGTCTCCTTTCTGCCCCAGAAATAATTGTATCACATTTAGACAAAATGTGAAAGTCAGACAGGAACCTGGGAAAGTGACCACTGGGACAGATCTGGAGGGGGCCATGTGACCCCAGTCCTGGACATCACATCACAACAATGTTGCTTTGCCTTCTTTCCCCTAGGAAGGGGAAAGTTCAGAGGGAGACCCTGGGAAGTTGAGGCTTAGATAGGTAATGGAGGTGCATGTCAAGGGTAGGAGAGATCCGGTGGGCCTGGAACTATGACAAATGGAACAAAAGGGTTTTATGTGTCCTGTGAGATAAAACCCAAAATGTATTTGTCTAAATCCCACTTCCCTCTTAGTTTCTAAACCCCTGTTCATTTCACAGGAAATTAAATGTGTTTATCAGATTCCTTTACCCTTACCTCATCGAAAGGTTAGGTTGAAGTTGGCTTATGTGCCAGAAACTGCTATGATTTTTTTCTGAAATTAACTTCTAATACCTGTCTGATCAAAATTGTAGCACAGGCAGGGCCAGCAACAACTAGGCCTATCCTTCGCTAGTCAGCTGGATGAGGACACACATGCTACAGAATGTGTGTGTGTGTGTGTGTGTGTGTGTGTGTGTGTGTTTGCACGTGCACGTAAAGGAGAGGGAGAGGTTCAGCTGATTGCTGAACCCCAAATCTCAAATTTGAATCAAATGTTTACAGACACAGTGGGAGTTACCTTTTTCTTTTCCTTTCTTCAGATGTCATTTTGGAATGGGGGAAATGTGTGAATTTTTTCTACTCTCTTCTTTTTGAAAGGCCTCCTTGAGAGCAGGAATTGTGTCTTATGCATTTCTGTCCTCTCAGAGCCTGGTGGAGTATCTGGCACCCAGTAGGTGCTCAATAATTGTTTGTTAAAGGTGACAGGTACAGGACACACTACTCCAAAACGCGGCACCTTGGAAATGGAGAAAATCACAGAGGTAAGAAGTTAATTCTCTGATCTTCTGCCTTTCTAAGAAGAGAGGGCCAGCCATAAAACAATTCTCTTACCAACTCTCCTGAAAGTAGGTCATAAGACCCTCATATGGCAAATGTCCTGCCATATACTTGGCAGAAAGGAATGGAGATACAGAGATGTCAAGAAGAATCTGAAAAAACAGGCCTAAGTTCTCCCAGCTTTGTACCATTAGATCATACCCCCTTTTGTCCAATCACACTTCTGCAAGACTGTTCATTCCTTATCAAGTTCTAGCATAAAAATAAAGTTTTCCCTGAATTTTTGGGTCTTCATTTCTGAAGTTTCCCGTCATGTAAAGCTTTGGCTAAATAAATTTGTTATGCTTTTCTGTATTTCTGTCTTTTCTCTAAAATCCGTCTTTTGTTATAGAGGCGTCAGCCATGAAACTTACATTGGATGAGGAAAAGATAATACTTTTTTATTTTCTATAAATGGAAGTAGATCCCTTAAACCAGCACCTACCTGCCACCTCCTTCAGCTCCCACCTGTGCCTCTTTTAGCCACTTGTAAATCTGAATATGAAGTTTCTCTCTGAAGCCCCCAAACTTCACTATCTTTTCTCTTTTTTGGATATCTTCAAAAAATTGTCTCTCTGCAGATGACTTCCAAATTCTTTAGTATCCACCCCTTCAGACTGCCTTCCCCCCATCTCCACCTTCTGGCTCTGTGAGACTCCTTACTGTGGGAGAAGGAAGGGGATACACATATATCCTACTGACATCTCAAAGCAATATGGCTGAGATGGCTCTTCTGTGTCCCTTTTTCTGGCAGGCTCTCCCTCTCTGCACAAGTCTAGGGAAGGAGGTTCAGACTTTTCTGCTCTCATCTGGTGACATAGTTGGGTAGTGTAGTTTGCTGAAGTCCCAGGGATAAATGAGGCTGGAGGCACCCCTGGGCCTTGGAATCTCAAGAGGGGCTAGAGGTATGGGGGGTACGAAGGTTTCCTGAGGTCTCGAGGTTTACAAGATGCTGTCTGTGGCAAGGGTTTGCAAACAGTGCTATTGTACAAGGCACGTGGTTACTGGTGAGATTTCTATCCTTTGGATGGATACTTCAGGCTGCAGTCCCACCAAATTTCCTTTCTTCCAACCCCAGACTCATAATTGTGTAAGACATTTTTGTCTTAGTTTCCTATATAGAGAGCTAAATCCACCCTCTTTCTTTACCACAAACCACTTGACTCTAAGGAGATTCTTAATTGCTCTCCAAGGCTCCAGCCTCCAGCTCTTAGCCTACCCCGGTAGTTCTCTAACTGTAGTGTGGTTCAGAATCACCTGCAAGGCTTCCTAAAACACAGACTGCTAGGTCTTACCTCAGAGTTTTTGTTCAGTCATTCTGGGGCCCAAGATTCTGCATTTCTAATAGAGTCCCAGGTGATGCTGATGCTACTGGAGGGACCAAATCAGACCAATAGGCCCACTGATCACCACTCGTCCATGGTCTCTCTCAGGGCAAATGCTGTCAGTTATTGGGCTTGCTTTCTGCTTAGGTTTTTAGATGCTTTATGTCATTTACTCTTCACGATAACCCCATGAGGTACCCACTGTTAATATTGCCATTTTAAAGAGGAAGGAACTGAAGCACAGAGAGGTGCTATATCTTGTCCAATATATGTCATGAAGCTGAGCAGTACTGATGCTGAAGCTTGTGTATTCACTCTGCCATACGGCCTGAATGGTCTAAGGATCATTCCCTCCATGGACTTCTCAGATTATCTACCTTAGAAACCCAGGGCTTTGAGAACAAGATGCCCTTTCATTCTGGACCACCCTCTGCCCAAATTTCTCTTTGCTGCTGGCTAAGTACAGCAAGAGAAAACACACATTTAATCTCCATTAAGACCTTCAAACTTTTTGGAGAGGAAGTCTAGTCTGACTGGGGAAAAAAGCCTGAATTTCTTAAAATTTTAAAGAAAAGCAGTTTTATTGCTTTCAGTAGCATATGGTAGTACAAACGAATGACTAATGAAGCATTTCCAAGAATTCCTCTTAGCCTTTTAAAACAAATGAATATGGCTCATTTACATATAAGCAACTGTATTAAAGATTATTTAACTGCTGGTTAAATTAAAAATGCAGAAGAATTTTACATCTGATTTTTAAAAGTCTCAATATGGATAAGAACTCATGCTTTGGAACATGAAGCCTTTGAGATCATCTCATCAAATAGATTGTTTTCATTTTGCTCCTAGATTCAGGTTTTGGTCTCTCAGGAGAGCTCTTCTGACAAAACCCACAAACATGCAACTGCCATGTGTCAAGGCAAAATGTGATGCATACCATGCGGGCTAGGATTTGATGTTAAATAAAGACAGTGCAAACGTCTTGGTGCTTTGCCTCAGCAGGGGTTCCCAAACTTACTGGGAGTTTGTGTAAATTCTAAATGTTTCGAGATTTTACTACAGTGTATCTGGAGGGGGCCAGGGAATCTACAACATATATATTCCCAAATTTTATTTTGTTCCTGTTTTTCTTACCAATGTGCTTGTTTTACTTTTTCTAATGTAATTCCAATGGGGCACACTTTCAGAAACACTGCCAGGCTGTGGGAAGGGACTGGGGACTGGGGAGGGAAGCATGGGGTTTTAGAGTTGCCCACCTTAGTCTTCAGACACTTTAGTCGTTCCAACCCTTGCTGCCCTTTGGATTCATCTGTAACCCTATTAAAAAGCACCAATTCCCTGGGCTCTACTCATGACCAATTAAAGCAGAATTTTAGGGGTGGACCTGGACAACAGCATGAAAAAAACAAACAGAAAAACAAAACAAACAAACCTCCTGGGTGATTCCCATGTAGGAGGACAGTGCTGAAAACCAGTAAGGCAGTCTGATTTGGAGCAACACAATGAGAAGTATATTTAGCTGAGGGTAAAAAGTGGAAAAGTCGAGGTCAAAATATGTTGAATGTGTGGGTGGATGGGTGCGTGTCTTTTCCAAATTAGAATGAACTCCTGTAGATAGAAGACCCTAAGTTAGGAAACAGGTGCAGCCCAACTAGGGAGCCTCGGTCAGCCCGTTCTACACCGTAATTCATTCTCTCTCTCCATCCTCTGCTGCGGGCCTACAGCCCAGGGCTGTTCTCTCTGGTGCCTTGGGCAGGGCCTTCACACTCACTTTCACTGGGCCTGCTGGCATTTAAGCCTCTGTCCTGGGCTGCTCTCTGGCTGCTAAAATCTGGCAGCCACACAAACCCTGCAACCCAGTGGTTTTTGAATGATATCCCTTCAGCTTCAGCCCAGGGGCTCTGGCTTTTCTGCTTGTTTTCTTTTTTCTTTCTTATTTAAGAAGCTCAAGAGAACTTAAAAGCAGATCCTTGAAAGTTAAGCATTTCTAATCACATAAAGGTGTCTCTGCAGGGCCTGGGCTGAAGAGGGTTTGTTTGGGGGCTTTCATCATTCTGTGAATCCCCTTCCTTCTTCAAACAGCCTTTCTGGGCTCTTATCCACCCAGCTTCTTGCTGGATGCCCACCCCCATCATCTCCATGTTTGGGGCCCAGAGGTTAAAGGAGAAGAGGGGGCTGGCCAGAGGGCCAGAGCGGGGAGGGAGGAAGTGGTTGGCCCCCATGCCGGGCCCTAGCAGACTTTGTGAGAAAGCCCCTCTCCATCTGTAGCCCAGCCCGGTGGGAGTCAATTAATTCTGAATAACCTAAACCGACAGAGGTATTTGCATTCACAACCTGACTGATGACCGTATAAAATTGATTTATGAATTAAAGTGCTTCCCCTCCCTTTATCCCAATTCAGTCTGTAATTGATTATACGTGCTGCAGCGAAATTAAATAAAAGAAAATTAAAAAGAAAAGAAAAAGGAAAGTGAAAAAGAGACACCCTCGCTTGGCGGTCCAGCATTCTCAGGGCTCCCCAGGATTAGCCATTCCATTCATCACTTATCATTTTTTATTAAAAAAGTTACTTCCCCCTTTGTCTCCACCCTCCCTGCACCACCCCCCTTCCCGCCCCCATCTCTCCATTGCCAGTATTCTCCTCTCCAGTTTCCTCCCACTCGCTGAAACTCTGAGGTGTAACAAGGTCCCTGGACAGAGTGAGAAGTGAGGATGGGCAAGCCTTCTCCCCAGCAGCACTTGTGCCCTCAAAAATGTGAGATGTAAGCAAAGATGTCTTCTACTTTTGCCTCCCTCTTCTGTGCTGGTCTTTCATTTCATCCTTTTTCTGACTGCTCCCCACTCTACATGCACACAAATCAAAATTTTCTTGCAGGAAATCATTTCATAAATTTGTTCTCAGCAAGGAATACATTAATGGTAAACTTTTTAAAATGGCTTATTCCTCTTAACAGAAATTTACCAAAGAATAAAGTGCTTAGATAAAGGAATAAATATCTAATTGTAAAATTTCATTTTCTTAGTAGGAAAAGGGTCTTAAGTAGGGGAGCAGAGAAGTTGAATTCAAACCAACTAGTGGCCATGCAAAGGGACTTTGGAACTAGTTGGACCCAGGCTCTAAAAATTACTAACTGCGTGTCCTTGTACAAGTCACTTAACCTTCCTTGCTTTCACTGACAATTTAAGATAACTGATTAATCCGAGGTAATGTACATAAATCCCTTTGAAGTGTGGCTCAGCAAACAAGGAAGGTACTTTGCAAACATTAGAATTAGAACCTACTTCCTTGCTTATTCTGCTTATGAAACAAGGCAGTGCTGACTCAAGAGTTTTCTGGTGTTAGGATGATCAGTGGTTTTCTCCCAACTCAAACCCACTGTGGCTATTTGAGTGACAAATGGAGAACTGTTTTCATTGCCACACCACATCTTGAGAACAAACTGTCTTCTTTACCTCTGTATCCTCAGAGATCTTGGTACATAAAACACATCATAATTAAACCATCTCACTCAATTCGTCCTCATTGCTTCTCACCTTTTCTCGGCTACCTTCTACCTCAGGACTGCCAAGATTTTATCCCTACTTTGTGCTATTTCTTTTCCTGCTTCATTGCTGTCTTTCAATGCCTGCATCCTTCCCAATCCCTTTTCTATCTTTGACAGGTACAGCATTGTCTCCTTTCCTCTAAAGCCTTAATGTACAGGTTTGTGGGTAATCCCATATTAAGTGCTGTTGCCATATTTTACTGAAAGTTCAACAAACTAGGGAGTGATTGCTTGGGCCGGGTCAGAAGAGGTCCACTTTATTGATGGGGGCATGATAGTCCCTCCCCCAGTGAGGAGCTCTTGCAAGAACAGATCCCTATGAAGGGTGAACTCCCAGAGAAGTGCCTCAAGAACACTGAAAATTGGACCCTCTTCAGGGAATGTTAACAGATGAATTATGCGATGTGAAAATTTCCAATAGATGTTGAGGCAGCTCTAAGTGAGGGGCTAACCAGCAGAGAAGGCTTTTCCTTTTCACCGTCTCAGGACAGCCAAACTGCCGCCGCCTTGAGGGGCGGTCAGGCATCTTGCAGTTTCACACATTCTAGTCTACTTCCGGCTTATCCTGGCAATTCCTTGTTGGAATGCAATAAGGTCAGGAAAATGCCTAAACTCTTTTCAGTTGTTTACTGAAAACCGTTTGGGATCATTGAGGTGACAAGAAAGCCTGAGAGCAGGTCGTGAGAGGATCCAGGTTCTGAGGTACTGAGTCCTGAGGTACTGAGTCCTGGTACTGAGGTGAGTACAGAAGCACCATAGGGTGGGTAGAAAGGAAGTCACAGAGAGTGGAGCCTGAGGAGACAGACCACCTCTGCAATTTTGCTGGTGGAAGACCTCACATTCATTGAAAAGAGAAGTAACAAAAAACCAAGGTGCATTGTAAGCGTATGTAGAAGTCAAGAGAACAGCAGATTAACATGGAGAAGGAACCAATAGAAGAAGTCTAAAATAAATGGTTCTATTTACTAAGACCCTCTCTTTTTAACTGGAAAGAATATGATGACTATTTCCCTGAAATAGGGGTTTAAAAAGACACAGGTGGAAAGGTATGAAGGGTGGGTATAACTACGGTATCTATCTAGCTGGTAGGTAGATACTGTAGTTACCTAGTATCTAGCTGGGTGTTATGGATTAAAAGTTTGTGGTTCCCTGCTCCATTCATATGGTGAAATCCTAACTCTCAATGTGATTACATTAGGGGGTAGGGTCTTTGGGAGGAAATTAGGACATGAGGGTAGAGCACTCATGATAGCATTAATACCTAATGAGAAGAAATATGAGAGAAATAATCTCTTTTGGCCTTGTGAGGATACAACCAGAAGATGGCCATTTGCAAATCTGAAAGCATGCCCTCACCAGACACCAAATTGCCTACTGCCTTGATATTGGACTTTCCAGCCTCTATAATTGTGAGAAATAAATGTTTGTTGTGTGAGCCACCCGGTCTGTGGTGTTCTGTTAGAGCAACTCAAACTGGCTAAGACACCAGGGGTGGGCTTCAGAAGATGAAAGCTGTCTGCAGCATGTGGCTGAAAATTGTATCTCCAAATGGCTTCTAGGATGGAAGTCCACGTTCTATGGGCCAGAGGTCCTAGTGGGATTGGCCCCTCTGGGTCAGCTGAGACTATCTCTCCTCTGCAATGGTGGTGTCTTAGAGTTGCTCATCTTGCCCTGGTCTGGGATCAGCTATCCAGCAATTTGGAAATAACCATGACTTTAATCTCTGCCATATTAAGCTTGGAGGGAACCAAGAACAGTTGTAAGGAAATAGTTACCAGAGCCATGGAGCAAGCCAGTCAATGAAACAGCTGGGAAAATATGGGGGCATAGAATTCTGGGGAGCTTGCTTTTCTGTTGCTTAACTTCAAAATGAGAAAAACCTGGAGCTTAAATGCTGCCAAAACTTGGAAGCAACCAAGATGTCCTTCAGTAGGCCAATGGACAAACAAATTGTGATTCATCCATACAATAGAATATTATACAGCAGCAAAAAGAAATGAGCTATCAAGCCACAAAAAGACATGGAGGAGGCTTAAATGCATATTTCTAAGTGAGAGAAGCCAATCTGAAGATGCTACATATTGTATAACTGTATGTCCCAACCATATGACATTCTGGAAAAGGCAAAATTATGAAGACAATAAAAAGATCAGTGATTGCCAGATAGTCAGGTGGAGGGAGGGAGGATGGAAGGGATAAATTGGTGGAGCACAGGCGATGTTTAGAGCAGTGAACCTATTCTGTTTGTTACTGTAATGGTGGATGTATTCTATTATATGTTTGTCAAAATCCATAGAATGTATAACAGAGAGAGAGTAAACCTTAATGTAAACTATAGACTGTAGTTAATAATAATGTATCAATATTGCTCATCTATTATAAGACACATATCACACTAATACAATATGTTAAAAATAGGGGAATCTGTGGGGAAGGAGATGAGGAAATGGGGAGGAGGTGGGGCTATGTGGGAACTCTGTATTTTTTGTTCAATTTTTCTGTAAACCTAAAACTGCTCTAAAGATAAAGTCTACTAATTTAAGAAAAGAAAGGACCCTTTTGTCATTATTGACTTTTGAGCTGTTTGTTGGAAAGATCCTATATAAATGCCAATTTATTTTACCATTCTTAATGAGAGAGCAGAAATTTCTGAAGATGTGAAAACAGCTTGCTAATATAAGCTATCTCATTTTGTTGCATTTCACTTACTATTCTTCACAGACACGGCATTTGTTACAAATTGAAGGTTTGTGTTAGCCCTGAATTGAGCAAATCTATTGGCACCATTTTTCTAACATCATGTGCTCATTTCACATCTCTGTCATATTTGGATAATTATCATATTTCAAATTTTTTTGTTATATTACATCTATTATGGTAATCTGTGATCAGTGATCTTCTATGCTACTATTGTGATTGTTTTGGAATGCCACAAACAAAATCCACATACAACAGCAAACTTAACTGACCAGTGTGTGCATGTTCTGACCGCTCCACTGAGCAACCATTCCTCTCTCTCTCTTTCTCCCTCTCCTCAGGCTTCCCTATTCCCTGAGACACAATAATACTGAAATTAGGCCAATTAATAACCCTACAATGGCCTCTAAGTATTAAACTCAAAGAAAGAGTTTCACATCTTTCACATTCAATCAAAAGCTAGAAACGATTAAGGTTGGAGAGGAAGCCATGCCGAAGGCTGAGATAGGCCAAATGCTAGGCTGCCTGTATCAGTTAGCCAGTTGTGAATAAAAAGGAAAGTTATTGAAGGAAATTAAAAGTGCAACTCCAGTGAATACATGAATGATAAGAGAGTAAAACAGCCTTATTGCTCATATACAGAAAGTTTGAGTTGTTTGGATAGAAGATCAAACCAGCCACAACATACCCTTCAGCTAAAAACTATTTCAGAGAAAGGCTCTAACTCTCTTCAATTCTATGAAGGCTGAGAGAGGTGAGGAAGCTGCAGAAGAAAAGCCTGAGGTTGGCAGAGGTTGGCTCAGGAGGTTTAAGGAAAGAAGCCATCTCCATAACATACAAGTGCAAGGGGAAGTGGCAAGTGCTAATAATGTAGAAGCTGCAGCAAGTTAGTCAGAAGATCCAGCTAAGATCATTGACGAGGGTGGCTACATTAAACAATAGATTATCAGCATAGACAAAACAGCCTTATATTGAAAGAAGATGCCATCTAGGACTTTCATAGCTAAAGAGGAGAAGTCAATACTTGGCTTCAACTTCAAAGGACAGGCTTTGAGTAATCTCTTCCTAGGGGCTAATGCAGTTGGTGACTTTAAGTTGAAGTCAGTGCTTATTTACCATTTTGAAAATCCTAGGGCCCTTAAGAATTATGCTAAACTACTTCATCTGTGCTCTATATGTGGCACAATAAGGCCTGGATGACAGCACATCTGTTTACAGCATGGTTTACTGAATATTTTAAGCCCACTGTTGAGATCTTCTGCTCAGAAGAAAATATTTCTATAAAATATTATGGTTCATTACAATGCACTTGGTCACCTAAGG